>NC_000006.12:116282911-116585941 GCF_000001405.40 Homo sapiens | reverse complement strand
CATGCCTGTAATCCCAGCACTCTGGGAGGCTGAGGCAGAAGGATCACTTGAGCCCAGGAGTTCAAGGCTGCATGAGCCATGATCATGTCACTGCCCTCCAGCCTGGGTGACAGAGCAAGACTCTGTCTCAAAAAAAATAAAAATATATAAAAAAAGATGTTAGAATTAGCATAACTTCATGCAAGGTAACAAGGTGAATAGGGCCCAACATCAGCAAAAATTCCTATCTGATATATCTTCTTTCACTCCTCATTGTACAACAGCTCCAGATATTTCTATAACATCAACATTATGGTGACCACTGATCTTTAGAATATGTAAGTCACATATAAGGTGGAGATATGTTTTCTGTCAATTCTTCTTAGAGTAAACAAATAAAGGTAGGACTTCTGACTTTAAGATGGTGGAGTAAGAATTTTACCCCCCTCCCTACTCTCTACTCTGAAGAACCCCATGAAAACTGTCTACCCAAGCATGAGTATATTTTAAATACCTGCCAAGCCCAGATTACAGGTAGCCTATCCCACAATAAAATTAATCCAGTAAAAACTTTTTTTAATATCCATTTTTATTTCCACACAAGCCTCCCCTCATAGAGGGGTCATAAGCCATTATTGTTGTCTGTAAGCTTTGGGAGGATGAGAGATGGGAGAAAAAAAATCAATTACCAGTCCTTTTCCCAGACTGCAGGCAACTAGCATGTAAAAGTCAGAGAGGGAAGAAGTTTTAATTTTTTTAAAAAGTTGAAAATTGTAGCTACATATGGGACTAGGCATTCTAAAAACCAAATCAAAACACTGTTTACAACTTAAAGTACCCGTTGGACTTTTTATCACTAATGACATGAGGGAAAAAGCCATGAGGCTGACTGAGTTTCAAGCAGGGGCACTGGGACAAATTCTATTACTCAAATTTTAAAGGGACAGTAGGAAACAAAAATAAAGATGCTCTGTGATTATGTAACATGAATTCCACTTGGTCAATGTTCTGTTTACACAATAGCATTTTCTAACTCTTGAAATTAATATGTAATATTTAAGGCCAATAAATGCTGCTACAAAACATAAAATTATTATTTCCTTACCTGTAATGCTAGTAATTTTAAAATGTCTGAGACATCATTATCTTCTAGATTTTCCTGGGAGAATATTTCATAAAGGGGAGCTTCATCTGGGTATTTTTCACTGTATGTAAACTTGAGGGTAGTCTGGACAGCTAAGACACAAGATAAGAGTTTGATGTGAATACCTTAAAAGTAAAGAGGTAGATATCTTTGCTGAATCAGTAGAAAGTAGCACAATAGATTTTCCTACAAAGAAAAAGGTTATTAAGAGACCAGATGGATAATCACTAATGTAAACAACACATATCACAAAGAGATACATGAAACAAATCATGGGAATACCAAAAATCACACTTACACGTGAAGCACATTTACCACTTATTGGTATTTTACCAGACTGCATGTCTGAGAAAGAGGGTGGATAAACGTCACTTTTTAAAAACCTTTCCTAAGATAAACAAAGGCACTGAATACAACATATTTTTAAAAAGACTACCGTATGCTCATTTTCAGCCTCTACCAGAGCCAGTTCCTACCTGCAGAAGATCTGGCTATAGCCCTCGAATCTATATTTGAATCCACACAATGTCAGCAGGGCTAATTAGTGGCTGGATGGCACCGTTTAGACCTCGAGAGTATAAAAGGTTATATGGGAAACTTTTAACCTAATTCATCTATATATTCTCACTCACTCTTTTAGTCTGTGTCAATTTACGGATCTCACACTTGTACGGAAGTAAAACTCTTATGGGCGTGTCAGTGCAAGGTGCCTCTCTGCAGCACAGGCCATTGAGTTCTCAATTCCACCAGGCAGTCTGCAACTAAGCAGTAGTGCTAAACATTTTCTGTTAAGACTTTTTATTACTCACAATGACCTTTTTCCCAGAGTGCCATCTTTTGTGTAACTCACATTTTATATTATTAAAATCTGATTTTGATGAAGCAATACAAATTTATACTGCTCTTCATGGACGGGGAAAAAAAGCACTTTAAAATTTGCAGGTTTGATATTTTATTTTTCATGTTATGATATTAACAAGGAATTTTATGAACCAAAAATTGCAAAAGATTAAGTGTTAGAGGTCAGTAAGAAACAGTATCTTCTGGCATTTTCCTTTCTTCTTTTATTAGCACATTTTTAGTTTTATTGGTGGAACAAGATTTTTTTTTCCATTTTATTTCTTCCCCCCAGCTTTCTTAAGGTATACTTGACAAATAAAAATTGTATATATTTAAGGTGTACAATGTGATGTTTTGATATACATATATATTGTGAAATGATTATCAGAACCAAGCTAATTAACATCACCTCATATCATTATGATTTGTGTGTGTGTGTGTGTGTATGTGGTGAGAACACTTAAGATCACCTCTTTCAGTAAATTTCAAGTATACAATACAGTATTATCTATAATTAATTATAGTCACTATGTTGTGCATTAGATCCCCAAACTTATTTCATCTTGTATAACTGAACCTTTGTACCCTTTGGCCAGCATCTCACCATTCCTACTACCTCCCAGACTTTAAACAATCAATGCATTAAAGAAGAAACTTAAAGGGAACTTTAAAAATATCTTGAGACAAAGGAAAATGGAACATGGCCAGGCGCTGGGGTTTATGCCTGTAATCTCAGTACTTTGGACAGCCAAGGTAGAAGGATCATTTGAAGTCAGAAGTTCAAGACCAGCCTGGGCAAGAGTGAGACCCCATCTCTACAAAAAGTTGAAAAATTGAGCTGGGAGTGGTAGCATGTGCCTGTAGTCCTTGCTATCTGGGAGGCTGAGGTGGGAGAACTGCTTGAGCCCAGGAGTTGGAGGCTGCAGTGAGCTAAGATAGCACCATGGAACTCTAGCCTGGGCAACAGAGTAAGATCCTTGTCTCTAAAAAATATTTAAAATTTTAAAAATTAAAAAAAAAAAAAAAGAAAATGGAAACACATCATACCAAAACTTATGGGTTGAAGCAAAAGCTGTTCTAAGAGGAAAGTTAATAGCAATAAATGCCTACAATCAAATAAAAATAAAGATCTGAAGAAACAATTTAACATGCCCCTCAAGGAACTAGAAAAAGAAAAAACTGGGTGTAAAATCAGCACAAGGAAGAAAATAATAAAGATCAGAGCAGAAATAAATGAAATACATCAGAAAAACAATAGAAAAGGTCTAACGAAACAGCTAGACTAGAAAAAAGGGAGAAGACGAAAATGAATAAAATCATACATGAAAGAAGATATTTTATAACTGATATCAGGGATGGGGAGATATCAGTTACAGGATAAAAGGTTTAAGACAGGATGAATAACTTCAGATCTATTGTAGTGCATTATTACTACAGCTAAGAATAATGTACTGTATACTTAAAAACTGCCAAGAGATTAGATATTAAATGTTCTTACCAAAAAAATTAAAAAGTAAATTAAAAAAATAAAGTTTATCATTGTGGCAAATTAGTTTCTTCCTCTTTTCTATGAATAGAGCTTTATACTGGATTTGCTTCATGTGCATTATATCCTGAGAATATTCTTTAACACTTAGTGTAAATAATTGCAAATTGATTTTCACCATGCAGGTATATTAAAATGCATTTAACCATTTAAATAACTAAGTTTAAAAAAAAAAAAAACTGATTCTACTATAAGTAAAAGGCATTCAGTAGAGAAAATTTAGGAATAAAATAATGGAAAAATAAAATAACAAATAATCCCATTATCAGGAAGAGATCGCTATTTCCATTTTGGTATATTTTAAGTATCTTAAAAATATTTCATAAAACTACATTATTTTTATCTGCATATATTTACATTTTAAACAAAATTTTATGTATAGATGGATAAAATTTTGCTTAAAATGTACATATTCATATATAAATATAAAATCTCAAAAATAACATGAGAATACTTCCAAGTCTTTATTCAATACAACCATACTTCCACTTTATAAGTATGTCACTGTTTATTAGTTAAGATAGAAACAATGACATTATAAACATCCTTGCATGTATTATTTTGTATTATGATACTGTGCTTAGAATAGATACCCATAAATACAGTAGTCATTGTATCAAAGAATATGAACATTTTCAAAGTCTCCTGCTTCATGATTCCAATAGTTCTCCTGAACATGTGTTTCGATTCATATTCCAAACAGCATAATGCTATCTTCCAATACTAATAATTTGCTGGATATATTATTTTAGCTTGCATTTTTAATTACCTGTGAGATCGTTCTTTTAATACTACCTTTAGAAATTGTATATCAATGCCCTTTGCCCACTTTTCTACTAGTTTGTTCACTAAAAAGGAGTTTTTGGGGAAAAAAAAGTACAATGCAGGATTTAGTTTCAAAGAAATAATTTTGAAAGTATGGTGGATAATGCACTGAGTACACCTATTTCATAGAGCTATTACTAGCTCCTAATAAAGCTATTATTCAGAATATGGGAGCTCTCACAAGAAATTTTTATATTTTATTTTTCATTTCAGCGTAATCTTAAAGAAAATTTTATTTGGATTATTTATCAATGAGCATCACCACACCATTTTGGAACCCATAATGGCATCATATGAAGCCCAAATCATGCCACTGGCTTATTTACAAAGGAAAATTTTAAATGGTTTGAAGAACAGTCAGTATAGTATTTATTTCATGCTTTAAAGCATTACAGAAAAATTTTTAGATACCAATCTGCAAAAGTATATTGGTTATCAATTTGGTAGTAAATAAATGTATTCAATATCCTTTTAAGTCAGATTTCAATAATGTGTGAATGCAAACCTCATTTTCAAGTATACTAGACAGATTTGGAGTTATCAAGTAATACCATAAAAGTTGGCTATTAATGACTGCTCCTGGCAGAATTTAGGTTTACTAGCTTCAAAGGGGGTAAAAAAATGTGTAGGGTTGTTAGTTCCAATTTACATAACCTTTTTATCAAATTACCATATCAACTAACGTGACTAAAAGTAGAAATAAACTTCAGATACCATTCCCCCAAACATCTCCAAATTTAATTTATTTAACTTTAATTTATTGGTTTTTATAGTTACGTTATTTCAAAAGAAAGAGACAGAAACATGCAGACAGACATATATCCAGCCCCATTTATAACACCAAATGTCCAGTGAACAATCTAAATGTTCAAAGAGAAAAACAGCCATGAAAAAATAATAGTCACTCAAAGGAACCACACAACCACTGAAATATGTTTGCACGTGAAGTATTGCTTTGAACAAAACAAAAGTTTCCTACCTTTTTTCATCTGCTGTATTATTAATATTACTATTTCACTTTTAAAAACTAAGCTTATTGTGCCAGACTATATTTCATTAATTTCCTCTCTATTTCCCTAGAAGTCATGTTCACACAGTAAATTCTGACTAGAAATATACAACATTCATAGCAGATTCGTAACAGCCCCTTAGCACCTCCACATGACAATATCCAGCATAATGCCTACAGAATGAGTGAAATTCCTGAGAAATTTAGAAAAACCACAAGTATTTTTTATAAGACTTACTTTCATCATTTTCTCCAGCCTCAGACGTCACAGTAATGGTGAAGCTGGGTGGATTTTCTGATAATACTGCAAGAAAATACACACAGAAGTTATTGAAATGCTTTCTAAGGCAGATGCTTTTCCTTATTAGCAAATTATCAGTACCCAGTCCTAGAAACTGGTCCCTAGGCTATATTTCCATTTCCACAAATACAGACTGAACAGAACACTGAAATGATAAAATTACCATCAACTTTCTATTTAAATGGAGGGTTGTCTTTAATCTGGAAAGAAATAACTATGGTAGATAACCCTCTTGGAGTTTTACCAAGTCAACTGAAAAAATGAGGTAGTTTACCGTTTATTTTAAAATCTCCACCTATACATGGAAAATTACATTCTTAAAAAATCCCAAAAATAATGGCAAAGAGTTTCATGTTTCTCACCTGAAACTACCCACTGATACTCATGTTTCACTGATTTTTATACTTATATATTGTGAGATATAACTCAGAATCTCCATGACAAACAGTAAATACCGATTTGTTAAAGTTTATGTCTTCTTGCTGTCATTCTCTACCACATCATCTCTAAAACCAAACTTTCTTTCACATATGCTTACTAAGCCTCTACCATCTTTCATAGAATTATAAAATGAATTAGCTATGAATGTAAACATCAGATTGCATGTAATTTACTAAGCAAGACAAGACACATAAATCAACATTTATATAAATAACAAAGCTTTGTATGTCATTTTATAGCCTATGTCTATCTAATACTCATCTCTGTTTATCATCTATTCCTCAACAAGAATGCTATAACAACTCTATGAGAGCTCCTAGATCAGTATCTGGCAGTATCTAGAAACTCAATTAATATTGCCCCAATAAAACAAGAACTAAATGAATAGAATGAAAGGAGGAAAAACAGTAACAAAGAAAACTTGTACTCAGAACCATTTGAAAAGTAAACAAGGAAACTTCAAGCTACCAGGGATGGCTGCTAAGCCTATGAGAAAAGCCTATGCCTCACTCCCTGTCCAGGAAGCACTGGTACTTGTCAAGGTTGGCAGCAGCTCTGCAGACTTTTTCAGAATGAAAGAGCAATGGATTACTGAAGAAGTAATCATGGGAACTATTCAACTTTTCCTACCTGGGAACTTTCTAAAGCCATCATAAATATATATTATCAACAGTATTTTCTGGCCGGGCACAGTGGCTCATGCCTGTAGTCCCAGCACTTTGGGAGGCCAAGGCGGGCGGATCACTTGAAGCCAGGAGTTCGAGACCAGCCTGGCCAACATGGTGAAACCTCATCACTACTAAAAACACAAAAAATAGCCAGGCGTGGTGGCGCATGCCTGTAATCCCAGCTACTCCAGAGGCTGAGGCACAAGAATCACTTGAACCTGGGAGGCAGAGGTTGCAGTGAGCCAAGATTGCGCCACTGCACTCCAGCCTGGACGACAGAGCAGGACTCTGTCTCAAAAAAAAGAAAACCCCAAAAACCAATTATTTTCAAGATAGATGTCTTCATTTTAATTGAATTTAAGGTACTTTAAGAAATGATGAACACCTGTGATTACTAGAAAAGTGTTAGATAAAAGACTCAGTAGATTCATATTTTAATAGGTTTTGGGTAGTCCAGCCCATGCTGAAAAAAGTTTCAGCCCACCAAAAGGTTATTATAATAGAGCCATAATATGGTTGGGCTTGTCTATATTTTACAAATATATGTAAAATATAGTTGATGTATTTCATTCTTATTTCCTTTCATGACCAACTTTAACATTTACAAGTCATGAAATGTAAACACTGCAACTATAGAAATAAGGGATCAGCCCAATGACATTCCAACTTATTACCACTTTCTATGACTCCCTGAGGCTATAGGTCAGGGGTAACCAATACTCAATTACAACAGGTAACATTTACTGAGCATCACTTTGTGCTTGTGCTATGCTATGCATTAACATGAAAATCCTGTACTTCTGGCACAAGACCATGATTTATACTATAATTCACTAAATTTTCAATGCCATCAAGTATGAGATATGCTTTACATACCACTAAGAAAGAAAAATAAGCTGCCAACTAAACCGACATGTAACTGATTATAAGAAAAGTTCATAAGAATTCAGAGATGTTAAGTGTAAAATATGTCTTAAAAACTATTAAATATACTATCACCCCAATTTTACAGATGTGGAAACTGAGATAGAGAGCTTTTAAATAATTTGTCCAAGGTTATCAGGTAGTAACTGAACAAACAGAATAAACTATATAGAGCATCATTTAAAAAGAAAACATATTTCCAGCTGAGAAATTCCAAGAAAGTCATTTGAGCTAGGCTGTCAATCATGGGTGGCACATTGGCAAGCAGACATGGAGAAGGGAAATGCACTTGAGGCACCATGGAAGCAAGGGCATAATGGTGGCAAAGCTAAAGATATATATAGGGAATAAGAAATTATTCCATTTGCTGAACTTATATGTGAGCGAAGAAAACTAGGTGAAAATACAGTTGAAAGTTTAGTTGCGCACAATCTTTTTTTTAGCAATAATATGATCAGAATTGTTCTCAAAACATAGGAAGACAAATCTAACAACAGCACATAAAATGAAAGGAGGGAGACGACTACAGGCAGTATGAAACTAGGTCACTATTGCAATCATCCAGGCAAAGGTAATAAGGTCCTGAACTAGGTCGGCAGCAATGGGAATAGCAGGAAATGGTGATGATGATATTTTAAGTTGGCAGGCTGCAGGCTGAGAATGTGATGCCACTAACAAAAATGAGTAGTAACAAAAAAATCAGACATGATATATTTTAAGGACACTTTAGGACTTTCAGTTAGAAGTGTTGAACATGCAATCAGAAATGGGCGAATGGTGGCAAAGAGAGCTGGGCTTTAATTCAATTTGGGATCATCTAGACAGAGGTGATAGCTAAAGCCATTAGACTAAATGAGATCATCAGAAATGTAACACAGAGAATAAAAGCCAACATAAGCTTTTTAAGGAATTCTCAATTTGGAAAACAAAGTAAGAGGAATAATAACAAACTCAAGAGATAACAGTGTTATGAAAATCAAGGGAAGTGAGTTTCAAGAGCATATGAAGAATTATTCTCCTCATTCTACCCCATCCTGCCCACTGTCTCTTGTCAGTTTCCTAGCAAGCAGATTTTATCACATTGTTACCTGCTTACAGCAGCAGTTCCCTATCCATATAAAGTGTGTTGGAATGAGTTCTGAGAAAGGGGTAGAATCACAAATAACACACTAAAAAATATGTGTAACTCAAAGTCTATTTTATTTGTGAAGCCACCCTACCTATTAGAATCTGAGTCTGATGTGGCAGTGTCTACAATATGCACTATATTGTCTGTGTGGGAATAAAGTGGGCAATGAACTATTGCCCTGTCAGATCACATCTAAGTCCCTGACAAGGCCCTCTGTGATGTGGTCCCTGCTTACTGGTCAAGTCTCATTTTCCATGACTCTCACTTCTCACTTCATGTTCTAGCAATACCCAAATCACTTGTCCTTTGAACATATTCTGATCCCTCAGAGTCCTGTTTCTGCATATGTGGGTCCCAGGCTGGAATACCCTTTCCCTAGTCTCATTTACTTGTTAACTTGTCATTACTCCTAAATTTTCTGAAACAACTCAGACCATCCCCTCTCCCTAAATTTATCTGATGTCTGTTTCCCCAAGCTGAGATCCTAAAAAAATGCATATAGTAACTATTTGGTAAATGAGGAAACCAAAAGATATGGGAATGTCAGCAAGAATATCAGTGAACTACCGGACCTGGGGAGCCAGATAGAACAGGGAGGAAAATGGACCAGAAAGAAACTGATGAACTATCAATCCATGAGAAATCATGAGACGCATGTTCAATACAAGCATGGGAACAAAAGAACTACAGGGTACAAAGGTTATGGGAAGGAGTAATTTTCAGAGGCCAAAATGTTAGAGATGGCATTTTCAAGGTGTGGCAACGCCCATGTGCAGCTAAAAAAAAGTGGAAATCAAAATCATTAGTTGAAAGAGACAAGAAATTATGAAGCCATATTAGTGGAAAAATCAACAACTAAGATGGTATTTCTAGTAAAGAGTATCATATGTTTGTTTTACAATTATAAGGTATAAGGTATTTTCACTTACATTATTTCTCATTAAACAGATACAGAGACTAATGCTTGGAGAGGCTAAGTGATTTGTCCAAGGACACTACATAAAGTTGCCACTATAGAGAAAAAAACGTGAAGCAAGTACGGCAAAGAAAAAAGATTTTGGGAAGTACTGCTAAAAGTCTCCCAATATCCACTCTTAAAGTTATGCCATTTTTAACTGAGCATACTGACTACCAGAATAAAGATTACATTTCCCAGTTTCATTTCCAGCTAGCTCTCACCAAATGACTAAGTTCCCACTAAAAAGATGGAAGTAGATATGCCCTCTGACAGTTTCCAGGAAATTTCCTTAAGAAACTGCCATCTCTTACTTCTCTGTTCTTCTTCCTTCCTTTATTCATCCTGCTTCCTGGAAATGGAATGTCACCATCTTGGCCACGAGTGTAAGACTACATCTTAGGGATGACAGAGAGCTACATTAGAAGATGTGTCCCTGAGGAATTCTTGAAATAGAGCTGCCACAACTCTCTTATATGTGCAAGAGCAAAATAAGTTTTTACCTTTTTAAAAACCAATGTTATTGGGGGTTTTCTGTCACAGATGAACCTAATCCTATTAAAATAAGTATTTTTTAAAAACAGAAAAAGGGATATTTCAAAGTTGGGCAGTAACTAAAATAGGGATGGGAAAGTTACTTAATTGGATTCACAAAAATAGATAATTCCTAAGTTCTGATAAAGGACTAATCCCATTACCATGCATTACTGTGAGTTAGGGTAAGTAGAAGAAAGATTAGTCTTCACTAAGGATGCCAGACTTCCACCACTGTAAGTAATTCAAAATACTTTTGAGGGCCAGGCATGGTGACTCACGCTTATAATCCTAGCACTTTGGGAGGCCGAAGTGGGTGGATCACTTGAGGCCAGGAGTTCAAGACCAGCCTGGGAACATAGTGAGACCCCAGTCTCTACCAAAAATACAAAAATTAGCCAGGCATGGTGGCACACCCTGTAATCCCAACTACTTGGGAAGGTGAGGCAGGAGAATTGCTTGAACCTGGGAGGTGGTGGTTGCAGTGACCCAAGATGGTGCCACTGTACTTTAGCCTGGGCAACAAAGGGAGACTCTCTCTCAAAAAAAAATTTTTTTGAGAAAAAGAGTAAAGCTGGGCCAGGTGCAATGGCTCACGCCTATAACCCCAGCACTTTGGGAGTTGGAGGCAGGAGACTCGCTTGAGGCCAAGAGTTTGAGACTAACCTGGGCAACAAAGCAAGACCTCTGCTGTTATAAAAAATGAAAAAATTAGCCAGGCATGGTACTGCGAGCCTGTAATCCCAGCTACTCTGGAGGCTGAGGTGGGAAGATCACTTGAGTAAAGAGGTCCATGGTTCCAGTGAGCTGATTGGGGCACTGCACTCCAGCCTGGGTGACAGAGTGAGACCTTGTCTCAAAAAAGGGAAGGGGAGGGGAGGGGAGGGAAGGGGAGGGGAGGTGGAAGGAAGGAAGGAAGGAGAGAGAAAGAAAAAAAGAAAGAAAGAAAAGGAAGGAAGGAAGGAAGAGAGAGAGAGAGAAAGAAAGAAAGAAAGAAAGTAAGTTGTTGGCCACAGAGGAAGGGCAGGAGAGATGTTAGGGGACAGATGGTGGTGAAAGTGACAGAATTAAAGATTTGTCAAAAACAGGGATAATAGAGGTAGCAGCTAAAAGGTACATTAAGAGATACACAAATTACCTTTAGTTTCCACAAAATACGAGAGAGCCCATATTAAAATAAGTACCTCTGGTTGTTAGGGAGTGTCTGACCTTTCAAAAAGTATGACTTAGAACAAACTGCTTTTACAGGACGACTTCTTACCTATCTCAAGATACAATTATAACTGTCAAATGTGAATGGCTGCTGCTTAGAGGTACTGACAAAGAAATACAGGATTATGTACTCCTCTTTGTAAGGCAAACAGAATTAAGGAAACTTGGCTTTTGGTTAACCTGATGCCAACAAATGCGTTTCAATAAAACTCCCCACAGCCAGAGATTTCAATACATAAATTGAAATAACCAAATTCTACTACCTTAGCAGGACCTTGTCAAGTGAAGCACTACTGAAGGAGAATGTGGTATCAGGAGAGTCCATTTATATTTTGGAAGACTAGTTGTTAGGAGGGTTGGATCAATGTGCAATCAAGCTACAGAATAGGCAAAAAGAAGAAATTGTATTATGATTTGTTATAATCACAACAAATGCAACACTGGACCAAAACTTCTTTGCAAATAGTCAAAGCAATTAATTCTGAGGTTAGGCTAAATCTATGTGCCTAGGTCTATAGGCTGGACTGTGTCTCTTCAGCATCCACATGGGGTCACGTGTACTTAACAAATGCTTCTTTGTCAAGCACTCAGTCATCCATTAAAAAAAAAAAGTATATCTATTTCCTTCATTAATAGTATTGAGCATTAACCAAATTCAATAATTAAATGTGATTCAAAATGAAGTTACAAAACTCCCATTTAGTGTTCCTTGGCCAACCGACACAAGCAAGATCTCTTTCTTAAACCTGGCATGAGAATACAAAAGTATGGAATCATAAATACAAAAGAAGGCTATAAAACAGAAAATCTTGCAAATCTCCAAGATTTTAAAAGATCAAACATGGAAACATTTTATTTCAAAGTCCTCTGCCTTTTCCCCAAGAGTTTTCATAAAGAACATGATCACTAGGAAGGCAAAGTTCCCTAAGAACTATAAATAAAGACACCTCATTTTAATTTATTTATTGCAAAGCTTGTAGAAATGTTGACAGGAGTTAGAGACAGATGGCTCATCTGATAATGCAGAATACCTGAATGCATCAAAAGATTCATAAATTGTCTTTTATTACCCTGGCTCAGAATCCTCAAGCACTTGGGCATCTGATAAGAATTTCACATAGCGAACTATACCAGAGCTGTCAGGGCCTAGTACAATTTGAAATACCCACAAGATTATTTCAGGGTTAAAAACAAAAAAAGATATCAGTTTTATAAATGCTTATATGCATAGGATTTAGCGAGGGATAGCTTATGTCCAAAGAAATGAAAAGAATAGCACATCCTGCTGTCTTGACTCTGCCTACAGTGTTCATACCTAGTATGTTTCCAAAGTACTGGAAATGACCAAACATGATTAAGAATATATCCAACAACTGACCCTATATTCTATTTTAGACATACACATATAAGCAAGGATAGAGAAGGGAGCCAGACTCCATACACACTCACCCAGTTAATGACACTCTCAAACCCCTCTTCACTCATCCCCTTAACATCCTCACAGCACAGATGTACTGCTGGTGAGAGAGAACATGAACAGGACTGGAGCTATACAGGGATAGCTGAGAGACATCTGCCTGTTGGCAAAGCAGAACAAAATTTGCTACCATTGCAAGCAGTGGTCAAAAGGTGAAGCCAAGAAAACTAAGCTAAACAATGAAAGGGAGAGGGGTTGGAATTTATAAGTTAAAGTAATATACCTTACACTATAAATTCTGACTATCAACGATAGGCAACACTCAAAGGAAAGGATGGGGAATGTAAATGCACACACCTAGGTTCTACTCACTCATATTGGCTTTATTTGACCGCTTCTCAAATCTCAGAGGAGCCATATTGATATAGTTATGTAGCATTTTTATAATCATCCGAAGCATGGCTTAATAGAGAAATCTCGTCCTCTAAATTATACCTAATGAACTTCTCATTATAATATTTTACATTAGCCCAACCTACCAAGTAATCTTCTGCTCTCTCAATCTCAGCTGGAGCTGAATCCCAAGTCCCATATGTCTGGAAAGTGAAAGAACAGGCAAGCGTTCTGGACGTATAACTCAGTACCAGCCCTGCCGCTAACTCGCTGGCGGACAGTACAGAGCAAGCCACTTAGCTTTCCTGAACCCCCATGACCTTGGCTTGGAGCAGGAGCCCCAGGATAGATGATGTTTAATCTCCCTTCCAATCTAACAACCTATGAATTTATAGCAGAACGGAAATTTGGGCCACATTATCCATTAGGCATTCTGCTGAATGCCAGATTTTTTTTTTTTTCATAAGAAAAGAAACCCGACAGACTTCAGGGACTATGCTACTCTCAAAACCGATTTGAGTAACTGAAAACAGCACTCTGAATCCTATAAACTAAAACAGCATCGTATGAAAAACAGTTTCTACCTTAATAAAGCTAAAAATGTGAAAACTAACATTCTTGCGGCTGTGGAAAAACGAATCGCACTTGGAGTATTTTTTCTCTTAATGTATTATAAATCTCAGGTTGCTGTAGGTTACACAGAAACCAAAGTAATCCCGACTCAATTTTCAGGCCTGACACCCTCCAACATCACCCGGACTTTTAGATTTCCGGGAACAAGCAGAGAAGGAGAAAAAGTCACTGGGTTGCTGGTAAGTGACTGAAGAACTTGAGGAGTGGAGGGCAAGGTGGCCGCGCGGCCTCAAGGTCCCCTTCTCCACCCCAACCTATGAGGCCCAGAGCTGCGGCAGCTCCTGCCCGTCCTACTCCACCTCGGGGCGGCTACAGGCTTGCGGCCGCGGGAGTCACCTGTGAAGGAGTCAGGGTAGATGGACTCCAGGGCCTCCAGCTCGTTGCGCTGCTCCTCGCCGTAATCTGTCATCGTGGCCCTTGCTCTTGCCCATAGATCGCCCAGACACCTAGGCGGCGCGCAGCAGCCCAGACAGCTGCCGCGCCGGGAGAGCGGGCGGCGGCCAGGCGGGCGCAGGCGCAGAGTCCCCGGCTGGAAGGCCCAGGGCCCAAAGCCAGACCCGGCTTGCTTAACTGCAGCTCCGCGCCGGCCTCCGCCTGCTCCCTACTTCCACGTTCGACTCGTTCTGCCTGGCCAGGGGGCACTGATTTGCTGCCTGTCCCACACTCGCTCGGGACTTGCTGGGACGGTGCGCGCGGTCTGGCATTCGCCAAGGACACCTACAGCCGGCTCCTGGGCTTTGCAGGGCCTGAGCCTTAGAAGCCTCTCAGCGCTGCATCCTCGCTCGATGAGTCTGGGCTGAAAGGCCGGCATCGCGCGTCAGTGAAGGATAGTGTCGCTGGTGGCCGGGCTGGGGCGAGGGGCGTCCGATGCCTTCACCTTTTCTGGTTTCCGGTTTGACGCCGTGGCGTAGGTGCTGCGGGCTTGCAACCTAGTGTGGACTGGTGGGGCTCAGGAGATTTCTGAGCTTCTCGAACTCCGTATTGCTTGGCGTCCTACGGGAGTTGGACGAGAGGCTGGGACCAGTGTAGATTCCACTGGGCAGGGGAGCAAAAGCTCTGCACTGCCTTGAATGAGTATGGAAGGGTCGGTCTAACTGCTTAATAAGTCGGGGTGGATCCAGGAGGGAGAAATAGACCGGAGGTCCGGCTTCTCGGTTCAGATCTTTAGGCTTAACTTCTGATTTTGTGAAATGAACGCAGCTGGACGTATGATAGATCTCAAGATGTCTGTGATTGTGTATTTGTGAATTGATGAAAGGAATGTAGATCTCAGTAATAACAATTATCATATGCAATGTAAAAATTGCAGTACCCCGAGAAATGTTGAGAACCTTTAATTTGGTAATACGACTTCCAAGAATAAACTTGAGCAAGTAGCATGCATCTGTGATCTCCAAAATCATTGCAGCAATTACAAAGAAAATTTTCAAAGAACCATGATGGCAAAAGCTAAGAAAATGGCTAAATAAACATGGTTAGCTTTATGAAAATGATATTAAAAACTATGGTAACAATAATAAAGGATCCCATGTTCCTTTATTATATTATTGCGCTAAGTCGAAAAATGGAAAATTTTAAGAAAATACTCAAAAGCTGTTGCCCACTTTTCTGTATTTTTCTTTGTTTTGATTTCTCTGTATTAAAGCTGGTTTCACTGGTATAGTGGGAGGAACACTTTTTAAATGAAAGATTCCTAATGATGAAGCCCCTGAAGCACCAGAAGGCACCTTGATCTTTTATTGAGGAGTGCTGCTTACCTATAGCAGAGGAACACTTTGATACTGATTCCGTGTTTACGGTATTAAGGGTTGATTTCAGGCGTTCTTTTAAACTTTAATGAAAAAGTGGAGTCTCCTAACTATGATGACAATCAAATAAAATACATAAAGTAACTTTGCAAGTATAAGTTGCTCATTTTTTTTGGATCGCCTCAGTTCAGAGGAATTATACTGATTTATTATGAGGAAAGAGCTGCCAGAGGAAACAGCTAGTGCATTAAGTCCTAAGTGGGGAGTCAAGGATGATTTTTGGCTGGAAGAACTGGAAAGACGAAGTTCTGTTGACCAAAATAAGTGAGGAAGACAGAATCAAATTTGGCAAGGAAGGTGGCATTACATCTTTAAATGACTCCTAGATGAAAGAAAATCAAGCAAAATTAAGTTTTTTTCTCCTAACAGAATAATAAAAACAACCTACCAAAAGAAATGAGATGCAGCAAAGCAACAAACATACAAGGTTTACGTTAGAAAAAGGTTACTTTTGGTTGCCAGTTGCAATCCAGTAAATGTACCTCTTTATTTTCATTCCTATTTCATTAACAAAATTTTTGGTAAAGCATCCTTTTCAAACCTTATGTATCACTGTAAATAAACCCTACATGCTTCAGAATGCTCAAGAGTGTTACTTTGATACTGGAGATGGCTCTTGTAATCAAGAAAACACTTCCGCAAATCTTTGTCACACCTACATAAGCATTATTAAGCATTTTTTAGTGGATCTCTAATTTCATTTTGACCATAACACATGCTTAACACAGCACAGCAAGTCCCTTAACTGAAATTGTGGAAAATTCTCATGAGGCAAATTGACTTTCTTTTAGTGTTTCATTTTTAATCGGTAGGTAGAGATGTTACAGACCAAGTGTTTTAAGCTCTGCAGGTAGGCAAATGGTGTGAGTCACTGATATGGTTTGGCTGTGTCCCCACCCAAATGTCATCTTGAATTGTAGTTCCCATAATCCCCACGTGTCCTGGGAGGGACCAGGTGGAGATAATTGAATCACAGGGCCGATTTTTCCCATCCTGTCCTTGTGATAGTTAGTTCTTATGAGATCTGATGGTTTTATAAGGGTCTTCCTTCTTCGCTGGGCACTCATTCTTCTTCCTGCAGCCATGTGAAAAAAAGGATGTGTTTGCTTCCTCTTCTGCCATGATTGTACGTTTCCTGAGGCCTTCTCATTCATGCAGAACTATGAGTCAATTAAAACTCTTTCCTTTATAAATTATCCAGTCTCAGTTATTCCTTCATAGCAGGGTGAGAACTGACTATTACAGCCATCATAGGATCTGGAACCAGAAGTGAGAAGCCCAGGCTTAGTCATTTGCAAGATACATAAGCTTATAATTCAGATGACATGAAATAATGTGTAAGCATGTTGTGTAAACTCCATATAAATATTATTTACTGGTAATTAAATTCATATACCATCTTGTAAAGCATTGCTATTCTCTGTTCATCTTTATTGCTAATGAAATTGTCCCTAAGAGATTCATCTTATTTGTATTCTTCTTAGTTTCTTCTGCAGGTAGTGCATATTAGCAGTTGCTGTTTACTAATGCTATCAGCCTTTAAAAATTATTTTGATGTTTATTTTTACTTTTCTGTGCCTGTGAGTTTTCTAGGCAATCACACTACTCTCAGAAGCTCAGTGTTGAGAATTCCCTATTTCATGCTTAATTTTAATTATCGAACAGTTCATGTGGCTAATGTTTCATTTACTCAGGTATCTCAAAGACTTTACCAGTCACAAGCACAAAGAGCCATATAAAATTTTAATTTTGTGTACTCTGAACAGAAATATCTTCAAGGGTAGTGAATCTCAGTAATACTTTCCAGCCTAACTCACTTCCCTGGCCTGCAGTCTACTGTGAGTCAACACAGAAGCCAGAGTGGTTCTGTTACAATGTAAACCAGTCCATATCACTCCTTTGCTCATAACTGCCCCATCCTCATCTCAGATTAAAACCATGTGTTTATAGTATAGGTCCTAGAGAATCTGGCTTCTTGATCCTCACCCTCACAGCTCTTCTTTCTCTGCCTTAGTCTGTTTTCTGGACTAAGCTTATAACAGAATACCTGAAACTGGGTAATTTTATTTCCTACAGTTCTGGAGTATTGGAATTCCAAGGTCATGGGGGACATTTGGTGAGACCTTCTTGCATGTGGGGACTCTGCAGAGTACTGAGGTAGCACAGGCCATCACATGGCGAGGGGGCTGAGTGTGCTCACTCAGGTCTCTCTTCTTATTCTACTCCACTACTCCAGCCATACTAGCCTCTTTGCTGTTCCTCAAGCATGCAAGGCAGGATTTCCTCGTAAGGTCTTTGCACTTGCTGTTCCCTCTGGAATGCCGTTCCTCCCATACCCATATGTGTCACCTCCTCCCTTCCTTCAAGTCTTTCCTCAAAGGTCACTTTCTAAATGGGGTTACCCCAACTCGACCACCCTACTTAAAATTACAACCACTCCTAGCACTACCTATCCCCTTTAACTCATTTTTCCCATGCTTCTTTAAAATTACACTATTTATTTATTATGTTTATACTCTTTCTCCCTGTAGTAGAATGTAAGTTCCATGAGGGTAGAAATTTTGTTTACTGTTGTATTTTGGCACATAAGGCAGTACCTAAACAGACTAGGCACTCAGAAAATATTAACTCTCTGAGTGAATGAATGAATCCAAAAGACTGGTAACATGGTACAATTCTAAAAACACTGGACCAGGGGATTATAAGGCTAGGTTATAGGTCTTTACAATGACTTTGTCATATTAATTTGGGTAAGAAACAATCTCTCTGGATCTAAGCTTCCCCATCTATAAAATGAAAGAGTTGGGTAAAACGATCTCTGAGATTCTCTGCAAATGTAAGAGCCTATGATTCCTCAAGATCATATTTATATTGGAGTCAATTTTGTATAGATTTCAAAGTTAGCAGTTAACTTCTCTGCCCCAAGGTGGCATGGCTAAAGGAGTAGTGATATGGTTTGGCTCTGAGTCCCCACCCAAATCTCATCTTGAATTGTAATCCCCATGTGCCAGGGGAAGGGTCTGGTGGGAGATGATTGAATCATGGGGGTGAAAATCCCCTTGCTGTTCTCATGATAGTTCTAACAACATCTGATGGATTAAAAGTGTGGCACTTCCTCCACCCCTCACCACTGTCTCTCTTGCCACCATGTAATACGTGCCTTGCTTCCCCTTTGTCTCCTGCCATGATTGTAAGTTTCCTGAAGCCTCCCAAGCCATGCAGAACTGTGAGTCAATTAAACCTATTTATGAATTACCCAGTCTCAGGTAGTTTTTTTATAGCAGTGTGAAAACGAACTCATACAAGTAGTATTTATGCATGGAGTTGTTTTTCTTCTAACAGCCTTGATGCTAATGTTCTTGAACCATATAACAGATAGGGGCCTCAATTCTGGGCAACAACAAAGCAGAGACAACGCTAGGTCTAAGTGAGCTACACTTCCAGCATTGCCTTGCATGTAAGAACAAAGTATAAGGTGGGAAGACAAGAAATAAAGTTTGTACATGTTCCTTTCCTCTTACCCTAGTAATAACCATTTTGATGTTCTTTGACTTTCCTCCTCTTCCTCCCTCTTTTCCTCTCCCTCTTCACCACTCTCCACAAACCCCTACCTTTGCTTTGGATGTGAAAAGGATTGAGGCATGGGGAGAAGAAAACAAAGGAGCAAAAGAGGTATAGAAGATAGGGTTAGTGAAATGCAATAGAAATGACTTTAAATGTATAGAAAGAAAACAGTTAAAATGAAAAATTTAAATGTAAGTCATCAATTCTCTGGCTTCCTTCAAGGAAATACAGTGAAGGGTTGAGTTGGGGTTACCCCTAAGGTAAGTAGTGTCTTGGTGGCAAAATTTTATTGTGCAGTCCCTGTCTCTATAAACAATCTTATTTAATTGTATTTACAAATGTATTTTTAAAACTCATGGGCCCTTGTAAGATATAATGACTTATTGATGAAGATTTGGAATAAATAATAGAAAATTACTGATGGCAGCTGGAGGTAGATAGGTTCCTAGGTGGGAAGGGGCAAGTCCCCAGTGAAACTCCATCTTCAAGCCAAGGACAGCCTGAAGCCTAGGGGCTGGGCTACCAGTTCCAGGTGAAGTCCCTAACCTGGAGTGAGATTTTCCTTGATACCTTTGGACCAATTAAGTGGCTCACCCATGGGCCAATCAGCATGCATTTCCTCCTGTCCATGGACCGATCAGCATGGTCTTCCTGCATTCTGAGCCCATAAAAGCCGCTGGACTGAGGCCGGCTTAGACACTCATGGCAACTACCTGCCTGCAGTTGGTAGCTGCACACTTTGGGTGTCCTCTTCGCTGGGCGCAGTTCGGTCACCCAATAAAGCTCTTCTCTGCCTTGCTTACCTTCCAGTTTTCTGCATAACCTCATTCTTTCTGGACGAAGGACAAGAACTCAGGACCTGCCGAACAGCGGGAGCAAAAGGAGCTGTAACACTTTTCTGGCCGGTTTGCTGAACTGCAGGCGGGAGCTAAAGGGGCTGTGACATGTTCCTGGCCTGCTTGCTGAGCTGTGGGCGGTGATATGCTCCCAGACTGCAGGAAGGAAGAGTGGCAACCCTTCTGGGGACCTAGATCTTGGGAGTCCCCAAGCCAGAGCTTTAACACTATAGTCCTCCCACCCTCTGCTAGTGCAGGGCGGCTGCCCCATATGACCGAAAGCAGCCGCAGGGCCAGGCCAGAGCGGGGTGTTGAGACTGAAAGACCTATACCACCAAGGGGCTGAAATACACTCCCTCAAACATGGCCCCCATCCCCGCTGCCCACACTGCAGATGACAAGAGGGAGAGAAGAGCTGTGGCCATTCTGGAAGCACAGACCTCGGGGCTCCCTGAGCCAGGGCTGTGACACATTGTAACACCCTCTTTGGAGCTCTGTGGTTCCTGGAATCTCTGAGTTTTTGGGTGCCACCGCGTTCCCCTCGTCCAGACACTCGTGTCTACAGTGGAAGCTGCTTGCGGTATGCCTGGTCCCGCCGCAGTCTCGCTCGGTGACGGTGCCAGGAGCTACCCGCCCCGCTGCGGCAGCTACCCACCCCGCTGCAGCAGCCGGCATGCTTGCTGTGTACAGTGGCCGGACCCCGTACTTGCTCGCTCACACACGCCTTGCCGCTCCGCGCCTGGTTCACTCTCCGCAGGCATAGGATCTGGGCCGGTAGCACAAGCGAGCACGGCCTGCTGGGCCAAGTGGGCTGAACGAGTCCAGCAGGAACAAGCAAAACTCAAGTAGAGGTACCACTGGCCACAGAGGTTTCCAGCTGGTAAAGCAGCACCTGAAGGAGCCTGTGACAATACATATACATTTCTTTTTGTTTAATCAGTTTGTCTGAAGATTCTCTATAGTGTCCAGGCACCATCTCTTTCTATTCAGGAAGAAGAGCCATCTCTTCATGTTCTTTATTGTCAAATGCACTACTGTCTAATTTCATATCTCTCACCATGATTTAGAAGAACAAAAAAAAAAAAAAAAAAAAAGCAGTGCTTCTACACACAATCCCGTGGCTCACTGTCATTTCTAGCAAAACAAAATCGTTCTTCTTGCCTCTGCAGTATCCCAATACCTTTTTTTGTAATGCTGGTCACATCATTACTCGTTAAGCTGCGTCATTCATCCTGCTGCTCCTGAATACTGGCTTCCAAAGTCTTTCTCAAAGAATGTTCTTTATTGATGACCACAAATGGAAATTTTACCCAAAGTATGCAGGAAAATGGGAATGGTTATTTTCCAGTCAGTTAAATTTACTACACATCTTCCAACTATGTCTTTTCTTGAATGCCTTAGGCCATAATCACTGCATTCCTAAAACGATGTCTCTTTTAATGTCGCTGCACCGCACCTTCTACACTTGGCCACCAAGTGGGAAGAAGGGAGAAGGTCCTAAGGGTGGTGCCAGATAAGCAGTTCCATTCCAGTGCAGGGAATGTCCTTGACCAGCCCAAGAGAGCACAGATTCACAACACTGATCTGAAGCCAGAAAGGGACAGCAATCTGTAAGGCCCCTCAAAAGCCATCAGAGAACTGGTAGTAGACACACCACCCCAGAGGACAGCCTGATCCGCGGCACACAGTGGAGACCACCCTGGGCCCAGTGCAGCGGCACACCAAGGAAAGGACCTGCTGCTGCCACCACCTCGCCGGCTCCAGGGCTGCAGGTGGGAGCTGGCACTTCCAGCTAGAACACCCCGGCATGCCATGCTGTGGGAAGAGGGTCGAAGAGTGTAGGGATGTGGGGAAGGGAAGAAACGGGTCCCCGCAGTCTGGTCTGGCTCAGGGCACCCCATGCCAATGAGCCCCAGACAATTTCCTAGAAGGAGCTCAAAACATCAGGCTCCCTGATGGCGCGCAGTACTGAATCGCATATTAAATTATTATTCTAGCTCTGCCAGTAATAACTTGGATGAATTTTGCTTTTTGCATTATCTTCCCCATGAAATATAAACCTGTCTCACAGGACAGCATAGGATCTATTAAATCATCATTGGACTAAAGATGCTTATTTTGTAGGCAGCTT
This sequence comes from Homo sapiens, assembly GCF_000001405.40. Taxonomy (NCBI): domain Eukaryota; kingdom Metazoa; phylum Chordata; class Mammalia; order Primates; family Hominidae; genus Homo; species Homo sapiens. The sequence continues at coordinate 116,563,652 of NC_000006.12, read as the reverse complement.
TTCCAAATTCAAGTTATTTCAACATGAAAGAATGACGGCAGGCATAAACTTATCAATAATAGGTCACCTATTATCGACTTATGAAATTTGTGCAATCAATAAAACACCATGTAGATCCAGAGATTGATTGATTGTGCTTTCACATTTGCTTTCTCACATTTGAAATGCTAGCATATGTCTACATTATGAAATAATTTATAGTAAATAGTTCTGTTGATGCCACTAACTGACAACTACAGAAGAAAAATATATTTAAATGTTTATTTGCAGCTTAAGGTAAAACATCCACAAATGCCTATGAAGTTTATATTCAGCTCTTTCTGCACTTTAGCACACTGTAAAATATTAGAGCACATTGTATTTTATTCATAAAATATTATATTATAGATATATTTGTTTTCCAGGAGCAACAGTTTTGCCCAAGGCAGAGTGTCAGCACATATAGAATCAGGATGCTTGTGTTAGAAATGACCTAGAGGTCTTAATCCAGGGAGTCTCATTCAACAGGCTTGTGGGCTCATAAGCTCCTGAAGTGTATTGGCTTGTATATTAGCTTCCTATTGCCACTGTAACAAATTACCACAAATTTAGTGTTTAAAACACTGCAAATGTATTATTTTATAGTTCTGTAACTAAAAGAACAGTATGTAGTTACTACTTTTCTGGCACAGGTCAGACACAGCTCTGAGCAGGCTAAAAGCAAAGTGTCAGCAGAGCTGTGTTCCTTCTGGAGGCTCTTGGAGAGAGTCCATTTCCTGGCTTTTTCCAGTTTCTAGGGACTGCCCACATTCTTTAGCTCATGACCCCCTTATCTTCAAAGCCAGCAATGGCTGATAGAGTCTTTCTCAAGCTGCGTAACTCCGACATTTTTTGACACTCCTTTTCTGTTGTCACTTTGCCTTCTCTCTGACTCGGATTCCTCCTACAGTCCTTTTATAAGCACCCTTGTGATTACATTGGGCCCACCTAGAAAATCCAGGATTATATCTTCACATCTCAAAATCCTTACCTTGATCTATCTGCAAAGTCTCTTTTGCCATATTGAGTCACATTCACAGGTTCCAGGGATAAGCATATGGACATCCTCAGGGAGCCATTATTTAGCCTACCACGGTATTGAGAACTCTGAGGTATGTGAGCTGGTGTCTATGTGTATGTACTGGATATGTCCTCAGAACAGCTTCCCCAGAATGGCTCGTCAAAGGGGTCTGTGATTCAAAATGGTTTAATCAACCACCTTTGCAATTTAACCACCCTCTCCTTTCTCGTGGAGGGGAAAATTGAAGTCCCAGAGAGGCTGGCTTGTGCAAGACAACATAAATGATAGGAGATGGTGTTTTCCTGATCCCTGTTTTGACACTTCATAACTATGGCCTACTGAAAATAAATGGACAGATTACAGTAGTGCCATGCCCATGCCATGCATGAGAAAGAGAATACCTGATACTCCAGAGCAGGTTTGTTGTTAGTCTGCGGCTAATAGAATCAGTGCCACTGGCTGTTGGGGAGATCAGGTCCAATGTTATGCCCCAGTGAGAGTGGACAGGTCACTTTGCTAAGAAGCATAGTGCCTTGAAAGTGGGCCCTGATGTATGCAGGTATGATTTAGGTGGAAAGAGAGCGACTTACGTGATATGGCAACACACGGTCAGAGCCCAGGATGTTTCAGTTATTCATCGACAGAAGTATTAGGGATATCCTCCTAACACCTACAAGGCCTTGGAAGATTGATAACGTACCTCATTGCTGTATTCCAGCACAGTGCTGCAGAGTGCAGGGTCCAGGGGTGGATTCTGGCTTCAACCCTTACGTGACCCTTGGCACATTGCTTGATTTCTCTGTATCTCAATTACTTCTCTGTATCTCAGTTACTCAATGAATTAATAAAGAATTAATGTTATTTAATATCATTTCAGCAAGTTACTTTCTAATGGGTGACTATTTGTCACGTGTCCAAAGGTGTAACTAGGATAATTTGTTAAAAGTTACTGGCATACAGAGAGCACTACTTGTTTTTGCTACTACTACTGTCACCACAGATGGGTGCAGACACCTGTTTTGACCACTGGGTGGCAGCAGAGGAAACCATACTTGAAATCCATGCGTTTTGTTTTGTTCCTGAAGTTCTGGTATACTGAAATTACAGAAGCTTAATCATACTTGGTTGTTACTGCAGAAAAATAATCAGGTCAGGAATACTACAGTTTGCCTCTCTGGAAATACCATTTATTGCTCTTCGGTCCAGACGTCACATTTATGGATTTACGCCCCCCAGCTCAAGAAGCCAGTTGCGTAGCAGTCTACGCTCTTCAGCCTGCCAGTATCTGTTCTTTATTGACTGGTACTAAATTTCTGTAGACTCTATTTAGAAGTTAAAGTTGTATCTCCACACCTTATGTTTTCAAGATAGCAAATATCTACCTAGTCTTGCATTCAGAAGGCCTTTGGTTGGCCATGATACTTCAAACTTTTATAGGATTAATGTGATGTCCCTTTGTGATACAAACCAAATGCAAGAAAACAACTAGCAAAATCTCACTGTTGTTTATTACAATCATGCATTAGAATTTCTACAAAAAATGAATGGAAGACTGAGAACAGAGAAAAGAGACACAGAGAAGGACAGAGTATAAATGCGGTTCTACAATTCAGCTTTGGAAAACATAAAGAAAGCTGAGTAAAACACATTTACACATTGGTTTGTATTTGTCTCCTGGGAAGGTGGCAACTTAGGTCATGATGGGACCGTGGAGGAGCTAATGAAATTAAGAAAGGAGCAGGTTTATATATGTCAAGCTCCAGGGTTTGATGTGGTAGCCAAAAGCATTTGGTAGCAAAATATAAAGTAGTATTAGCACATAATTGACTTTAATTATATGTTTTATAATTACATAAATCCATTAAGCATAAAGGGGAGGGAGTACCATGTTCTTAATGAAAAAGTTTCATTTAACTAGCTGTGGAGCAAAAAAATGCTATAGACCATAGCCCCCCCCCCCCCCAAAATACTAAAAATTCCATTTATTTGATCTGAGATAGATAATGTACTGTAAGATGAAATCCCAGGGGTGTGTACTACCTTTTAAATGTTCACATAGATGCTATAAATCATTCTGAAGCCATGTAGAAGAGCCAACGAATACTTAGAATCCTTTGCCAGAAAGTTATAGGGGAAGATCATGATTAACTGGCTCAAAATATAAAATTTTTACATCATACACTAAAAGAGTTTGATGTAGAAGGGCTTCAGAAGCTAGTGGAAATAGTTTCCTGGTATTAGGGTATAAACAACTATTAATCTTCTTTCTGATGATGTAATGCTATAACTTCAAATATTCTTTGATTTTGTTGTTAACCGAAAATCTTATTGAAGAGTCTTTACTGTGGTATAGTTCCTGACAACTAATAAACTAATTCTGAGCATGGTTGAAAGTGTTCATTTAACTAGTATGTTCCAATACAGAAGAATATAAAAAATTATCAGTTATATAGGAACAGAATTTTAGAACTGGAGCAGACCTTAGGGAACAAAATGGATGTGACATTCCATATTTACACAGTTCATTTGTATCAGTGTGGAACTAGAACCCTAGTTGCCTTCCACAACATACTTCTATTTGTATTTTTAACATCCTTCATGTAATGTCATATCAGTACTGAGTGTAGAGTTAGTAGACAAACTGGAATGGCTTTCCTTGATGACTTGAAAAAGATCAGTACATTAACATTCTTTTAAAAGTGGAATGCCAGTAAATGTTTTCAGAGAAAGCTCAGATTCAGAGTTGGGGACATTTTCCTTCCAAGAGAAGCAACGTGGGTCTACTACCATTTCAGAAAGATGTATGCATATTGACCTGTATATATATATAAACATAAACATAAAAATCGTACTTGATGTAAAAGAGACCTTAAGCAGTTATTTAGTTCAGTTATTTTCTTCCAAGAGGTAAAATATTATCATCCCTTTTATTGTATAGATGAAAAAAATCCAGGGTCCAGAGAGATGGACTGATTTGTCCAAGGTCAAATGACAGATGAGTAATGGTGAGGGCAGGACAGTTCTCCTGTCCCAGCAAAGAGCTACAATATGCAGTCTCTTATTGAAGGACAAAACAAAACCTGAAAACATTTTGATTTCTTAAAAATTCATTTTCTGCTTCTTCCTATTAAGTTCAAGGACCCAGAACTTTATAGAAAATAAAACCTTCCATAATTGTGTAAAAGTAGATTACCAAGTAATTGATTGCATTTTAGATAGTATAGTCAAGTTCCTTGGTCTCCTTGAAAGTGAATCTTGAAAATTGGATTGACTATTGGCAGTTGGTCCACTGTCCAGTAAGCATTGTTTTGACTGAAGAAATAAATAGACAGAATGCCCTCAGACAACTTATTTTTGCTAATGAGCAAGTTGCTTCAGTGAACGTAGCAAAAATCAGGCACGAGTCACTATATATCACAGAAATAATCTAGATAAATTAGAAAATTGTCCAGATACTGTAGGCTGCATTTAGTAAAGCCAGGCAGAGCAACACCAAGCAGGAATTATCCTCTTTTGTAGTTACAGATAATGGATATACAAGTACAGACTGCAGTTTTGGTTTCACAAATGGATTTTGAGTGCAAAGGTGCAATTTGGTAATGAAAAGGTACAAATGGTATCTCTGGAGTAGAGCACAGTGGAGAAGCTTTCTAGAAGAAACTTTATATGTAGTGGCCATAAAAATGCTCCTAGTATGGAGGTGCTACAAATAACATGATACTAATAATGATAAATAATATATCATTGTCCCCAGGTTATAGTACAGTAACTCAAGAGCTTCCTGCATGGGCTTCTCCCTCACATGTTACTGGATTAGAAAGAGGTTTCTGTCCTGCTTCCCAAAAGGTCAGATATTTAGGTCTGAAGAAAGAGGGGGAGGCTGTGAAAAGTTCTGGACATTATATAAAGGTAGAAACTGATAAAACCAGAAAATAGAGGCAGGGAAAATGGTGAATAGAAGACATGGAATGCAAAAGAGAAAGAGAGAAAGTAACATTCATTAGCATCTATTTTTATGAAAGACACTGTGCTAAACACTTTGTATTATCATGTTTAATTCTCATAATAGCTCTAGGAGGTAGCTACAATGTGCAGATGACAAAATGGCACTCAGAAATATTAATTTTCACACAGCTACTAAGTAACAGAACTAAGATGCAAATTTCCATGTGACTTCACATTCCACTCTAGGCATTACCAGACCATTGGCAAAATTTCAAAATGAGAGATTGGCACAATTATCTAATAGATTGATTTTAGAAATAATATTTGAGATGGACTTACGTAAACAAATATCAGAGAGAAAGAAAAAGATGAAGAGATTACATTGAAATGGCCTGATCATAAAAGCCATAAAAGCCAAGTATCTGCTAAGCAACCTGACTCATGAAAGGTGCTGTAATCAAGGTTTTAATTCAATACCTCTTGATCTGTCTTCCTCATTATCCTCATCCACCCTATTTCCAAGGAAGCTATAGTGACCTTGCAAGTCATCACCCATGCATAAAAGAGTGGGTACTGAAATATCTTTCCAGTCCTGACAAGAAGGAATGCGGATGTGTTTGACGTCTTCACTCCCGGGAATGAAGCCAAATAGCTTCTTTATGCGATGCATCATGAGGAGCCGAGAGTGCTGCTCTGCTGCTTGTTCAAAGAGTTCTCTCTCATTCTGGAGGTGGCTGGTCCAGTAGCAATGTTGCAGAGAGGTGAGGGGAGAGCAGCACTTTGCCACACAGCAGGAGACTAAGGCAGCAATGGTTGCCAAGGTGATCAAAATCCAACCCAGCATCTTCACATCATTATTAAAAAGAAAAACAGGAAGTATCAATGCATCAAATATTCAAGCAACAGCCATGGGAGGGGGGATTCCTACAAACCTAAGAACTAAAATATGGACATAAAATTTGCTTTTCCCATCTTTAGTATATCAACAACGTGCTAATGATATGATTTGGAAATAGGTCTGATGGAGGGCATAGGCCCAGCCATTTCAACTTCGTTTTTGAGTTACAAAGAAATTTGACCAGTTAACTTGGAATGGATTCTAAGTACTGTCCTTGAAGTGACAGATGCTATAACCCACCAATTAACCTTACATATGATACATACCTTTCTTTGCTTTTAGTTCAACCTTACTTCTCAACTATCAGTTATAGGCCTATGCATTCTTTGGGTGTTTAATAAGTATTTGATAATGATGGTGATGAAAATGATATGATACATAATAATAGTAACCTTCTAAGGCATTTTCAATGATGTACCAACAGGTGTTCACTGATATTTTTTCCTGAATTGCACTTTCCTCTTATCTTTTGCAGCTAAAAAGCAAGTCAGTGAAGAGACTCATGTTTCTAAATGTATTATAAATAGCATAGTTGGCTGGGTGTGGTGGCTCATACTTGTAATCTCAGTACTTTGGGAGGTCAGGCAGGCGGATCACTTGAGGCCAGGAGTTTGAGAATAGCCTGGCCAACATGGTGAAACCCTATTTCTACTAAAAATACAAAAATTAGTCGGGCATGGTGGCACATGCCTGTAATTCTAGCTACTCGGGAGGCTGAGGCACGAGAACTTCTTGAACCCAGAAGGCAGAAGTTGCGCTGAACCCAGATCATGCCATAATAATGCTCAGGTGACAGAGAGAGACTCCATCTCAAAAAAAAAAAAAAAAAAAGATTAAAAATAAATGAATAGCATAGTCACTGTGCCATGTAGTAACATATTGTTTTCCTTTTCATTTCCCTTGTCCTCAAATAATCATTTGCTGACCAGTCTCATTATGTGTCTTTGAAACATACTTTAAAAGGAAAATGAACTAGTTTTTGAGACTATTTAGTGTCGGCTTTTAAAGATTGAATCAAATGGCTGTTTTCTATTCTTAGAATCCTTTTTTTCTTTTCATTTTACTGTTTTCAATATTTTGCACTTCTTATGTAAAGTGAGAGAGGTAAGTTCCACATATTTAGGGACGCTAGCAGTATGCAGCCACAGCTTGGGTAGTGAAGGCCTCTTCTGCATCTTGTGATTTACCAACAGGCCTGAAGTTTCCAGTGTGTGCACAGTGGGATAGTTGTACTCTACGGAGGCTAAAACCTACAAAGTGGTATTTATTACCATTTAACTAAACAGAGGCCAGCATGGCGGAGGAAAAGCCATCTCAGATGCCCATTAACCTATAAACAATCATTTACTGAGCTCCAGGTTGACCTTCCCCCATGTGTAATACATGTGCTTGGTTATGGGGAACTCAGATGTGAATAATTAAAGATGCATTCATTTTCTCTATAATTTTTAAGCCTAAAAAAGGAGACAAATGAGCAATCCAAGAAATATGGTACAATGGGATAGTTTTTGATATGAGTAATCAGAGCACCCGAGGAAGCACAATGGAATGAACTCACTTAAGGGAAAGGATTATCAGGGAATACTTCCCAGAGGAGATAATGCAAAAGCCTAAATTATTAAAAAGAAGTTCATCAAATGCAAGAAGGTAAAGAGAGTTCTAAGAAGGTAAAGGAAAATAGCATGAATAGTTGGCAGAACCTCAACACATTTGGACTCACATGCTCATAGGAGTCATGTAAAAGTGGTCAAGGGCCAGATGTTGAAGCCTTGCATGTTATGCCAAGAAAGTGGGTTTGTTCTTAGGCTAGTAGAAAATCACTGAAGGGCTTTATATGCAGTAGGGAAGGGATCTCATCATTCAATTTGCACTTAGAAAGATATTTTTGGCATATATCTAGAAGGCAGATTGACATGGAGTGAAGTTAATGTGAGGAAGATATTTTAGAATAGGGCATGGGCAAAGAAAAGATTTGAATTCAAGGTGATTTTGTGGTCAATTCACAAAAATCTAACTGAAAAATAATGTATATTCTTGAAATGTGACTGAGACAGTCACAGAAGATGGCCTAGTGAAATGGAAATAGCATGATCTTGGGATATCTTGATCCAGTTTATTAGCCCTGAATTATACAAGTTACATAAACTTTTTGAGCTTTGATTTACTTATCTGTAAAATGGGGTAGTAATATCAGTCTCTCAATATTATCAGGACTAAATTAAGATATGAAATATTTATACAGTATGTGATAAGTACATCAATAAATGTAAGCTTTGTTGTCACAAAACCAAACAATCTACTGGCAATGGTACTCAGAACTGTAAAACTGTCTTTTCACAGAAATCTGTGTATGCGTTTAATAACACATTTTGTTTTGACTTTAAGAAAATCTTACCAATGTGTGTTACATTTTAGCTTTTCTTAAGCAAGAAAATTATTTTAAGTTATAATTTTTCTATTGATTTTTTGAATTTTCACATATTTTTACATAGCTCCTCTGAGCATTAGGGCTAGTATTAAAAAAGTTAAGACAGAGCATATCTAATGGTATTTCTAACTTTTTAAAAACTGGGCCATATTGCAATAACTTGATATTCTGTGTCTTGATAGTAGCTTTTCCCAACGAAATAACTTTAGCATTTCTGAAATGTAATAACTCTAAGGTTACCAGTCAAAAAATATGCACGCCTTTGCAATAAGTAGTTTTAAAAAGCCATGTTTTTACTATATGATGATGATTTCAAAATGTGTTTTTTCCTCAGATCCCTTGGAGAAATTGATGACAGCAGTGTCACTCTTTCTACTGACAAAATGCACAATAGCACTTTTAAAATTCAACCTATAAATGTAGTAGGGTTCAGGCTTTCTTCCCACCCCACCTCACTTTCTGACATAAACCTATCCATAGACACCAAATTTAGAATCATAACTGGAGTTATTTTTCATCATAATTAAGCTTCTTATAATTTTAGATGAGATAGTAATATATAAGAATGCATATTTAAGAATATATATATACAGAAAATGGGATTTACTAATATAGCAATAATAATATTCATAACATCTAAAATCTATTGTTCTTAATATAGATTCTAGAAATCATATTAAACACTCCAGATATATTGGTAATGTATTCCCCACAGCAGCCCCATGTGGTAGGTGCCATGAATATCCCCATTTTACTCAAGGTTTTGCAGGTTAATAAGTGGCAAAGCAAGACTAAAACTCAGTTCTGCTGACTCCAAAGCCCAACATCCTAACTATATATATTTGCTCAGTAGAACTCACTTTGATGAACAGCATCTAGTATTGTGTTCTATAATCAGAGAATATAAGAAGCAGTAGGAATCTGAAATGTTTCCATTGACTGTAGTTCTATAGGATAACATAGCAGAGGGAAAAAAATTCTAAAAACTTACCTGTGACTGGTATCTGTGCAGAAGAGCTATTTCATCTCTTACTAGGATCACGTCAGAAGGAGCTGATCTGCAACATGGAAACCCAGCCAGGATCTCTTCTCGTTTGCTGGCACTGACATTATCAAACATTGGGTAATGGTCCACAGATGCAAATTCACTTGCTGCACATTCATAATACGTGCCTGTCAGCAGGGTCACCGCCAGCCAAGTTAAAGGAGCAATAACTGCCCTCCCAGTGATGCTGAAGAACCTAAGGCAAGCCAGCTTGCACTCTAGGGGGCTGATTCTCCTGTATGGAGGGGCACAGCTGCAGCAGTATTCACCGGTAATTGTCCACATTTGGCTTCTCAGAGCAAAGCCAGCAACGAGAAGGATCAAGGCAGGAATGACAAGAAAAGCAGAACCATAATAGAAATTTTTTCCAACCTGACAAGGACAGCTGAATGTAGAAGAGGAGAAGAGTTGTTGCCCACCAATAGTCAAGGCTGCAATTAAAGAATTGATAAATATTCCATTTCTCTGCAGAGAAGACACAATATTGTTGAGAGTTGGGCACATCTTGGGAAGCTGTTACACAAATCAGCTTGTGGCCCTTTCTGATCATTAGACTCCACCAGCTATAACCATTTTATGGGATCTTACTGGTTTAACTGGTTGTGTCAAGTGATCCAACATCCTTACATGTTTAAAGGATTCTAGCATCTTTCCTTGTGTACTTTGAAAACCCTGAGCTCAGATTGATTACAGCTGAAAGAAATTGAGGGAGAGCTCCTTTAGGTATGAGTGAAGGGGGGAGTTTCTTTTTTTTAACTATAATAAAAGGAGGGTGGCTTGCTTAGAAAGCAGACTGCCTCCATCTTTCTATGTGCTGCTTTGTATGACACAAAATGCTGAGCACCAGCAAATAGAGCATTGAAAGCAAAACAGAGACATTCTTAACCTTGTACTAGACTAGAATCTCGTCACCATAAAATTATAATAAAATGAATAATGGAAATTATTAAATACTAGAGCAATCCAAAATTTAGGGCTGGCTGGAATGTTCCTAAGGGTTCTGCTAGAAGAGCTCAAAAGATTTCCCCAAGGAAAGAACAAGGCTAGATGCCCCTAAAGCCAAATCACAACAAAATATTCTAACTTTGCATAAAAATTTTAAATCTGCTTGCATTGACAGAATATTGCTATATGCTGCTTAAAAATTTAAGTTGCAGATTTGTTTATATGTATCTTTTTGTTATATGAAAATGTGATATTTGTTTTGTTGTTGTTGTTGTTTTTGAGACGGAGTCTCGCTCTGTCGCCCAGGCTGGAGTGCAGTGGCGCGATCTCGGCTCACTGCAAGCTCCGCCTCCCGGGTTCACGCCATTCTCCTGCCTCAGCCTCGTGAGTAGCTGGGACTACAGGCGCCCGCCACCACGCCTGGCTAATTTTTTGTATTTTTAGTAGAGACAGGGTTTCACCGTGTAAGCCAAGATGGTCTCGATCTCCTGACCTTGTGATCCGCCCGCCTCGGCCTCCCAAAATGCTGGGATTACAGGTGTGAGACACCTCGCCCGGCCGATATTTGGTTTTTAATAAAGTTATATATCTATAAACAAAAAGTAAGATGTTTTCTGTGTGTATTTAACCAGTAAATATTTATTATAGAATTTCTATATAAAGGGCACTGAACTAGGCTTGACTGGGTTTATAAAAAGTGAATATGATATACATTTTCTCTTCTCAAATAAACTTTTAACTGGACATGGTTAAATACATAATTAGTGAAAGGAAATGTAGTACTGAGAAATTCACCCAAAATGCAGTACAGACAAAGAAATAAAATAATTATTTTTGAAAACAGTTAAGCAACTACACAATCTGTCTAGTAGGAGTTCTGGAAGAAAAAAGGAAGGAATAGACAGGCAATATTTGAAGAAGAAATAACTGAGAACTTTGCAGAATCAAAGAAAAGTTCTTATATCTGAAGAATGTTGGTAATTCTGAGCAATATAAAGAAAAATAAACGCACAACTAAACACAGAATAAAACTGCAGAATGTGAAAAAATAGATATTCTTTAAAACTACCAGAAAGAAAAAAACAGATAATCTACAAAAGAACGGCAATGACTGACAGCAGACTTCTCATCAATAACAATAAAGACCAGAAGATATTATCTTCAGAGTGCTTAGTACCAGCCAAACTATCATTCAAGATAGAGCAAAATAAAGACACATCAAGGCTAAGGGAATTTACCATCCACAGAACCTCATTAGGAGGATTACTAAAGGATATATTACAGCAAAAAGGAAAATGAGCCCCAAGGAAAGACACAGGAGCAAAAAATAATGATGGGCACAAGTATAATCTTTTAAAAGTCCATTCAATTCAGAAATAACTAATTTTTATTTCAAAATATACAACTAAAGCTATATATTATTATAATAAGATGTCACTACATATCTACTAAAATGTCTAAAATAAAGACTAGCCATACCAAATGTTGGCAAGGAGGCAGAGCAACTGAAATTCTCATACACTGATGGTGGGAATGTGAAATGGAGTAACCACTTTGGAAAATTGTTATTTTATTTAAAAGGTAGCCATACATCTGCCATATAACATAAGCGTGTGTCTCCTAGTTACCTACACAAGAGAAATGAAAGCACATGTCCACATGAAAACTTGCACATGAATGTCCATAGCAACCCTATTTAGAATAGCCAAAAGCTGGAAACAACCCAAATGTTCATCAACAAAGGAATGAATCAACAAAGTATTATACATTCATACAATGGAATACTACTCAGCAAAAAAAAAAGGATAAAACAATTGAAGTAATGGCAAAAACCACAATTACATTTGCACCAACCTGATATATATTAATACAATAACTTGAATGAATTCAGAAATAATTTTCCGGATGAAATAATTCAGGAAAAGGAGTACATAATGTATGATTCTTTTAATGTAAAATTCTAGGAAATGTAAATTAATCTATACCGACAGAAAATAGACCAGTGCTTGCCTAGGAAGTCTGGAAGTAGGGATAAGAAGAGAGGGATTACAAAGGAATATGAGAAATATCCCTTTGTAATTCTGGGGTTATATCAACTTGTGCCACGGAATTTTAATTTAGAGAGCTGACTGAGTGACAACACAAAGAGGCCAATGCCATTTAAATAATTTATTGCCACATAAGGTCACGGGGGTGCATCAGGTTTGGTCAGGGGACAGAAGGAAGCAGGGAAAGCCTAACTAGAGCCTTTATTGGGCACTCTGTGGAAAAGGCAAGGCAGGGCAGGGAAAACACTTAGGGTTGGCTAGCTTAAACAATTCTGATTGGCCTTGGGGCACAGAGGTTAGCCCTACGTGCCCGCGACCTGGCCATAGTTTATTTAGGGGAGGGTAAACATTGGCTTGGTGTATGAGAATTAGATAAGGAAGTGGTTCAGAGTATGGTCTCTGATCACAGGGCAGATGTAAGCAACTTGGCCATTATTTGACCTAGTAATTAATGGATGCCACATAGACAAATACAGAATCTGAGAAAATACAACTAGGACAGGGATGATGGAAATGTTAATTATATTGATTTATTTGGTGGCTTCAGGCGTATAAGTGTAATCACTAAAAGAATAGAAATCCAACGCATAGATAATTCAAAAAAGAGGAAATACAAAGAGAATATTGACAGGAAAGGAGAGAGTAAACAAGGGAAAGAGGATGGTAAAGAGAAAACAGAAAATAATGGTAGAAATGGGACTAAATACATCAATAATCACAACAAAAAATTTTTTTCAACAGCTAACAGTTACTGATACTAGGCACTGCTCTAAGAACTTTATGTTATTTAATTCCTACAATAACCCTATGATGAGATACTAATATTATCCTCAATGTTTTTATAGATGAGAGGACTAAGGTGTGGAGAGATTACCCAGGAAAATTACCCTGGCACTTCTGCCCATCACACACAGATGAGCGGAAGTGCCAGGACTGGGACTCAGGTGGTCTAACACATGCTTTTAACCACTGTTCCAGAACTAGATTAAACTTTACCTACAAAGTCACTGAAAAATAGAGTCATGCTGCTTACGAGTGACACTCTCAAAACTATACCACACACAATGCTTGAAAATAAAGGTACTGAAATATATATCAATGGGAACAATAATATTAATAGAAGGCAAAACTTAACTAAAAAGTGTCACAAGGAATAATTTTGGCAATTGTCAACTTGTAGTCTGTGATTGTATAACTTTGAAATATATAAAGCAATAACTGATCAAATTATAAAGAAAAATTTTTATAATTATGGATGTGTGTGTGTGTGTGTGTGTGTATATATATATATATATATATATATATATATATATATATATATATAATTTAAGATGGAGTTTTGCTCTTGTCGTCCAGTCTGGAGTGCAATGGCATGATCTCGGCTCACTGCAACCTCTGCCTGCCGGGTTGAAGCGATTCTCCTGCCTCAGCCTACCGAGTAGTTGGGATTACAGGCATGCACCACCATGCCCAGCTAAATTTTGTATTTTTAGTAGATACAGGGTTTCACCATGTTAGCCATGCTGGTCTCAAACTTCTGACCTCAGGTGATCCACCTACCTCGGCCTCCCAAAGTGCTGGGATTACAGGCGTGAGCCACCACGTCTGGCTGGAGAGATATTTTTAATATACTTTTATCAGAAATGAATCCATCAAATAAATATCAGAAAATATATAAAATATACAAAGAACAAACTTAGCAAGTTTTGTCTGAGAGTTTTATATATATAAATAATATATAATGTATTTACATTTCAAAACAGCTAGAAAAGAGGTCTTGAAATGTTCTCAACACATACAAATGATAAATACTCAAGATGATGGATACGCTAAATGCCCTAACTTGATCACTGTATATTCTATCCATGTACCTCATAATATCATGTATCAACACAAAAATTTAAAAAAGCAAAGCCTGAAGTGTATATAGTGACATGTTCAGTAAAGCTCAATAGTAAATGCCACATCTTTCCTTAGGCTTATACTTTTATTTTTATTTTTTACATATATGTACATTTTGAGACGGAGTCTCACTCTGTCACCCAGGATGGAGTGCAGTGGCACCATCTCAGCTACTGCAACCTCCACCTCCCAGGTTCAAGCGATTCTCTTGCCTCAGCCTCCCAAGCAGCTAGGATTACAGGTGCCCTCCACCACACCTGGCTAATTTTTTTGTATTTTTAGTAGAGATGGGGTTTTGCCATGTTGGCCAGGGTGGTCTCGAACTCCTGACCTCAGGTGATCCACCGACCTCGGTCTCCCAAAGTGTTGGGATTACAGACGTGAACCACCATGCCTGGCCTTCTTATGTTTAAAATTTTATATTTAAAAATGAACTTAATTAAAGTACAGATGGTCCCCACCTTACAATTGTGTGAAGGCAATACACATTCAGGAGAAACCCTACATCAAACATGCACACAACCATTCTGTTTTTTATTGTCAGTGCAGTATTCAATAAATTACATGAGATATTCAATACTTTATTATGAAATAGGCTTTCTGTTAGATGATTTTGCTCAACTGTAGGCTAATGTAAGTGTTCTGAGCATGTTAAGGTAGGCTAGCTTAAGCTATGCTGCTCGGTACATGAGGTATATTAAATGCACTCTGACTTCTGAATGGTTTGTCGGGATATAACCCTATCACAAGTTGAGGAGCATCTGTATAAGGGGAGTGAGGAAGTGGGGAAGGAAATTGTAGACCATTCTTTCAGGGAAGTATGTAGTAAAGGATGGAGCATAGATTGATTAGAAAACATTATTGGATTGTAAAATTCTTGCTGTAAAGGAGTTTGTAGATGATAAATTCCCAAGTTTTACTATTGCTTACTGTTGAAAGAACTAATCACTTCATCTGCAGTGCCAATGTGTAACTTGCTAATGACTGTGAATGATTACATTTATGAGTAATCAATTTTCTTAGTTCTTTTGTGATGCTATAATACTTCAGACTAGTATAAACACCAGAAATTTATTTTTTACAGTTCTGGAGGTTGGGAAGTACAAGATCAAGGTGCTGGCATTGTTTTTTGGCAAGGGCTCTTCTCTGCTTCCAAGATGGCACCTTGTTGCTATATCCTCACATAGCAGAAGAGCAACAAAAGTCTAAGCTATTTCCTTCCAGCCCTTTTATAAGGTGCTAATTCATTCATAAGGGCAGAGCCTTCATGACCTAATCGCTTCCCCAAAGGCCCCAACTCTTAAAACTACCACAATGGGCATTAAGTTTAAACACATAAATTTTAGGGACATTCAGACCTTTGCCTTCTCTGATAGTTTGCGGGTGATCATACAACCGACAGATCAGCGGATGTCATCCTCTATTAGCACCTTCCCAAGTGTCTACTCTGCTGCCCATGTATTCCCAAAGGACCAGCATAGGGGCATAGCTCAATTCACCATTTACTTGGGTTGGTTGACTGCAGTGCAGTTTTACCAGACTGAAGAATGTGTCTTTCTCCTAACCCCAGTTCCAGATTTAGTCCTAACAAGACTAAAGAACTCTTAGTAAAACAGGAAAAACTTTGCTTATGCATTATCTTGGAATAATTCTTTCCTAGTTGGCTGCCAGGGCAGACATTATAGATCATGTACCCGCTTGAAACATCATCTCTGTGCTTTCTTCTATTTAAGGGAGGAGTACATTTACATTAAAAAAGGAGTCTGGGGAACACAGGGCTCACTTGCATCCTAAGAGCTGCTGAAGACTAGCAGGTTTCATAGACTGAAAACCAGCAAACCAGTGTCCCCTGTGATGATGAGTACAGCTGTGGTCGTGAAGGTTGTGCTTTGTACAGTAGCACCTGGCAGGGGCTCTGCTCCTTCCTTAAGCTCGTGTCTTGACTGGAAGGTCAATGGAGCAGAGGGGAGCCATGTCAGTCTGAAGTAAAAGCCGGCTTTTTCTAATACATCCAATGACATCCCGAATTCTCCCGATGGCCATAATGTGACCATACCACAGCCATTAGAGTTTGGTGAAATTGATTCCAGTACCGCCATCACCTCGCAGCAAGCACACAGGCCCTTTGTAGGTTATTCTCTGGGGTATCTTACTCAGAACTAGGATTGCCCACAAATTGACCCAGCAACATGCTGTCCCTGCACCTTAGTAAGCTTTTTGAGTCTGCCTCTAAAATAGTTTGCTCTAACATAATTAGAGTGTGTGCGGTACAAAATAAATTTGACTTGGAATCATCAAAATTAGCCCAAATCCCTTCTTGTTGCCAACATCCAGATAACCTTGAATACATTTCTCAACCTCTCTACTTTTAGATTCTTATCCTGTAAAATGGCCATGATTACAGTACTATTTCACAGATTGTATCTGAATTAAAATGAGATGAAGAGAACGAAAACCATGTTGTAAACTGTAAATTTGATATACATATAAGTCGTTATTATTTGCTACTGAAAAACTCTCCACCCCATACCCCACAACTAAGTGAAATTAATTTTCCTGAGATCATAGTGTCATAGAACATATGCAGTGATGGAAATGCCTTAGGTATTGTAGAATTCCATTCAATTTATCCAACCACAAGAATAACCTATAGTAACTAGTTATTATATGGTGCATTTTAATGTGTTTTACGGTACGCCTCGTCTCTTTGGTTCTCACAATTATTCTGTGAGGTGAGTGATATTGTTGCCATTTTGCAAATGTGGAAACTGAGTCATAGAGCAATAAAATGGCTTGCCCAATGCCACACAGCCAGTAAATGGTAGGGCTGCAACAGCCTGAGCCTTCCAAATCCTCCTAGGTTCTTTCAACTACACCACACTTTTCGTCAAAGTATTCTTGAGTTTGTCACTTTATAGCAAGAATTTTCCAGAACAAATAGGACTAATGGACTCAAACTATAAGTAGAAGAAAATTACTTTCCTAAACTGAGTTTTCCGCTTCCATTTCTGGAAAGATTTTGATCCTACTCTGCACCCTGCAGTTGTCAAGGTGAAAGGATTTTTTTATTTGAACTTTAAGTATTTCTGCGTAAATAAAGAGAGCCTTCAATAGCTTACGTCTCAGGAGCTCTCAAAAGAAAGCTAAGGGCTTACTTTCTCTATCAGAATCATTATACATTATGATACTGTAGAGCGCCCATTTTGAACAACAGTTTTGTAAGAAAATATTGCCCATTCTATCACTCCTTAATGTTGTTGATTGCTGCTAATGAAAAGCAAAAAAGTTACCAGATATATTTGAATACTGTAATCACACAAGATAGGGATCTATGGTTTTGGGGACAGTGTGATAACCATTGGTGTAGTTGAGGGATCACGTTTTAACTCAGGATTTATTACCTACAGATTGCTGATCTTGTCTCTCTAATTCTTACAACAATCAATCCAAGACTGAATAATGCTAACATTTAGATCTATCTTGGATTGCGAAGGTTTCTGTTTCTGATTTTAAAACAATGTCTTGGCCTGAGAACAAAACACCACTCTTGAACTCCCTCGGGCTAAAGAATTTTTTGAGTTGCAGTGCTTCAGGTCTGACTTCACATTATCAGCTTTTATGGCTCTAGATTACAATTCATCCTTACAAATGAAGCAGTTATTTGATCCATGGCAAGTTACGTGGCTATAAGACAATCCTGTTGTTCATGGTTTTTTTCCCTCTTCAGCTCAGCAAAGAGCAAAAGCAGCAGAGTGCAGAAGCAGCACTCCTGTCTCAAAGCGAGGAAGAGCTTACAAAAACAAAACAAAAAGACATGGACTGATACACCTCTAAGAAACAGGCAAAAGAAGAGAAATTGAAGATCATATTCTTCATCTATCAAGCACTATGTCTCGCCCTGCACACCGAAGACCAGAATACCATAAAATAGTAAGATCTTTCTACAAAGAGATTTTTTCTACTTCAGAGAAAATGTTTTCTTGAGTGATTTCTGATTGATTTTAAAAACTGATGCTATAAGAATTTTTAGTGGAGGAAAGACAGTGTTCAGCGAAGTGAATCATAAATGACACATCTAGGAATAATTATGATTATCTCCTACATAAAGAATAATCAATTCTTTATACACACTTTAAGGTCTTCTTTTCTGACTAATTATATCAATATGAGTGTCAATTTTTTCACCTCTGACAGAAAATATGAAAATATTAGCAATTTTTTCTATTTCATACTTCAGGAAATGGGAACTTACATATATATGTATATGTATATATATGTATGTATGTATATATATATGTGTGTATATATATAGTTGATTATGTGTAAAACTGAATCGAAATAGGTCATCAAAAAAGGATTGCCTTTAAAAATGTTTCCTAGTCTTATTGTAGCTTGGTATGTAATATCATCCTTTCTATATATTCCAGGTTAAGAGTTATTTATAAACCTTATTTTTTTGCAGATTAGTTTTAAATAATATTCTTTAATACTCTCTTATAGTTTTAGTCACTCAGATACTACAGATACAAAAACTCACTGTTAACTTTAAAATTCTGTTAATTATGTCAGGAGACTGATGGGCATTTGATATAATTAAGTAATTTCAGACTTGGTGTTTAGAATTGTAGTGACTAACTAGCATACTTCAGTTTGAAATGCCTGCAGATACCTCCTCTGGCCTTCTGGGATCTTGATTTATTTTCCTGTGGGACTCTCAAGTGCTAAAAATATATGGTACATAGTTCATATTATACCGAAATCACTTGATTTTATAAAGCAGTTAAAATGTATTTTTATCCTGATACATTCATAACCTACTGAAATAGTTAATGATGTTCTTTCAGATATTCATATGATTATTTTTATTGTTTTAAAAACGATAAAGATAAACTTATGTTGACCTTTCCTGGCATCTGTGGTATGGATTTGAGACCCAATTGAACAGATAGTTCAAGGTACAGTCCTTGGCCATGAAGCAGAATAGAGAAAGCTGGCCTTTATGGGTACTGAACCAGAAACTCAGCTGGAAATAAAATAGATTTCAATATATAATAGTGCCCACCCATCAGGGACAGAGAAGAAATTCCACTATTTCAGTTTGGCCTTAATTATAAAGGGACACAATGTTGGGGCCATGGCATGTAGGTAGGGTATGATTTTTTCTACTTTTCTCTTTTTCAAATTCTTTTGTTTTACTGCTAGTCACAACAATCTCATCATTCTCTCTCTCTCTCTCTCTCTCTCTCTCTCTTCTTCACCTTTGCTTATCTTTATGCTGTAGCATTAGTACATGGCAGCACTTTGTCTTCTGCTGTGGCTCTTATATGTTGAGCAGACTTTTCATTGATAATTTACCAGCATTTCTTGTGATTTATTATTAGGTTCTTGGAAAAACCCTAAGCCAAACCTAAATTGTCTTAAGTTTTAGTTTTCATTTATAATTTACTCTAAAAATGGGACATATTTTGGAGAACTATAAGGAAATATCACATTCCCCTTTTTTCTCTAAGTAAAAAGAAAAGAAACTCACAAATTTGCTGCTACATTTGGGTTTATCCTGAAGGTCTCCTTGGCAGATCTGGGGGCCATTAGGGATTGTGCAGACGCCTGAGAAGTCTTATCCAATTCTTGCTTCCAACTGAAAACATGGATGGCATATATTTTAGAAAAACAGAAATTTATGTTAGAAATTAGTATTTTTAAAAAACTGTCCTCCATGAAAATACATTGCAAGTTATCATGTAAGCAAATGCATAGAAAGATGTTATCATGTTACGAAATTCATTTTATTTAACAGCTCTCTCTCCCCCACCTCACATCAATGTATCCAAATGTGAATATAATTTGTTTTCAAAAGTGCAAATTGTTGCAATAATAGGAGGAAGGAAAAAATGTACAGGTGACTTCTAAGGCTACTTCAAACCAGATTTTATAAACAAAAGAAATACAGTAGTATACTGTCATAACTTGCCTATAACCAGAAACTACCCCTTTTTCTCCAGAATAAAGATCTCTTTGTCCTTACCTATGGAGCTCTGGTTGCCCAGCTGTGTAAGGATTATGAGAAGGATGAAGATGTGAACCAATATTTAGATAAAATGTAAGTGGAAGTCCTTCATTCTTATTGAATGGCTGTTGTTTCTTACATCACCTGCATTCTTTCTGCCTCTAATGACTTCCTTTGCTTCATTTCACCAGCTGTTCTTCTGTCTCAATTAATCACATCTGAAAGCTGAACATAATTTCTTACAAGTGCCATTTGGGTTGATAGAATAAGATAATAGGAAGGATTTTTTTCCTACAAATATCAAGTGTGGGATGTTTTCTCTTTAGTTAGAAATCATTTCTTAAGTGACTTAAGAGTCGCTTATAAGCAAAAGATGTGGTAAAATTGAAATTATTCTATTAACAACATGAGGGAACATCAAATTTTATTCTTTTCAGAAGTCTTTTGTTCTAACACAACTGCTTCCAATATAAATATATGCTTACACAACCACAGACCATCTATTGAAAGATATACAAGAAACTCACAATGGTAGTTTCCTAAGGGGAAGATGGAGAAAATAGGAATTGTGAATTAAAGGGAGAGTTTATTTTAAGATAGCATTTTTATTGTTTGAATGTTTTTTAATCATTACTATGCTTTTCTTAAAAAACATATTAGGTAGAAAAACTCACTTCTTCCTTTTTAAATGAGACCCATTCTCTTTGTCTTTATTGTTGGAGATTCCTCCTGCACAAATTCCACCTTTTGATTTTCTCTGAGTAACTATGTGATCATCAGATGATTGCCAAACAATAAAACATCTGTCAATGGTTTTTGAGCTTTTTAATTATAAACTCTGAAGAGGACTCTAACAGAGGAAAGACTGGAAAATGTGTACTGGTTAGAAGATTTATCTAGGCAGATTGAAGGGGAAATTTAGCCTAACATTTTAGAGCTTTTTAAAAGGGTTCATTGTATTTTCAGTTGAAATACAGAAAAAGACAACATAAAGATTGAAAGTCTTTTTAAAAAACTCTCATTTTTCTTCTTTCTGTATGCATATTTTTTTCTTTTAAAAAAATTATAATTTATTTTTGTACACATGACTTTTTTTTGGAATTTCTACTTAATTAGTCAAGGGCATTCGCAAAGAAGAGAACTGCCCAACTGTCTACCTATAGATTTTTCAGTCACTTTGTTAGCTGAACTGTCTGTCTATAGCTGTGAGGAATGTTAAGGTTATTTTACGCTAGCTCACACTTAAACATCTGACATAGCATTTCCAGAAATTACTTCATTTTATTTGACTTATGTTAAACTTGCATTGTTTTGTGAAAAAGCTGTGAATAATAAAAAAGCTCACTTATTTGACTACAAAAATACCTTTGGTTAGCTAATTGAGTACACATTTAACAAATATGAAAGAAATATTAAAGAATAAATTTTTGAGAAGCTGCAGAAAGATCTTTCCTTAAGAAAAAAATTCACATTTAGATTTCCTTAATAGCTTCTGCTGAGAGCCTCTTACATTTTTAATTTATAAAATATCTACTTTGCAGAAACATACCCTTTGACCAAAGCAATATGTGTAGATATAGCACAGCTCATAACGTTTTGGCTTCTGACCACTGTTCCCAGTTGCTGAGCTGTGGATATGCAAAGTGAGAATTAGAAAACACTGGAAATATTTTTTAATCCTGATACAACTATTTCTGTAAAGTAGACATTTTGATTGTTAAAAGTCTTTGCAGTGAGAGCTTCTTGGCTGAAATTATAAACCATTTTTCTCCAAAGTCAAGGAAGCTAAACTGAATATTTCTATCCACTCAGAAATATAAATAGGATATCTCACAAGATTCATTGAATTCATAAGCACTCTCACATCAAATCCGTCTCCCTCCAACCACCTAGTCACCAAAGATTTCATCTCTTTTTAGAGCCTCTGGAGTAATCATTGCCTCTGAACACTGTGGTGTCTTGTTGGGCATTTTGTGGCTCCACTGGAAATCGTTTCACTTGTCTATGTAGATGTGGCTGTGAAATTAAAAGACCAATTTTGATAGAGGTTTGGCAAAAATAGTGTTCCGTTTGATTTCCACCTTGAAGGTCACATTTTCTCAGCTAGATTGCAAGTTCTTATAAGATAGAGATTCTGACCTTTCTTTGTATCCTTCTGGGAAATCTAGTCGTTTTTCAGTTTATCTTGTTGAAAGTGTGTGCTCAGCCAACTTAGCTACATATTCAGTGTGTGTATAATCACATCTCAATCGAAGGTTTTCAAGATTGTACTTCAGGCACTACTAGAGCTATTTTCTCGGGGTGGAGATAATACAATACCTTCCCCCAATCCCATAGTTTGTTTCCCTGGAATGAAAAATGAGTTTTCTGAACTTGGCTGTTTTTCACTTAGTAAACTTCAGAGTCTGAAGATGCCGAAACTCTCACTGGCAACAAAAATTTTTTCTGCTCTCTTCTTCCCCTCCTTCCAGAGCCCATCCTGGAAATGCCTGCCCTTCTACCCTGATAACAATGCTAAGAGAAGAGCGAGCATCCGGGTATCACACATGTAGCAGACGCTTTAGCTAGGATCTCATTTGATTTCCATCAATAGCTAATGATGAGAAAATTAGCTGCCACTGAGAAACATTAGGCTACAGAAACCAGCCTTCCTTAATTTTAATTTATATTGTCAACTTTGGGCAAGTCTTGATTCTAGGCAGACTCTTCTGCTTGCAGGAGACCAGTTAATATTTCCTCAGTGTGTTGCTCTCTGCTTTGTGGTCTGTGGGGCGAATAAGAAGCCCACAGCCAAAAGCCATTTGACTCGTCATATTTGGTTTGATTTGTGATTCACTTGCACAAGTGCTAAACACACAAATCGCTTCTTAAAAACTGACAGACTTCACTAATTTCTTAGAATTTTCAGACCACACTCTTTCCGTCATCCACAGGGGTTACGGCATTGGAACGCGGCTTGTGGAAGACTTTTTGGCTCGATCCTGCGTGGGAAGATGCCATAGTTATTCAGAAATTATAGACATAATTGCCCAGGTAACTATGTTTTTATCTCTGTCAATATGTTTTGAAAAATCTCTGATTCTTTTTGAGTATGGTGGTTTTCTGTTCAGATTGGACAGGTTCCATCTGCATTCATTGTTAGGTGCTGAGAAAGGAGATTCTGATTGAAAAGCATTTTATTTCAGCACAGAGATAAAGCTACTGTGAACTGAAAGATGCATTTAAGCAACTATAGATTTTCCTGACTACAGGAGTGTGTAGAGTATATGTCTCACAGTGGAAAAAGCATTTTCAGAAGGTAAACAGAAGGGGAGTGTAATAGGGCAACCTTAAAACATGCATGCCCCAAACCAGTTTCTTTACGATAATTTTCAGCACATGGAGGGAGATGGTTTTTGGTAGTATCAAAGAATATTGTTTAGTCATTCCCAGAGTATTGTTTTCCCAAGAGAAAAACAGAACTTCCTGTAAATATATTTGTTCTAAGAACTTTCATAGCCCTGATATGTAGGAGACAACTTGGAATCATCCAGGATTAGCTCACTTTTATTAGAAATTAAACCGGAAAATGCATCTTTAGCCAGCCTTTAAAAATCTTGGCCTATGGTTATTAATGTAGTGTTGTTAATTTGTGGGAGACTCAGAAGATACGCGTGTCTCCAGGTTTACAAAACTGATCAATTAAGTCAGTCTCATTTTTTTTTCTCTCCTAGTCCTTAATATTGTTATACATGACCAAACTGACTCTGTGCATGAATGGCTGTCATTCTATACCATCATGCTTTCTGAGCCTAAATGCAGTTTTACATACTCTTTGTCTTTCACTGTCACAGTAACCCTCTGAAATAGGCAGAATTGGAGTTACTATCCCCATTTTCCAGATAAGAAAATTAAGTTCCAGAAATAATATGATGAACAGTAAATAATAGTATATGTGGGGAAAAATTCTACATTAAAAATACAATCCAAATGAAAGATTTTTCCATTTACTCATATTATTACTGGTATTATTTCATGGCTAGTGAATAATGTGGTTGAAACTGTTATTCGAGTATCTTCCAACCTTAGCACAATGAGTTTATCATACCACTAACCAGGCTGGGGAAAAAAGTCCCTTTTTATATTGTCAGAATATAAGTAAGATCCCAAAACAGTAGTTTGAAAAATAAAATAAAACATTTTTTAATGAAACTAATTCTATAGGCAATACTACAAGAATACCAGCTGTTTTAATGGAAAGTAAATACTTGTAATATATAAATGTAGATGGTTGTGTTTTGTTGCATTTCTAGTTGGTAGCCCCCTAGGCTTTTTGATTAGTAAGACACAGTCTCTCTATAATGAGGATAGATTGGTTTGAGAATGACTCCCTCTTGATCTTTGCCAAAATTCATCCCATTAGCTTAGTGTGGGCAAATCACTTGAGCTCAGGAGATGGAGAGATCGAGACCAGCCTGGCCAACATGGTGAAATCCCACCTCTACAAAAAAATACAAAAATTAGCCGGGCGTGGTGGCACAGCTGTAGTCCCAACAACTCAGAAAGCTGAGAGGGGTGGATGGCTTGAGGCTGGGAGGTGAAGGTTACAGTGAGTCAAGATCATGCAACTGCACTCCAGCCTGGGTGACAGAGCAAGACCCTGTTTCAAAAAAAAAAAAAAAGAAAGAAAGATTTAAGACTTTGTCTTGCAAATTAATAAGGCGGTAGAGCATTGACCAATAATCTGAAAACTTATATAATGTGGAAAATAAAACCTGACTCCTGTATTTAAGGTTGTTTATTAGGCTTTGAACATTTGAAGAATAATTTCAAGGGCAATTTGGAGACTTCATTCTAAAGATATGTTAGCATAACTAGCAAAAAATTTCATTCCTCTGGATATGTTTGTATATGTATCTTTTGCCATTTATTAATGTATTCACTTATTTTTTTAAGAAGATGATTAACAGAACAAAAAATATCTGTTGAAAAAAGAGCAGTAACCAACTGGAAGTAGAGGCATATACAACCTCATTGCTGAGAAGCTGGAATTACATTCTGTCACACGATGTAGGGTCAGAGATTATCTGAAATATGCTCAATACCGTAAATGCCCTTGGCCCAGAGAATATTGGCTCATCCAGTTAGAATAGTGCAGTGACATGGGAGGATTCTCCAGTTTTTTCTTACTGTCTATTATTAGCGCTGAGGGCAACATCCAAATCACTGAAAAGCTTCTGAAGAGACTCAGAAGAGATAATTCCACATATTCATTTTAATCAGAAGAACATAAGGGAACAAAGCTTCTCTAGTAGAAAATAAAAATGGTAACTTTTAAAAATTATTATGATTAACTTCAAAATAGCTGCTAACAAATATCCCATATGAATCCTTCCCAGAGGTGGCTAAGAAGTCTCATGTAAAACTTTCTTGTTACCTGTGGTCCTCGACCAGGATATTCTCCATTCTCTATTAGCCACAGGAAAATTACAGAGCTGAAAGCCAAATTAAATATGCCAATAGGAAGTACATATTTATGTGGGGCCTAATGTAGGACTTCTTACTGGGTATTTACTCAATAAAAATTAGTTGAAAGAAAAGAAAAGAGGAAGGGAAGAGGGGAGGAAGGAGAAAGAAGGAATCAAAGCAGACTTTTGTTCAGGCCCCTTAGGAAGTTGCTTTTCTTCTGCAGGAGGTAGCCTGCGAATGCTCCTCACCTTGCCCAATGCATTTAAGGGCTCCTCGAGTCCCTTCCATGAGGAACTACTCGCTTTACCTTACAATGAAGTCTTCAATATGTGGAAATAGAACAAGAGTTCTTTCAATGCTCCAGATTAAAAAAGAAAAGGTTGAAGAGGAATCGAGTAAGAAATGTTCTATGGAGAGCATAGGAAAGAAAATGAATTCATATCTCAGCAGGAAAAGACCCATGAAAAAAACCCAGAATGTTCCCCATTTAGAAATTATATTCAGAAACCATATTCTGTCTTTAAAAGAGTAAAGAAGATTCTAACGAAATTTGACCTCCTAATGGTACACAATTTTCACCAAGTTAGAAACAAGTCTGCTTGATTCTCCCCTATTAGAAAAATGTACAACATCTGCTTTCCAAATATCCCTTCTCTAAGATTTTCATGTCTTATCAACCATTCTGATGAATTCCTTCCTGTGTCTTCTGTCCTCAGTGAACAGGAAAAAGATCCACTTCCACTCCTATGCAAGATTCTTTCTTGTCAATGAGGAGAATATTCATCACCTTCACCCTTCTCTAGTGTAAGACAACTGTCCCTGCTCTTTGCACCTTCCTTCAAAGGCCTGATTTCCTTCCTCTTGATCATTTTTACTTCTCCAACAAAATGTTCCTTTACTTGTAGCACTAATGTCACCCATTTCAGGAGCACTTTGACAAAGATGAAAGGTCAGACTTTAGTTATGGACCTGCCCACTGAAGCTTTGTTAAAAATTAGCAGCTTTCATCCAAACGTCGGGCCTGTGGCAGCATTATCTTATTAATCCTTGTAAACTCTCCTCAGAGGAGGCAGATGTCAAATGATACAGTCAGTTTTACAGAGAACTAGGCCAAGTTCAGAAGAAGTTTACTGTAGTCACATGCTGCTCCCAGAGCATGGCAGAGTCAAGAATAGAACCTAATGGCTGTAAAATTTGTTTGGCTCCCCTCTCAGACCACACACTTCTACCGAACACCATCATCATCCGTCTCAAGTACTGAGCACCTAGAGACCATGGCACCCATAAAACTCATGATCTCTGTCCTGTCTCCAGGGAAGGAAAGAGAGAGAAGGAATGCATTTGAAGAGAATTGACTAGATGAAGAAACCTATGCCCAGACAGGAGAAGTGATCCCTCCCTCTGAGTTAGTAAAAAGACTACATGTAGGAACAGGTTTCCTGAACTTACACTGCACTCAGCACGCCTCTGCCTTTGCGAGAGAAGGACTGTGTAACTTCAGGTATTCATAACATTCCCCTCTCTTGTTTCCCTCACTAGTTTTTTTCTTCAAAGAGGAGGTCGGTCTGTCATTAGGCCTCTGACAATGTCTTTTAACAAGTAGTAGACTTAAGTTGCGCCATCTAGTGGTCTGAAAAGAAATCCCATGATAATGGCCAAATCATTGAAGGCAAAAATCTTTAGTTGACCTTGCATTTTATATAAAAAAAAGATGCCAAGTTAATTATAAAGTCTCATTCCTACAACATTAAAATTCATCCATTTTTAAAACAGAATTTTATAATATACAACTTAACTTTTTGTAGTAGTTACTTCAAAGTACAACTACAAATATTAAATAAGACATACTAATTTATTTTGAACATTTGTAAGTCAACAGCATTATAACATGGTATTGAAAAACTTTAATAGCATTGATATTTTCTTTATAAAAGTTCAAAGTAACTCCTACCTATTACCTGTATTTCCCTTATAAGAACCTTGTGAAATAAAAAGAACATCTATCATCTATCATTAGCCCCATTTTACTGATAGAATAATTGAGACTTATCTGCTATCACCATGGACACATAGTAAGAAAAGCCAGCTTAGAATTTAATTCTTTTGACCTTATTCTAGTGTTTTTTCCACAAACTAATTGTTTAAAATATATCTTTAAAGATATTTTTCTACTATGGTAACTGTTCTGAGAAAAATTTTGCAGTTGGTCTAAATGAAAATGTGTAATATTCAGTAGAATTACCATAGCTGATTTTAGTTGTAATAATGAAATATTAGATAATTCAACTGTTACTTACAGACCTATATGTCTTTCTGTTTATTATAAGGGAAAGTAGAAAGTGCAATTGCACCTGTCTCTGGTCAAAGAGCCAAAAAACCTCCTTAGTTATACAAAATATATTTTAGGGTTTCCAAACACATTTATGATAAAATAGTTTCGTTATTAGGAGAAGCTAATTAGAGATAAACTTGATCATTTAAATCAAGATGATTATAAAGGCTAGGCTTGACAATAATTATAATAATGTTGCCTTTTGAAAGTAGTTTGGACACAAGGAGCTGTGATCCTCACCAGTAGATGAGCACTGGCCTAACCATGTCCAATGTAGTGGAGATTAAAAAGGAAGAGTCCACATCCTGCTGATCCACATTCCCACTGTGTGACTCCAAGCAAGTTGCTTAAGCTGTCCAAACTTTGGTTTCCATATTTGTCAGAAGAGACCTCTTTCAGCTGTCATTCTTCTGAATTTCAGGTGTTATTTTCACTAGCTATCATCTGCACATTGAATTATAATCATAAATAGCTGAGTGTGGTGAATGTAGCTTCCAAAGCCTCCTGCAGAGCATCCATCCATACCTTCTAGTTACTGACAATGTTTATAACTGCTCGGCCTTGCACAAATTATGTTTGTCAAAGTTGAGAAGCTTTTTGCTCTCAGGTCCATGTCAATATGATGATTACTCTGAGGGACGTGGGGGAATTTATCATTTTTCAGTGTAAATATCACATTACTTTGTTGTCACAGTAAGAAGGGATTTTTAAATACAGCATAAAAAGACTTAAAAAACTTGAAACCCCGATTTTTAGGTTTAAAAAATCAGCATCTAATATACTGTACTTGTTGGAAATTCTGGAAAGCAAAAGAAGAGAACTTTTCTTTTATAGTATAAATTGAAATTTTACCTTAATTAAATAATGTGAGCAATGATTTTGGGGGATGAGTAATAAAAAATCAAGGAAATGATCATAGGAAGCAATATGAATGAGGGTGCCTAAAGCAGGGAAGTAAATCTAAGTGGTGAATTTTGTAAGCATAAACTCTAGGACAAAAGATTTAGGCACATAATCCAGAGAGAAAACAGAATAGCAGGGGGAATTTTTTTCCCAGTGGGTGAATCATTTTTATTTCAATAAAATGTTCCATTTGAGATTAGAGTTGAGTGTACACAGAAAAATTTCAGCAAATCATACTAGTCATATTTTTTTTTCTTCTGCTTCTGATCTGAATGCACAAGACTGCTATGACTGAATCTATAGGACGAATGAAAATATTTCAAGCCAAAACTCCTGAGCTGCTTTAGAATGGAGACAGCATGAGGGCTATAGATTTCCAATCTCCAATACAGATTTGAAGCACTGATTTGACACTTCAACAAGGATGTCCAAATCTGATTTTATTAGACATTTTCAGAGGGGAGTCCCACAGCTTGGAAGGCGAGCCAGAGAGGTTTCAGTCAGGAGACAGGAATCACACAATCATTTCAAAATGAAAGGTTGAATATAAAACATTATTAGCTATTTATAGGGGATTAGCTACTGAGAAAGGGGAAAAAAAAAACGCACTACAGAATTTATGGGTGAGAGTTGAGTACCCAAAGGAGGAATCCTTTTTAGACAGAGTTCCACTTCTTAAGGCTGGGATTCAAATCTTGTTGGGGAAGGTATGATTACAGACTATGGATAGTGGAGAAGGCTGCTGTGTTGCTAGACTCAGACTGCCGGCAGGGAACAATGGGCTAAACCTTGCAATCAGGAAACTCACATTAGGGTGTAAGTGGGCTGATGGGGACAGTAAGAAAACTATAAGCTGGAAGTAGCAAGTTAGGAAGGAAAGGCCACTGGGTATTCTATGCCCTGCCAGTCACAATTCACAGCAGGAGCAAGCCAACAAAAGGCACGCTAGAGACAGAAGAAAAGCCCCTTCTTCCTGCAGTGTCCCTGCAGCACCTTCTTCTGGCCAAGGAGAAATGTCTGCATGATGGAGCTCTAGCGTTACAAGTAGGGCATTGAACAGCAGGTTTTAAGCTGAGAGGCAATAATCTGACAACCAGTACAGAAGGCATGAGCCGAGCCAACCTGATTGTTACTTACATTTCTATTGCCGTTTTAAATTTTGGTGGCCTCACGTTTGACCCTATCCTACCTGCTCTCTCACGCTGGAATTATTCTGGCCACTCAGTGCAACTCTAGCTGTCTGGTGGAAGGAAGAGGTGGCAAATGAAGCCACGTGTTTTTCTTGCTAGAGTGGTGTCAACTTCTTGCCACTGAAGACACAAAATAGGCTGAAGAGCACAATTTTCAGTGTGCAAACTTTTCTTCTGAAATAAAGACTTTTTGTTAAATACTGTGAAATTTGTTAAATACAACCACTACCTCTTTTTTCCTACAAATTTCTTCAACTTCTGCAACCAAATCTATGTTCGCTTTCTCAATCCCTCCAATGACTATAAATCTACTGTCTCTATTTGACTGCTGTTAGAAGTGCTGTTAAATGACACTGTGGCCAAGAACTCCAGAATATCACCCGCCAATAATTTATACTTTCTTCCGTGGAAGCCCAAGGTGGTGATATGCAAGGATAAATGGCAGACTGGCCCTTAAGCTACCACCCAGTGAAAGATGTAGCTGGGGGCTTAGACTTAAAGCCTGCCAGTGGGTCTCATAGGCTTTAAATTAACCAAGTTGACGTTCTGAAATGTTCATTAGATCTTTCTGTGCCAAAGGGAGATAATTAGTTTGCATTATGTGAAGCAAGAGTTGTAATGTTAAGATAAGTAAGCAAAAATGACAAAGCAACTTTGTAAAGGTAAGGGAACCCATGATTAACCTTACTTAACCTACCTTTATTATGAAAGCAGAGCAATGTAAGTCTGCATTTTAGTTTAATGTTTTAATCAGTTTGTGAGATTCAATTTTATCGTGTTTTGTGCCTGTTGATCTTCCAACGATTTGCTGTTGACCAGCTTATTTTGTACATAGTTCCAGTCTACATCTAAAGAAAGCAAAAATGTTTCACAAAAGTGGAAGTAATACAGTTTCCCAAAGTTATGATAATACTAGTAAATTTTGTTTAATTTGATTCTTTATTGTATTAGCCAGTGAAGTTGCCTTTCATTTACAATTTCATTTCCCCATCAGATCTGTAAGTTTTTCCAAAGGAGGGATCATTTATAGCATTCTTGGGATTTGGTTCACCAGGTAAATCCACACCTGTTGACATTTATTAAATACTGTTAAAGTGAACTTAGAAAATACTAGAAAAACCGGCCGGGCGCGGTGGCTCACGCCTGTAATTCCCTCTCTCAGGGAGGCAAGACGCGGAAGGATAGCTTGAGCCCAGGAGTTCGAGACCTGCCTGGGCAATATAGCGAGACCCCGTTCTCCAGAAAAAGGAAAAAAAAGACAAAAAAGAGAGAAAATACTAGAAGAACTTTTCACATCTACACCCTGTTGCTCCTCCTAGTCTGTCCAGAAGAGGGCAGTGCTCCACATTTGTCTTTAAATGAAAGACTCCTACCCTGTCTGCTCAATACTAACACTACATGCAGAAGCAGCCCTCTTATTTCAAGCAATTTTCATTACACTGAAAATCAGTGCTCTAAAAGTACCTGGTTGTTCACAATAACAAATCCACAGCAACAAGATTTAAACTGCGGTAGGATCCTGAACAGGACAATAACTGATTCTTATTAAATAATGACAGCGAACTCAACTTGGTAATTTTATTGAAACATTTGTTTTTTCCATTATTGTTTATTATATTATATTTTAAAATTAAATATAAATTAAATATAAATAAATTTTAATTATATTAAATTGTATATTTATTATTGTTTTTTCCATTATTTATTATATGAGTGTAGAAGGTTTCAGAAGAGGGATATTCATTCTGCTACTCTGAGGTCAACTGTGATTTAAAATGCAAATATTAAGTAGGTAACCAAATCATTACATAGTGCATTTCATATTATTATGGAAAATGCTTGAAAATTATCCTAAAATTCATCATGGAGCCAAATTGTGTTAGGTAGACTCCTTTAGGTTACCAGCATTTGGTTTATGTCAGACCTTTAGGGTTTATTGTAGAGATATTCTGGGACACGATAATCAGACCCCATGAAAGAACCAAAATGGGAAAATCCTTACAGTTTTAGTCTATCTTGAACCCTCAGCAGCAAGTCTTTGTGGTTCTCTACTTCAGTCCTGTGCCATTTTCATGACTCAACCCTTCTCTGCTTGTTCTGCTCTTATAATTACCTACTAATATCTTTCCATTTTTCTTTTCCTTCTCTCCACCTCACTGCTTCTGGTGTTTCACAGTTTTTGTTGCCTCATGGCTTCTGCTTACTCTCTTTTCTCTGGGTGTCATTTGCATTCTGCCCAATCACCCAAACTGTGACTTTCTCTATGTGTTTCATATTTAAAGTCCCAAAAAGAGAGTCTTTAACCTGTCCAGCCAATCACTAGCCCTGTGTTAAGTAGAGTTTCATGCTAGGTCACTTCCAGGGCTCTAGCCAAGCTATGAACTGACTGTCCAGGCTCACAATGCCCACCCTAATCCATTAACTGTGGCCAGAATGGCAGGATAATTAGATAGAACATGGTGATCATAGGGAGCCCCTCAGGAAGGGAATCTGGGTATGAAAAACATTCCAAGATTTTCCAAAACAGGGCAAAGTAATTGACAAATATCTTGTTCTTCTTGTCTAGGAAATTAGTAACATATATATATATATATATATATATATATATATATATATATATGAGTCTCACTTTATCTATGAACCTTCTGCTCACATTATTTATGTTACTGATGCTGGTGTTTGTTTTTCTTTGTTTCAGAGCTAGAATTTGGGGCACGTAACTAGTGTTGCAGACTCCATTTAGTATGCTAACTGTAAGGTATTGAAGTAGACAAAACTGTCTTTGTTATACATTTGCAGATAATAATAAAGAAAGCAAACACTTCAAAATAAAATGACTCTGCACTTGGAAGCAGTCAAGTGAAACCACATTGTTAATGCAAAGTAAATATTTTAGACCATTAGCAAGAGTGGGGCAGACATTATTCAGAACAGTGAGCTCAGAGGAACGCTTTGGTAGAAGGGAGATAACTAAATTCTCCAAAGAAAAATGATGTTGTGCTACAATAGGTAGTATTAGGTTTCCCTTTGAACTTCTTATAAAGGAACCAATTACAAAAGTTTGCTCTGGTCATCTAATCCTGTGGGGCTTTTTCTTTTGTTACTCTTTTTTCTAAGTCTTTTTCAGTCCTTTCTCTTGACATTCTGTGTGTTTTCTTTTTTCAAAGAATGTTAGCAGAGACAATCTGATTTTTAATGTGAATAGGAAAAGTGCCCAGATGAAATGAACTTAAACCAGGGCATTCAAGTCAGAGACAGTAACATATCTTAGGCTGTTTTTTCCTTTTTCTTAAAAAGGAGGGGGGGTGGTTTGTTCCTTATGCTTCTGTATTTTACTTACTTTGCTTTTTTTTTCTAATTATATTTGGCTTCCTTCATTTTCTAAATAACATGCATCTTAAAAACAAATACTTCTCTAAAAGTCACCATATTTCACAATTCTGGGTCTAAGTCTAGATGTAATGCACCCAGTATGATGCACAACACTTGAATTTTGCTGCCATCATAATGCTGTGCATAAAATGGGGAGGCATTTTTTTTCCTGTCCTCTGAATGTTCTTTCTTTTACTAGGATGAATATGTAAAACTCAGTTTTAGAGTTGCTTTCCATTCCTCAACCCTCTTCCGCACACACTCCTCTTACACACAACTTACTTTATGGTATAGGCTCAGAAATGCAGCCTGGGGGCCATAAAATAAAAGACCTGGAACCTGTTTATTTTCATTCAATCTCTGCCCTTCACTTGGTTAAAATCTCTCACTGATATTGTGGAGACTGATTTTTGCTGATGGTCCTCTCAAAAAGTGACTCATTCATGCTGCATTCACCTCATGAGGGTGGAAGGCACATCATTGCAACTGCCTACCTGTCAACCTCACCAGATGACATGTAACTTCTGCCTTGCAGGACATGGAGAGGGGGTTCTGTGCTCTCCACATAGACACTGAAGGCAGATACGAATGGTGGACAACTTCCACTCAGCTCCAATCTACTTTACCTCGAGCAGCACAGTGCTCTGTCTACCAAAAGCAGCCTGACAGGAAATCCCTAACTGTAGGGTGGGAAGCAGGAGGGTGCATGGAGGCTACCCCATATTTCCCTTCCATTAGACAGCCAACAGTTGTGACTCTGTTAGTTACAAAGATTCTAAAATTTTTTAATATCTCGCCACTGTCTTATCTTAGAATAACATGTAAATAGATATTTGAGAAATTAGCTGTTATTGTACATGCCTCCCACCCCAGCCAAAAGATTGAAGTAGGAAACCCAGGTATTGGAACGGAACAGAGTCCCCAGGGTCTAGTGAGATTTGCAACCCAGGCATTCCTTACCACGCACAGAGCTGAAGGGTTGCAGCAAAGCCAAGTGAAAGGCTCAGTTATTCACCTGAAGAGTCAGGACAAATGTGGAGAACACAGGTTCACAACAAACCAGGTAGAAACAGGAGACCCGGTCAGAGAGAGCAGTTCTCAGCACAGTGTAGGCAGGGGAGGACCCAAGGGTAAAACACCGTATATGCCTCATTCTCAACATTTTTCTAAGATTACTAATCCCTGTAATCCCTCAACAACTACAACAACAAAGGAAACTTATCAGATAAGCCTAAAAATAAAATCTTTCTTTGCTCGTCCTGTTTTTCAAAGGCTAACTCAAAACCTAATTGTAAGAGCCTATTGAATTGCTTTTCTTTTTTCCACTCTTTTCAACATACTATATTAAAATAAAATAAGTGGGAGCCCTTGGTAAACAGGAATTGAATTCCATGGAAGTCACAGCCCAACACAACACAACATTCCAGAGAAGGCTGGCATCACAGTTAGCTGAATGTCAGACCATTTTCCTATTTAGTAGCAGTTTTGAGTAGAGAAGGGAGCGGAAATCAATTAAAAGGAAAGAAAAATTCTTTGTGGTAATAAAATTCTCAATATTTAAAAAATGATGAATATTCACAGCAAAAACAATTTATAAATTATTTTAAGACATCTTACAATTTGGGCCAGAAATATGGCAGATAGATTATTAAAAACATGAAACTTGTTTAAACAAGCATAACCACTTAGGCTTGTTTCTCCCCACTGAATAGGCAAGAACTGCCTTATGTAATCACTCACCCATTTGGTCTATTCCGCTTTGTACCTCTGGGAGGGGTGAAAAAGGAAAAATGTAGGAAATTTTCTTTTGTGGAAAAGCATATGTGTACAGCCACAAGCTTTGTGGATTTTGAGACTGATTGGATCAAACCCAGAAGGCCACATCCACTGTTTATGGCAGAGTTCCAACATGAAGGCAAAGCACCTGCAGAGGAATTACCCTTAAACTTTTATTATGACTGCATTTGCATAATATTATTTTTTCTTTCATCACAGAGAAGAATCTCTTAGGGGTTGATTCTTAGTAAATTCTGCAAGTC
Source organism: Homo sapiens (assembly GCF_000001405.40). Taxonomy (NCBI): domain Eukaryota; kingdom Metazoa; phylum Chordata; class Mammalia; order Primates; family Hominidae; genus Homo; species Homo sapiens. The sequence goes on along the minus strand of NC_000006.12, from coordinate 116,528,111 downwards.
ACTAAATAACTTAGCACTGCCTCTCACCTTCCTTATGAATGTCCATCTTCCATTTTTGTTCATAATCAGGACTTACAAGAAATCTGGCTGCATGTAGATGTCATTTTTGCTCTATTACTAAAAATACTCTAAGGGAGAAGTTTTTTTAAATTTTACTTTATGTTCTGGGATACATGTGCTGAACGCGCAGGCTTCTTACATAGGTATACATGTGTCATGGTGGTTTGCTGCTCCTATCAACCTGTCATCTAGGTTTTAAGCCCTGCATGCATTAGGCATTGGTCCAAATGCTCTCCCTCCTAGGGGAGAAGTTTTGAATCTTCCGGGTATCCCAGCACATGAATATCTAGGCTGCTCTGCCTTTGCATTGAAGATTATTGGTTTTATTTCTGCTGTTTAAGTTATTTGGATGAAACTCATGTGAAACTGACTTATGAAACTGTAGGGAAGGCAAAACTTCACCTCTATCCTCTTAGGATTTTTTTTTAAAGTTGTCCTGAGAATTAAATTGACATGAGACAGATCAACAGAAAAAAAGCATACACATTTACTTAACACATAGCATGGGAATCTTTTTTTTTTTTTTTTTTTTGTTTTGAGACGGAGTCTCGCTCTGTCGCCCAGACTTGAGTGCAGTGGCTCGATGTCGGCTCACTGCAAGCTCCGCCTCCCCGGTTCACGCCATTCTCCTGCCTCAGCCTCCCGAGTAGCTGGGACCAGGCGCCCGCCACCAAGCCTGGCTAATTTTTTGTATTTTTAGTAGAGACGGGGTTTCAGCGTGTTAGCCAGGATGGTCTCGATCTCCTGACCTCGTGATTCGTCCGTCTCGGCCCCCCAAAGTGCTGGGATTACAGGCGTGAGCCACCGCGCCGGGCCGGGAATCTTTAATAAAGAAATGGAGACCCAAGGAGTTGAACACTTACCTACTGAATTGGACAAAGAATAGTAATTTGTGAAAAGGCAACTAAATTATTTGGGGAGGCAAGAAGACAAGAATTATTTTAATAAAATCTGTACAGAATCCTCTCAGCCTCAATTGTCCCTCCTTGATGTTAAGAGTGTTGCTTTCTTTCTAGTACAGGGAGGATATCCTTCACATGGGAATTTCTTCTCCTGCCTTTAAGAAACAGCAGGAAGGTCAGAGCAATCTTGTGACTGCTGCTTTTCAAGTGCCTATAACTCAAAATAATGAATATGTATGTCAAAGTGGCAATATTTTGGAGTGGCACATTCTTAAGTCCTTTAAAACAAACCTAAGTGGACTGAAAATAGCAATAGCTTTGCTATTTATTAATGTAACTATTTACAATAAAATTCTTTATTAAGAAAAAAAACCATGGAGTAAATACCCTGGGAAACAAAACTCTAAAGCAAGATCTGTCTGGGTCTAAGGATTCAGAGACACATCAGGAACACCAAATCCCAGGCCATCCCTGCCTGGTGTAATGTTTAGTTTGTGTCAGAAGTAAGATTTTGTTCAGACTTGCCGTGACCTCTCAGTGGTACTCCCGGGCAAGGGTTATCAATTCTAGCTCCTGCATAGACTCACCTGGAGCTTTCCAAAAAATCCTGACTTTCAGAACTTACTTTTGACCCAATAAATTGTGGTCTCTGGGAATAAGGCACAGGCATTAGAACTTTTTAAATGCTCTCCAAGTGATCCTAATTGGCCTCCACTGTTTAGAACAAGAGTTTCCTAACTTTGTTCTGTGGAACTCTAGGGTGATTCCTATAGAAGTGAGGCTGCAGGTTAAGGCTGCCACGCCTCCAGACCCTCCATCCAAATTCTTCTCCTAGTTACCTCTCTTTTTATGTCTTTTACATGCTTCAAATAAAATAAAAATCCATTTGGAAAAAAAGTGGAAAACACTAGAGAGATATGATCAAAGTGGAACAGTTTTGATTGAAACAAAGTCCATCTCACCTTTAGTTGGGACAACAAACTTGTCTATAGGGAAAGAGGTAGGGAAGGAGGCTGTGTTTTTGAGGACATTTCTCAAAATAAGGTGGAAATGGATCAGTTTGTAAGCATATATTTCTTTAATTGCTTGACTTCATGCATAGGGTCGGTGAAACCCACTCATAGTTAGCCAACTGTTTAAGGAAGTAACCCTTTTAAAAACACTGATTACTATCCCTCATGTTTCCTCCGTGACACAAATACCAACAAAACCCCTGGGAGAAATAATTGTGTTCTGTTGAAACCATCAGCAATTATTATGATTGCAGAAGCACATCTCTTTATGATAAAATATAGGCACAGAATGTTTTTACAATGCAACTAGTCACCATTTTATAGGTTATAAACTGCCGAATAATGCATATATCTTAAGGTACTGTTCTTAAGCAAAGTTACTTAATATCATGAGTTCTTACTTTGCTGACTTAATCCTATTTCTTGAAATGGCCCAGTGAATGTGATTAGGTGAAGTAATTAATTCATTTTCCCATTTTAATCTCAAGTTTTCATTGCAATTTAAAACTTGTGAAGATTTCTCTCTGGCATTGTTGTGGCTGTAGGTACAGGAAACCCAAAATTATAAAAAGATAGCTGGCCAGACAGAAAGGTGGACTCTAAAATATATAAAAATTAAAGTTTGGGGACTATTTGAAATCTTTTATAAACTTTCCACTGCTAAAAATTCCTTCTATATCAATTGTCATTTTTATCTAAGGAAATTTTTAAAAAAATAAAATGGAAAGTTTACTTCATTGATACAGTAGGAGCATAGTTTGAGCATAACTATCCTAAATATTTAGAAACCCAAGGTGAAAAGCTGTTCAGGATGGGAAAGAATCCAGGGGCCCAGACAGAGGCCAGGAAACTTGGAGATAGACCTCTATTCCCAAGAGGATATTAAGAATACAACTGGCTGGGAATTCACACACCACTGGCTGTAAGATTTAGGACAACAGAGTTGAGACTTTGAGATGTACTAATTCAACATCCTCATTTTACAAATGAGGGAACATACTTTGAAAAGTTATATGAACACTCAAGAATATACTAAAATGAGGCAGAATTTGTGTGATGGAAATTAGGATTAGACACATGTAGGTCCAAATTGATGTTCAATAACTTAACAGTGGCATAACCACCTTAGCCTTTTTGGACTCTAGCATTATTTATAAACATAGAAAAGGTAATACCTGCCTCCCAGTATGCTTGTGAAACTTAGATGAAACAAGAGCCAAGACTTCAAGTTAACTTAGTTTTTTAAATTAAATTAATGAAATTCCAATAGGAATATAGGAGTGGTTTAGTTTTAAATTCAAAACAATATAGTTTCTTGAAAATGATATAGCACAGAAAGGAAAATAAGTTGAAAATTTTCCAACTTTTTTATTGAAATATAAGAAAATGATTCTCCACAATGAAAGAGTAAACTTGTAGCAGGAAAAATCGTTCCAAAAAGACCTACCTGAAGGCCTATTTAACATTTTTGGACATGAAAGATAAAGAAACCAATGAGAATATAGGATAAAACATCTTGTTAGTAATAAAGAAAGAAATAGAGATGGCATCAGAAATCAGGCTGTGGCCACCTCAGCAATATTCAATGACAAAAGACAATGAAGTAATGCTTACAATACACTCATGTAGAGAAAGTATGAACCAGACAAGCTGTCCTTCAATTCGAGAACAGGCCAACAGGCTGAATATGTAAGAATTCAGAGAATAGCATTCCTGTGAGCCTTTGCTGAGAATGATACTAGAAGGTAAACTCCAGCTAAGCAGGGGGTGATTGACAAAACTTCAGCAAAATAACTGAGGTGACCATGTCATTTATTTTGTTGTGTACCTTATGAAATTTTTCAAACATATACAAATGTAAAGAGAATAATGTAATGAATTCCGTGTACCTACCATCCAGCTTCAATAGTTTCCATATTTTGCCAATCTTATTTCATCTTTCAGCTTTCTCCCTAAACTCTTTTTTCTAGAGTATTTTAAAGAAACTTCTAGACATCATGGCAGTTCACACATAAATATTTAAATATACATCTCTAACTGAAGAACTTTTTAAAAAACATAAATCGGCACACCATTACCACACATAGCAAAATTAATAATTCTCTAAAAATCATCTAATATTCATTCATATTTTCCTAAATATCTCAAAGATATCTTGTTACAGTTGGTTGTTGGAAACAGGATACAAATAAGGTCTATATAGCATATCTGGTTATTAAGTCACTTATATCTCCTTTATTCTCCTTTCTTAATACTGTTAATCTGTGGGGAGACTGAGTCATCTGTAAAATGGAATGTTCTGTTAGATCTAGATGTACCTGGTTGTTTTTTTGTGGTGCTAATTGCCTTGTTTTTTGTTGCTTATGTTTCCTATAAACTAGCAGTAATGTCTAAATACTTGATTAGGTTTAGCTTCTTAGGAAACAATATTTCACATGTGATACTATGTACTTATTCTTGCCTTGCATCATAAGGCACGTAGCATCTGCTTTGATTTTTAGTGATGCTAATATAGATGAGTGGCTTCAAATTGCATAGGTCTGACCCCATTCTGCTTTCACCTAATAGTTTAGAATTCATTATTTATTGTCTAGATCCATTTTGTCATCAAAGGTTGCAAAATGTTTACTTTCAAATTCTGAAAAGCCCTACAAACAATAAAAGAATTAGTAGAGAGATAAAATTAATAAGCATAAGACAATAGCTTTTCACGTACTCAGACAACAATCACTTAGAAAGATATAGTGGAAAAAAGAAACCATTTACAACAGGAACAAAGAAAACACCTACAAATAGAGTTTACAAGAAACATGTAAAACTTATGTGAAGTAAACTTTAAAATATTCCTAAAGGACAAAATATATCCTTGAATGAATAGAAAGGTATCCTTGAATGAATGGAAAGGCACCCCAAAATCTTGGACGGGCTGATGACCGATTCAGTAGATCTGGAGTGCAGGCCAGGATTCTGAGTTTCTTACAGCCTGCCTTCCCCAGAATAGCCTGCTCTGTGCTGTAGAGCAGTTATTTTCAAGATGTAGTCCCTAGACCAGCAGCATCAGTATCACCTGAGAACCTGTTAGAAATGCAGATTATCTTGCCTCACCCCAGACCTACTGAATCAGACACCCTGGGGGTGGAGTTCAGCAATCCACATTTTAATAAGCCCTCCAGATGATTTTTATATGGACTAAAGTTTGAGAACCACTGCCTTAGTGTTATCAAATTTAGCTTGAACTGGAATCAGCTAGGATCACGTTAAACTGCAGGCTTGACTCAACAGGTTTTAGATACTGTCTGATTCTGCATTTCTAACAAGCTTCATCGTGATACTGATGTTGACAGTCTGAAGATAACATTTTGAGAGACGACTAGAAGAACAATCTCTTTCCAGCTTACTGAAGGCCAGCCTAGTCTGAAACCCTCACTTGCTATTTTTTCGTAGATATTAATGACAAATAATAGTTTAATGTGTTACTCCTCCCAATAATATGTTTGTATTCCTTTCAAACAAAAATTAACCAAAAATAATTGAAAGTGAATCTCCAGCTTTGGTGGAGAGATTTTAGAGACCTACTTATCAGCATCTATCAAATCATGCTGTAGATGCTATACTGCTAACTGGAACCTAAAGAAAAAGAAAACATGATTGAAGAAAATGCTCTCTATGCATAGGGAGAATGTATAAATGTATAAATACAATTTGCCTGTAATTTTTGTCTTTTTATAAATTCTGATTTTCATGTTAGTGTTCAGGTTCTGTCGCTTCATATTGCCCCAAAATTCAGTGGCTTAAAGCCACAAACATTTATTTAAGCTCATGATTTTTGGGGTCATGGAGTTGGATAGGACATGGCAAGGACTTCTCTACAAAGCCTGCAGCCTCCACTGGAGTGGGTCAAATGTTTGGAGATGGCTGCAATGATTTGATTAGGGCCATAGATCTGGGGCCTTTTATTCTCACTGTTGGTTGGACTTCCTGGTTCTTCTCCATGTCGTGTACACTGGGGCCTGAATGTTTAAAATGGCTCCTTCATTCACATGCCTGACCCCTAAGCTAGAATATCTGAGACAATTGGAGCCATTGGGATCTCTCTCTCTCTCTCTTTTTATCTCTCTCTCTCTCCTCCCACTGGCTAGCTTGGGCCTCTTCAGAGCTTGGTAGTCCCTGAGTAATTGCAGTTCTTACATAGTGGCTTTTACCAGACTGTTGAGCATTGCAACATTGTAAGAGACCAAGGCATAAACTGTGATACTGCTTAACAATCTACCTCATGTCTGCCATATTTTATTGGTTCATAAGGTCAGATTCAAAGTGAGGATAACACGACTACATCTGCCAGAAGGAGCCATTGAACCATATTTAATTTATCACATGTGCTGGTTAATTTTAGATGTCAACTTGATTGGATTAAGGGGTAGCCAGATAGTTATTAAAGCATTATTTCTGGGTATGTATGTAGGGGTGTTTCCAAAAAAGATTGGCATTTGAATCAGTGGACTGAGTAAGGAAAATCTGCCCTCACCTAACCTGGGCAGGCACCATACAATCCATTGAGGGCCTGGGTAGGACAAAAAGGGAGAGGATGGGCAAATTTGCTCTCTGTCTCTCTCTCTCTCCCTCTCTCTCCACTCGAGTTGGGTCACCAATCTTTTCTCTGTCTCCTGGAGTTGGGTCACCAATATTCTCCTTATCTATTGGCCCTTGGAAATAAAAACTTCAGGTTCCTTTGCCTTTGGCTCTGGGATTTGTACCATCAACTCCCCTGGTTCTCAGGCCCTCAGACTGGGACTTGAGCCACCCTACACATTTCCCTGATTCTCCAGCTTACAGGTGGCACGTCATGGGCCTTCTCAGCCTTCATAATCACATGAGCCAATTTCCACAATAAATCCTCTTTCATATATATATACACACACAATATATATAGCACATATATTTTGTTATATATTTGTCATGTTTTGTTATATATAATATATATTCCCACAAGAAATCCCCTTTCATATATGTAGCATATATATATATACACGCATACACACACACACATGCACACACATATATATGTATGTATGTATATATACTGTTGTACTGTTGGTTCTGTTTCTCTGGAGAACCCTGACTAACATACCACTGTTATGTTTATTAAAATGAGAGACCCAGGTACATCAAAGATACTCCAAAATTGCTTAGCTAGAACCAATTTAAATTCATAAAAAAAAAAATGCTCACTGTAAAACTTCTGAAAGTTCATCCCAGCCCAAGAAAACCCATGGTATATTGGCAAATACATCATATTAGGATGTCTCTTTTTTCCTGGAGAGCCAGTTTTTAAATTTTTATCATACTCTACTGTTTGAAATCCAGATAACATTTCCAATATTTCAACCTCACAGCCCCTCACCACCTTCACTGACTCCCCATATAAAATCAGTAGTTCTTCACCATGACTGCACATTATAATCACTTAGAAAGCTTTTAAAAGAAATCTCAATGTTCAGGCCCTAACCCAGAAAAGTTACATCAGGTTCTCAGGAAATGGGTCCAGACATTGTGATTGTCAAAGGCCCCCAGGTGATTCCAATTTGCAGCCAACATCGAGAGCTACTGACAAACACAGATAGATGCTTTCCATCCAACCTCTCATGCCAACCTCTTAGCTTTTTCTTAATGATTTTGGGATCTAAAATCAGAGAAGTCCAAGCACTACCCACAAAGGAAATTAATATCCTCTGGCTTGTACAACAGGGGATATTTAAAATAAGAGAGAAAAATGAGAGGGAAATATTAGAAAATTAAGATAATTACCTTAGAGAATTCGGAACCACCAAAGTCTAAATAGAATAATATAGTTAATAGTTGAAGTACTTGAAATATATCATGTGAGAAGCGGTAGCAGTTTTCTGCTACCCAGTGACTTCTGGATTGCTTTAACCAGTTTTTAGAGTAAATCAGTGGATCATCAGGCTTTGAAACAACTAATTTGAATCAATAATGTCATCGTTTTCTCATTAAATGTATACATTTTTAGTGATGCTTTAAAGGTCTCAAGTAGAAAACCATACAAAAATTTTAAAAGTTGCTTTGGACACATATATTTTACAATACATTACTTTAAGGTATAATGCATAGAATTATGTAGTGATTTGTCTGCCATGCCTTATTTTTGTAATCTTTGTTACATACCTTTTTTTCTCCCACTTTATATTTGATATGAATAAGCTGAATGTATCCTAAAGCTGAATTAAGTGGTTGAGCCTGAAAAAAGGAAGGAACTGCACAGGAAAAACAAAAGAATCATATATATATGTGTACACAATTTATTCATGGGATAAATTGGACAGAATCAGCATTTTGTGCCATGAAATTTTTCCTTGAGTATATTCCTTGTATGGGAAAGCATCACATTCTTTTCAAGAGCATTCTCCAATCCTTTTCTCTTATGTAATAGGGTAGTGGTGGTAGGGAGAAGACCAGATCTTCAGGGAAAATTAGAAGTATTAAAAGGGAGTCAGCCTGGGCTTGGGTTGGCTCTAGCCCAAGGACCCTTCCATATGCTTCAAGTCTAGACCTAGAAGAGACTGTTATGGCAAACATTAGTATGACCATTGGGTGCCCTCTCTAGATATTCAAATCCAGGGTGCCAATGTCCCAGTTCGGCAGTGTAACCTCCTCTGGAGGATCACCCTTGGGCCACTGGAGACTCCTCACCTGGAGTTTTCTGGGGAATGCTCTCTCTTGGCTGCAATGGAAGCCCCAGAGCACACTTGGGATCAGGAGAAATCTGACATTCCAGAGCCCCCCCATAGGTCAAGCTGAGGCTGAAGTCCCAGAATTTCCTCTGGGATTGATTGAGACTCCACTTGTAACTGCATTCTTTCTTGTGTTTATCCTGCTAATATGTTTCTCCTAAGAGGATTTCCTTTTAATAAATCATGTATACACAGCTCCCTGTGTCAGGCGCAGCCTCTAGGGAGCACATCCAAAGACAACTAATGGTCCACACATTTTAAAGTCTCTGCTATCAAAGCCAGTTCATCCTGCTGCCTCTAGATACCCATTCCCTCAAGATACTCAAGAGCAGACACCAATTTGCTCTCCCTATCTTACTCCACTGCCTCCAGGACTATTTGTGGGACAGATAAGTTTTCTTGGACTTGTTTTATTCCTGAGTAAAGGACTGTTAAGGAATTTAGGAGTCAGGATGAGAACCTGTTAAGTGGCTTCTTCCAGAGGAGGAGGATGAGCTCTTCTGCTACTTACTAAGCTGCAGCAACAAGTACCCAGGCTGCTGGCTTCTTGCCAGTCAGCTTGGGTTTTCTTGAATGAGGCAGTCATTGTCATGAGCGTAAGTTTTTTGAGTGCAGAAAGTCCCTGGACTTGAGGGTGGCAGGAATATCCCCCAGATATGACTCCTCAATCCTCAGCTCCTTACAGCTAACCTACTTCTGTAGAACTTCTGTTTCAGCCTCTCACACACTGCAAAAGAGGCATCGGCATCGGCCAGTTCCTATATGTCTTTTTCCAGCTCAGAAGACACTTAAGGGCAGACAAACTTTAAGTCAAGAAAGATTAAGAAGGAGAACTCTTTGCTGAATTTTCTCTCCCTTTATTCTGAAAACTCTACCCCCTCACATCCCTAATCCCTGTTCTGTCCCTGCCACATACACACACAGACGTCTGACCCTGCACCTCCAAGTTCCCAAAGATATTGTACGTAGAAAAAACAAACCTTTTTTTATTGACATTCACACTCAACACTGAACACTCCTTGCCACCAACTGTGTGGGTTTTCTCCCACACTGGCCAATTCTCCAATACCAACTGGATATCATACAATTCAATTCTGGCATTAATCGGCATTAAGTGCAGATCCCCAGCAGGTTAAGAGCTCAGTCCCATAAGATCTCCCCCAACTTCAGACACCAGTCACAAGCAGTAGGTTCCAAAGTTACTCACATCTTCTATCTGACGTGGCTACAAAGCAGAGGTTCCCATGATTTCCTTCTCAGATTTCACCATTTGCTAGAGTAGCTCACAGAACTCAGGAAAGGGCTTTATTTACTATCATCAGTCTATTATAAAATAATATAACTCAGAAACAGCCAGATGGAGGCACAGGAACAGGTTTGGGGGAAGGGGCACGGAGCTTCCACGGCCCCTTTGGGCTCACCACTCCTCATGTATTGAGCAATGCAGAAGCTCTCTGAACCTTGTCCTTTAGATTTTTATGGGAAGCTTTATTCTTAGGCATGATTGATTAAATCATTATCCATTTGTGATCGACTCAACCTTCAGCCCCTCTTCCTTCCCCAAGGTCTGGGAGTGGGGCTGAAAGTTCCAACCCTCTAAACACATGGTTGGTTCCCGTGGCAACCAGACCCTATTCTGAGGCCATTCAGAAGCCCCTAACTATCAGTCATCTCATTCGCGTACTACCAGACACATCACTTGGGAGGTCCCAAAGGTTTTAGGAGCTCTGCACCAGGAATAGGAAGAAAGACCAAATACATATTTCTTCTTGTAAATGACAATAACATAGATATGTTCTGGGTCCTATACTTGTAGGATTCAGTTTGCCATCATGTTTCATGTTAATAAGAAGTTAATATTCAGCTTTCTCAAACTAAGAGACATAGACTACCACTGTAAGGTATGAGCCACAGCACAAAACATAGTTCTTTTTTAAAGCACAATTCTTCTCAGAGATTTAAGGAGAATTTATGTACATATATACATACACATATATATGTACATACTAACATGGATATAGTACATTGTAGAATGCAAGATTTGCATTATTTCTGATAAATGTAAGACTGCAATGCAGTTTTATGCCAGTACTGCTTTGGACAGTGTCCCCAGACCTTTAGCCAAGGTCAATTTACCCTACTATAGTCTGAATGTTTGTGTCTCCCCCAATTTCATATGTTGAAATCTTAACCCCCAAGCTGATAGTACTAAGAAGCAGAGCCTTGAGAAGTAATTGGGTCATGAAGGTGGAGCCTCCAGGAATGGGATTAGTGCCTTATAAAAATGCTCAAGGGAGCTTATTTGCACTTTCCACCATGGAAGGACACTGAGAAGTCAGCAAGCAGTTTGCAACCTGGAAAATTGCTCTCACCAGAACCTGAGCATGCTGGCAGCCTGACCTCGGACTTCCCAGCCTCCAGAACTGTGAGAAATAAATTTCTATTTTGTATAAGCCACCTATCTATGATATTTTGTTATAGTAGCCCAAACGCACTAAGACATACCCACGGCCTAGTAAGCACTGTGCCTAAGGACCATAATACTTGTAAGGGCCCACTAAAATGTTTTTAATTTCTTTTAAAATCAGAAGAAAATACATAAACTTTTAGGTTGAAGAAAATGCTAATATATTCACCTTTTATCAATGCAGTTATAAATATATATTTCTGTGTGTGTGTATATATATATATATATATATATATATATATATATATATATATATATATTTGTTACTACTATTTTGAATGTAGGAAATGGTTCGCAAAGGCAAAAGTACATAAAGCCCACAAAAATTATGATGCAGCCCTGCTTCCAGGGGAGTATTTTCAGTATACAGTGAAAACATGTGAAAAACTTTCAATTTTAGGTATCATATTCTTGCAACTTGTGATTTTTGAGAACTGAGATCTTCAGATCCTGAGGGAATGAATTCCACAATTTCATACATCCTTAAAAGTGTAGATTTGTAGGACAGAGACTCCTGCTGATCACACTGCAGGAGCCACTGTGTAGGGCAACCTATGTTAAGAGTAACTTGCTCACTCACAAGCCATTGCTTCTGCCCCTAAATTCTGCAACCAATATTTACAGAGACTGATGAGCCCTCTCACATGAGTCTGTCTGTTGAATGATAAAATCTTAGATCTTGGAGCAACATTTAGGCCTACTGAGCCCCTCTCCACCAATGCAAGAGCACCTTTGTCACCCCTCAGCATCAATTTGAGCACATCCTGATGTTCCACTTGAGAGCTTCAAAGCAGTTTCCTTTGTGTTATTGTCTTGTAAACATACTCCAAATGTAAGAAAATACAGAGACACACAGGTTGCTGGTGATACGTTAGGAGGATCACAGAATGAGCATGCCACTCAACACCATGAGTCATTGATGGTGGATGAGCTACATATTGTGGGCAGTACCCACAAGGACCATTGTCGTCTCATCATCCTCAGGGCTAAGTTGCAGACCATTGTCCACCACTCTGTGGAGGGTGCTATAGTGTTGCTGGCTTTGGTGGAAAGAATGCAGCTCTGAAGCAGCCTCCCAGGCAGCAAACGTAGGCATGGGAAAAGGATCTGGCCTCTTGTTTTCAAAAAAACATTTCAGGTTCCTCTCGCTCAGCTTGTTGGCATAGTCCAGAAATGTATTTTCCAACTGCTCCTTCTCCTTTTGTGCATATGTCTTCCAAAAACTCAGCTGAAGGTAGCTAACTTTAGATCGGCAGCGAGCATAACATGTGGTGAGCAGAGAGAAGAAAGACGCTGAACAAATCAGGCACCATCCTAGAATCTTAAGAAGAAAGAAATATTGAGTACACACGTGAAAGCAAAGCCATTTAGGGAGCTGGGGTATTATTGAGAAGTGTATAGCTAAATTATTACCACAGTCTTTGACATACCTCATTTGAAATCATTCATCTTAATTTTTAAACACTTTAAACTCACTTTTTGAATTTATTAGGTAAACTCAAAATAAAGTTAGGGTTTACCTAATCTCTATTCTCCTCCCCAACATTGCTGGTGCAAAGAAATAACCAGAAGGCAGGCAGATAGAAAAGAGTACAAAGTATAGATTACATAAGACTTACAGAAATCAAGCTCAAATAGTATTAGCTCTGATAGGAAAATATTCTGTGCATAAGTAAATGTGGTCATTTGAGTAAATGACCAGCTCTTCAGCCAGGCATTTTTAGGCATTGATAAATGTATATACATGGCTAGAGACTAATTTTTTTCTGTCATTACTTACTGTCCATGGAAAAGGGAGACAGACGATACAATCAGGAAGCTGAAGCTATAAGAATTTAAAGGCTGAGAAAAAATTAGGATCATTAAAACCTTGAAAATGATTTGTCTTGATTTTTGGTAATTAGAAAAAACAAACTCTTTCCTGAATATGAAATGGTTCAGCTTTTCTCCCCTGGATCTTAAAAGCAGAAGTTTAAATAGCTTAAATTATCTTCTAACTTTTTTGGCTCTAACTCTGTTTTCACAATTGAAATTAATTTTATGTTTGGAAAACTAACATCTTTTTCAAAGTGTCTCTTGACATTTAGTTTAAATGATCCTTAATATTCTTTAGCAGATGAGCCTATTTGAAAATAGAAATAATAATCTACAAATGAACCCATTCAGACCATAACAAAACCACAAATAAGCTTTAAATCAGTGGTTCCCAACCTTTGACTCAGATATAGAGTGTTTGTGAAGGGTCTCAACCTCTGCACCAATGCCAACTCTGGACTGGCACTACTCAGGTTTAAATCTAAACTTTCCCCTTACTATGCGTATTCTTTTTATCTCAGTTTCTTCACTTGTGAAACGAGGGTTACTCACCTTGAAGGGTAATTTGATGGACCTAATGAAATGATACTGGACACATGTATTCATTAAGTTTTAGCTAATATTATATGCTGCTATTCTTCAAATATATATACACTTATGTAAATGTGTTACTGAACTCATAATATCTTTCTGTACTTATAATTAATGAGTGAGGCACAACTACCATCAAGTGAAAGTCCCTGAATGGATTGTGGTTGGCTACCTTATATGTTCCTCCTTCCTTCATCGTCTGTCTTCCTCTTTTTCCACAGCTGAGGCTTCTGTACGCCATCTCATCTCAGTACCTGAGCCAGTTCCAGCTGAATTATAAACTATTCCATCAGCTTCAGGTCCCCTTCCCCCTTTCACATGACGTTTGCATTGACCGATGCTTTCCCTCAATTCACAGTACCCAGAGTCAAACTAGAGCTTGGTGGATGCTTCCATACCAGCCCTCAAAAGTGTCTTATTTTGCATATGTCCTCCCCCAAACCATGGCAGTTTTCCTCATTGACTTGGAACAAATACTGTGTACCAGAAGCTTTATGCCCATTTGTATCTATCATCTCTAAATCTTCCGACAACTCTCCAAAGTAAGTGATATTACCACTAACTATGAGAAAACTGGGACTCAAAGAGGTCGAACCACTAGTTCTAGGTCACATAGCTGGTGATTGGTAGCATCAGCATACAAACCCAACGCCAGACAATTCCAAGACTGAGCTCTTTCCACTACTCCATTCTATCTTCCTTAAGAATAGAGAGTCATCCAGCTAGATTTTTTATCTGCCCCACCCATGGATGAATGTTCTTTTCCGCCTCCAGGCACATGTACACCTATTGTTGGTCTGGACTATATGCTGCCTCCTGCCTATCTGAACCTCTGTAGTCAGCACCTGCTATTGATACAAGTTCTCTTGCCCACATTCCTTATGCATCTTCCCACAGGAATCAGCCCCAGGTCCTTCTCATTCTGATGAAGAATCAGCAGGTCAGTGTGCTCAGCCTAAGCTATGACATGATGTGCAAGATTTCCTTGTACCTGTGTTTAGAGAGGAGAAGCTCACACAATGATAAGTGTTTGGGCCTGCCACTGACTGAATGGAGCCTGGTGACTGAGGACATACACCATAAATCAATCATTCTGTCATAAGAGTTGTAAGTTATACCCTTCTTCAATAAAAGACACAAGACATTTGGGAGCCTGATATGTTTTATCTAAGATGTGCTTTATGCATTAAAGAAAAGATTTTGTTTTGGAGTATTTTTTGACTTATCAATTTATGAAGAGTATGACTTTACTGCCAACCAGCTTTGGAGTGTATGATTTTAAAAACAGATTTTGCCTTGATTTGTTGTTACCAAGGCAAATCCTTGTCGAAAAAGTAAAATAATGCTATTTCTGTGCCTTTATTCTGAAACAGATAGCATTCCTGACAATTTGTGGATCTGCTTATCAACTCTTACCACTTGTTTTGCTTTTGGGAATGCAATTCTTACTACCTATAAATGGGAAGTTAGTCCTTCCTAAGGCTGTACATCTGGATTTGTGTTCATGTGCCTGGAGGAATGACAGGCTACTTCCCTGCATCAATTAGGTAAAGATATGATTTCCTTCTGTTAAATAAAACAATGCCCAAATCTTGAGCTTCTGAAGTAATTAAGAACCCCTTTAGCTGTACAGCACAAAGAGTATAAAACATAATCTCCCTAGAGAGTACAGTCACTTTTTCACAGAAGGCTATTTAAAAACTGCTGATTCCTACCATACAAGGAAAATTCTTCTCAATCTTGACAATATTTATACACAGAGATAGCAGTTGCCAGAAATCATTCAAGAGAATCTCCACACTAATTATATTACATGCAACTTTGAAAAGTAATAACTCATTTCATTCAGCTACATTTTAATAGATGAATAATACATGTGTGTGTTTGAGAAAACAACTTGAATGTAAATAATTGATAGAAGGCAGTAATTTCTAATTACAGCTCTGCCATTAACACTCAATTTATGATTTAGTGTTAGGCATTATTTATTTACAGACCCAGAGAGACTGTTTTAAAGTACTTAAGTATTTATATGTGGACAATCCAGTGGATATTTTCTTTTCAGAACCGGAAAAGAGATAATCCAGTCAGCAACTTTATTGAGCCACCCAGCCTTTCAAAAGCTTTTCCTGAGATAGTCTCAATGCTGCATCATGTTTCAGTTTCCATTTAGTTTCAAAATATTCTGACAGGACACAGACAGCCCTGGCTGAAAGGAGCACAGAGAGAATACTTCGAGCTCATGCTGAGAGAAAAAGGCGAGTTTGTCTTTTCTTACCTGAGACTGGGCCTGAAGGGAGAGTTTCAGTTCTTCATTGACGGTAGGTAGCATGCTAGTTTTGCCACAAGATACTTTGTGAAGTTCTTCCCAGCACTCTTTGGGCTTACCCTTGCAAATCAGTTCCAGGAGTCCTGAACTTCTCGTCCCGCTCATGGCACATTCATAGAAAGTTCCATTGAGCAGAGCCACAGAAAGCCACATCACTGGAGCCACCAATGAGCTCAGAGTGATCTGGCCGAGGACGTAGAAGAAACGGCAGCTGTGGCCTCTGGGAAAGATTTTCCTGGGATTCACACAGCAGCCTGTGAAGAGTCTCCACGACCTATTGTTCAGAAAGAATCCCAGGATCAGTAACACCCAGGCAGGAGCAAAGAGGAAAACCAGCCCATAGGTCATATTCTCAGTGCTGCAGGGGCACTTAAAAGCCACAACAGAAAAGAGACGCTCACTTCCCACGGTCAGCAGAGCCATGAAGCTGTAGCCAATAACAGTTTTCTGATTAAGGAAGAATTTTAAAATGCCCTGAAAAGCATCCATGTTGGAGATGCACAGAGGGAAAATGCTGTGCCTTTGTTATTGGCAGAGCAGCTGTGGCAGTGGCCGAGGGTGGAGCTCTTTCTTCATCAGAAACAACAGTCCTTCTCAGACTGAATTGAGCCAGATAAGGAAACAATGTCATTCCTTAGGAATGAATATTTCTCAACATGTTTAGATAATGCCTCCTACTGGTGGAAATTGGGCTGTGATACTGCAGCCTAAATGCTGAGAATAAATTCAAAGTGCACGGGCTCCATTTTAACCTTCTTTCCATGTGGTTTGGATTGAAAATCAGAAAAGAAATTCTCACTCATACAAATAATAGTCTAGGAATTTTCCAGTGTAAGGAATCAACATTAACAGAAAGAGGTTTCAGCCGACAAATCAAATCTCCAAACCTAGAATTTTATGAATGTTTTTCTCTTCCTATGACTTGAGATTTGGAAGACAGGGATTTGCTGTCTTTTTTCATATATATAAAAACATATGAAAATTATATATATATATATATATCAATAGCTTTTGGAGCACAAGTGGGTTTTGGTTACATGGATGAAATATACATATAAATATACATATATATATATATACATATATATATGAGATTTTAGTGCACCCATCACCGGATATGTATGTGTACCCAATATGTATTTTTTTATCCCTCACCCCCTTCCCACTCTCCCTCTTTCTGAGTCTCCAAAGTCCATTATACCACTCCATATGCCTTTACGTACCCATAGCTTAATTTCCACTTATAAGTGAGAACTACAGTTTTTGGTTTTCTATTTCCGAGTTACTTCGCTTGGAATAACGCCTCTAGCTCCATCAAGTTGCTGCAAAAGACATTATTTCATTCTTTTTTATGACTGAGTAGTATTCCATGGTATATATACACCACAGTTTCTTTATCTATTCATCAGTTGATGGGTACTTAGATTGGTTTCATATCTTTGCAATTGTGAATTGTGTTGCAATAAATATACATGTGCAGGTGTTTTTTTTTAATATATAATGACTTCTTTTTCTTTGGATAGATACCCAGTAGTGGGATTGCTGGACTGAATAGTAGATCTACTTTTAGTACTTAAAGTTCTTTCTTTAAGAATGAAAGAAAGGTGCCGTGGTTCATGTCTGTAATCCTAGCATTTTGGGAGGTCGAGGCAGGTGGATTGCTTGAGCCAAGGAGTACGAGACCAGCCTAGGCAACATGGTGAATCTCCCTCTCTACAAAAAAATACCAAAAAAAAATTAGCCAGGCTCGGTGGCATGCACCTGTAGTCCCAGCTACTCAGGAGGCAGAGATGGGAGGATCGCTTGAGCCCAGGAGGCTGAGGTTGTGGTGAGCCAAATCATGCCACTGCATTCCAGTCTGGGTGACAGAGCAAGACCCTGTCTCATAAATAAATACATAGAAGGAAAGAAAGAAATCTCCATACTGTTTTTTATAGAGGTTGTACTAATTTACATTCCTACCAGCATTCTACAAGCATTCTGTTTTCACAAAATTCATACCAATATCTATTGTTATTGCCTTTTTAGTAATAGCCATTATTACTGGAATAAGGTGGTATCTCATTGTGGTTTTAGTTTACATTTCCCTAATGATTAGTATGTTGAGCATTTTTTCATATGTTTGTTGTCCATTTGTATATCTTCTTTTGAGAAATGTCTATTGATGTCATTTGCTCACTTTTTGATGGGATTATTTGTTTTCTTCTTGCTGATTTGTTTGAGTTCCTTATAGATACTGGATATTAGTCCTTTGTCAGATGCATAGTTTACAAATATCTTCTCCCATTTTGTGGGTTGCCTGTTTACTCTGATGTTTATTTCTTTTGCTGTGCAGAAGCTTTTTAGTTTAATTAGGTCCCATTTATTTATTTTTGGTTTTGTTGCATTTGCTTTTTGGGTCTTAGTCATAAATTCCTTGCCTAGGCCAATGTCCAGAAGAGTTTTTATTACGTTTTCTTCTAGAAATTTTATGGTTTCACATCTTAGATATAAGCGTTTGATCCATCTTGAGTTTATTTTTGTATATGGTGAGTGACAGGGATCCAGTTTCATTCCTGTACATGTTGCTATCCTGTTTTCCAAGCACCTTTTAATGGATACAGTGTCCTTTCCCCAGTTTATGTTTTTGTATGCTTTGTCAAAGATCAATTGGTTCTGAGTTCTCTATTCTGTTCCATTGGTCTATGTATCTACTTTTGTACCAGTGCTATGCTGTTTTGATAACTATACCTTTGTAGTATAATTTGAAGTCAGGTAATGTGATGCCTCCAGATTTATTCTTTTTACTTAGTATTGCTTTGGCTGTTGGGGCTCTTTTTTTGGTTCCATATAAATTTTAGGATTGTTTTTTCTAATTCTGTGAAAAATTATGTTGGTATTTTGATAGGAATTGCACTGAATCTGTAGATTGCTTTGGGAAGTATGGTTATTTTCACAATATTGATTCTTCCAATCCAGGAGCATGGCATATATTTCCCTGTGTTTGTGTCATCTATGACTTCTTTCAGCTGCATTTTATAGTTCTCCTTATAGAGATCTTCCACCTCTTCGATTAAGTATATTCATCGGTGGGTTTTTTTTTTTTTTTTTTTTTACAACTCTTATAAAAGGGATTGAGTTCTTGATTTGGCTCTCAGCTTGGTTGTTGTTGGTGTATAGCAGGGCTACTGATTTGGGTACATTAGTTTTGTAAACTAAGACTTTACTAAATTCATTTATCAAATCTAGTAGTCTTTTGGAGGAGTCTTTAGGTTTTTCTAGATATATGATTATCCTGACAAATGGAGATAGTTTGACTTCCTCTTTTCTAATTTGGATGCCCTTTATTTCTTTCTCTTGCCTGATTGCTATGGATGGGATTTCTATTAATAGCACTGTGTTGAATAGAAGTGGTGAAAGTAGGCATCCCTGTCTTGTTCCACTTCTTAGGGGAAATGCCTTCAACTTTCCCCCTTTCATTTTTTATCTTCCTAAACTGGCTAGTGTTAGAGATCAAATTTTAGGATTTGGGATATGTGCATTTTACATGGGAAAGTTTAGGGAGAGTTTGAGTTTTGAAGGAAAGTCAAAATGAGAAGAGTCCTCATCATTTCTTTCCTAGGCTTACTATAATAGTAACCTTTTGATTAGTATCTCAGCCCTTGACCTCATGCTCACTCCCATCCATAACCCTAAATCCATTCTCTATGCTGACAAGAAAAGGATCCTTCTAAAACTGAAATTGAATTCTGCATTAGCCAGTTCACACCTTTGGGGCTCACAACTGCTCACAAGTTGATAGATGTAGAGATTCCCTGAACCCCATCATGGTATTTTATGCTCATGACATGTTCCCACTACCTAGAATGTCTTTGTCACTTACCTCCAGACCCCTAGTCTTGTCTACCTGGCAAACATTCAGTCAATAGATGCCCATTCTATAATTTGTCTTGCAAATGGCTATTGAACTCCCACTGTGTGCCAGGTACTGTGCCAGACTGGCAGTGCTCAAGAAATTTCTGTTGAATAAATGAAGAATGAATAAGGAATCTCCTAGTCCTTCTGATTATAAGTAATTTAAGAAAATTGCTTCCATTTCTCTCCTACACAGCTCTTAATTTTAAAAATTAATTAATTTCTGCACTTGAAAGATGGCAACATATCAAGCTGACAAAATTTCATTAATAAACTTCAAAGTCCAGGCCTGTGTATTTTGTGAAAAGAAATTGCCTTGGACTAGGAGCCAAGGAATTAAGTTATAGCATGGTCTTGGCAGTGTCATTTGACTTCTCTGAACACCAGTTTACTTATTTTTGAAACTAAGGCCTTAAAAGACACAGTCTGCAAGATTTCTTCCATTTCCACATTGTAAAATTCTTCAAGCACTGTAAAACAGCAGATGTTTTTGCGAAGTTACTTTATAATTCATTTATGCGCCTCCCACCACTACCACTTGTTCCTTAGAGACTTGTCTTTGATAGTAGTGTAGTCCCCTGTTACCCACAGGGGATACCTGCAACCAAGACCCACAGGGGATACCTGCAACCAAGACCCCCAAACTGCAGACAGTACCAAACCCGTATATATTATGTTTTTTTTAAATCTGCCAACTGAGGCAGTTAACAAGTGACCCATGGGCAGGTCATAGCATAAACAGTGTGTAATACACTGAACAAAGGGATGATTCACGTTCTGGGCAGTATGGAGTACGGACAGTGAGAGGTTTCATCACACTGCTCAGAAGCACAATTTTAAACTTATGAATTATATACTTCTAGAATTTTCTATCTAACATTTTCAAATTATCTTGACCACAGGTAACTGAGACCACAGATAATGGCCAGCTACTCCAAAATTTTTCCCTTCACTTCCCAAAATGTATTCTTGGGTCTAATCTGCCCCTAGCATCCTCTGCTTTGACTGTCACCACACTGTTGTGGCAAATGTGTCCTGGGTCCCTTCTAGTCCAGGGTTTTATACTTTGCTAGTATCAGTGTGACAAATATCAGCTGATATGTTGATGATTAATAATATTTTAATTTCTTACTCCCCTAAAGGATATATATCTTTTAAAAAGATTTTGAAAATAATGATTTAATTTTTTACAAACCATATTATCTCCACAGAAAATTATCCTCTTACAATATTCTATACATTAAAAATAGTATTTATTTTTATTTACTTATTTATTTATTTTTATACTTTAAGTTCTAGGGTACATGTGCACAACGTGCAGGTTTGTTACATAGGTATACATGTGCCATGATGGTTTGGTGCACCAATCACCTCGACATTTACATTAGGTATTTCTCCTAAAGCTATCCCTCCCCCAGCCCCCCAGCCTGACAGGTCCCGGTGTGTGATGCTCCCCTACCTGTGTCCATGTGTTCTCATTGTTCAACTCCCACTTAGGAGTGAGAACGTACAGTGTTTGGTTCTCTGTCCTTATGATATCTTGTTGAGAATGACGGTTTCCAGCTTCATCCATGTCCCTGCAAATGACATGAACTCTTCCTTTTTTATGGCTGCATGGTATTCCCTGGTGTATATGTGCCACATTTTCTTTATCCAGTCTATCATTGATGGACGTTTGGGTTGGTTCCAAGTCTTTGCTATTGTGAATAGTGCCATAATAAACATACATGTGCATGTGTCTTTATAGTAGCATGATTTATAATCCTTTGCATATATACCCAGTAATGGGATCGCTGGGTCAAATGGTATTTCTAGTTCTAGATCATTGAGGAATTGCCACACTGTCTTCCAAAATTGTTGAACTAATTTACACTCCCACCAACAGTGTAAAAGTGTTCCTACTTCTCCACATCCTCTCCAGCATCTGTTGTTTCCTGACTTTTTGATGATCGCCATTCTAACTGGCAAGAGATGGTATTTCATTGTGGTTTTGATTTGCATTTCTCTGATGAACAGTGATGATGGGCATTTTTTCATGTCTGTTGGCTGCATAAATGTCTTTTTTTGACAAGTGTCTGTTCATATCCTTTGCCCACTTTTTGATGGGGTTGTTTTTTCCTTGTACATTTGTTTAAGTTCTTTGTAGACTCTGGATATTAACCCTTTGCCAGATGGGTAGATTGCAAAAATTTTCTCCCATTCTGTAGGTTGCCTGCTCAGTCTGATGATAGTTGCTTTTGCTGTGTTAGAAGCTCTTTAGTTTAATTAGATCCCGTTTGTTTATTTTGGCTTTTGTTGCCGTTGCTTTTGGTGTTTTAGTCATGAAGTCTTTGCCCATGCCTATGTCCTGAATGGTATTGCCTAGGTTTTCTTCTAGGATTTTCATGGTTTTAGGTTTTACATTTAAGTCTTTAATCCATCTTGAGTTAGTTTTTGTATAAGGTGTAAGGAAGGGATCCAGTTTCAGCTTTCTACATATGGCTAGCCAGTTTTCCCAACACATTTATTAAACAGGGAATCCTTTCCCTATTTCTTGTTTTTGTCAGGTTTGTCAAAGATCAGATGGTTGTAGAGGTGTGGTGTTATTTCTGAGGCCTCTGTTCTGTTCCATTGGTCTATATATCTGTTTTGGTACCAGTACCATGCTGTTTTGGTTACTGTAACCTTGTAGTATAGTTTGAAGTCAGGTAGCGTGATGCCTCCAGCTTTGTTCTTTTTGCTTAGGATTGTCTTGGCAATGCGGGCTCTTTTTTGGTTCCATATGAACTTTAGAGGAGTTTTTTCCAATTCTGTGAAGAAAGTCATTGGTAGCTTGATGGGGATGGCGTTGAATCTATAAATTACCTTGGGCAGTATGGCCATTTTCACGATATTGATTCTTTCTATCCATGAGCATGGAATGTTTTTCCTTTTGTTTGTGTCCTCTCTTATTTACTTGAGAAGTGGTTTGTAATTCTCCTTGAAGAGGTCCTTCACATCCCTTGTAAGATGGATTCCTAGGTATTTTATTCACTTTGTAGGATTTGTGAATGGGAGTTCACTCATGATTTGGCTCTCTGTTTGTCTGTTATTGGTGTGTAAGAATGCTTGTGATTTTTGCACATTGATTTTGTATGCTGAGACTTTGTTGAAGTTGCTTATCAGCTTAAGGAGATTTTGGGCTGAGACAATGGGGTTTTCTAAATATACAATCATGTCATCTGCAAACAGAGACAATTTGACTTCCTCTTTTCCTAATTGAATACTCTTTATTTCTTTCTCTTGCCTGATTGCCCTGGCCAGAACTTCCAATACTATGTTGAATAGGAGTGGTGAGAGAGGGCATCCTTGTCTTGTGCCGGTTTTCAAAGGGAATGCTTCCAGTTTTTGCCCATTCAATATGATATTGGCTGTGGGTTTGTCCTAAATAGCTCTTATTATTTTGAGATACATTCCATCAATACCTAGTTTAT
Organism: Homo sapiens; assembly: GCF_000001405.40. Classification (NCBI taxonomy): domain Eukaryota; kingdom Metazoa; phylum Chordata; class Mammalia; order Primates; family Hominidae; genus Homo; species Homo sapiens. Next base: position 116,504,839 of record NC_000006.12, on the reverse strand, counting down.
AGAGAGTTTTTAGCATGAAGGGCTGTTGAATTTTGTTGAAGGCCTTTTCTGCATCTATTGAGATAATCATGTGGCTTTTGTCTTTGGTTCTGTTTATGTGATGGATTGCATATGTTTAACCAGCCTTGCATCCCAGGGATGAAGCTGACTTGATGGTGGTGGATAAGCTTTTTGATGTGCTGCTGGGTTCGGTTTGCCAGTATCTTACTGAGGATTTTTGCATTAATGTTCATCAGGGATATTGGCCTAAAATTCTCTTTTTTGTTGTGTCTCTGCCAGGCTTTGGTATCAGGATGAGGCTGGCTTCATAAAATGAGTTAGGGAGGATTCCCTCTTTTTCTGTTGATTGGAATAGTTTCAGAAGGAATAATACCAGCTTCTTTTTGTACCTCTTGGTAGAATTTGGCTGTGAATCCGTCTGGTCCTGGACTTTTTTCGGTTGGTAGGCTATTAATTATTGCCTCAATTTCAGAACCTGTTATTAGTCTATTCAGAGATTCAACTGCTTCCTGGCTTAGTCTTGGGAGGGTGTATGTGTCCAGGAATTTATCCATTTCTTCTAGAGTTTCTAGTTTATTTGCGTAGAGGTGTTTATAGTATTCTCTGATGTTAGTTTGTATTTCTGTGGGATTGGTGGTGATATCCCCCTTTATCATTTTTTATTGTGTCTACTTGATGATTCTGTCTTTTCTTCTTTATTAGTCGTGCTAGCGGTAGATCTATTTTGTTGATCTTTTCAAAAAAACAGCTCCTGGATTCATTGATTTTTTGAAGGGTTTTTTTGTGTGTGTGTCTCTATCTCCTTCAGTTCCGCTCTGATCTTAGTTACTTCTTGTCTTCTACTAGCTTTCGAGTTTCTTTGCTCTTGCTTCTCTAGTTCTTTGAATTGTGATGTTAGGGTGTTAATTTTAGATCTTTCCTGCTTTGTCTTGCGGGCATTTAGTGCTATAAATTTCCCTCTACACACTGCTTTAAATGTGTCCCGGAGGTTCTCGTACATTGTGCCTTTTTTCTCATTGGTTTCTAAGAACATCTTTATTTCTGCCTTCATTTCGTTATTTACACAGTAGTCATTGGAGCAGATTTTTCAGCTTCCATGTAGTTGTGCGGTTTTGAGTGAGTTTTTTACTCCTGAGTTCTAATTTGATTGCACTGTGGTCTGAGAGACAGTTTGTTATAATTTCTGTTCTTTTACATTTGCTGAAGAGGGTTTTACTTCCAATTATGTGGTCAATGTTAGAATAAGTGCGATGTGGTGCTGAGAAGAATGTATTTCTGTTGATTTGAGGTGGAGAGTTCTATAGATGTCTATTAGGTCTACTTGGTCCAAAGCTGAGTTCAAGTCCTTGATATCCTTGTTAATTTTCTGTCTCGTTGATCTGTCTAATATTGACAGTGAGGTGTCAAAGTCTTCCATTATTATTGTGTGGGAGTCTAAGTCTCTTTGTAGGTCTCTAAGAACTTGCTTTATGAATCTGGATGCTCCTGTATTGGGTGCACATATATTTAGGATAGTTAGCTCTTCTTGTTGAATTGATCCCTTTACCATTATGTAATGGCCTTCTTTGTCTCTTTTGATCTTTGTTGGTTTAAAGTCTGTTTTATCAGAGATCAGGATGGCAACCCCTACTTTTTTTTTTCTTTCCATTTGCTTGGTAGATCTTCCTCCATCTCTTTATTTTGAGCCTCTGTGTGTCTTTGCACATGAGATGGGTCTCCTGAATACAGCACACTGATGGGTCTTGACTCTTCATCCAATTTGCCAGTCTGTGTCTTTTAATTGGGGCATTTAGCCCACTATATTTAAGGTTAATATTGTTATGTGTGAATTTGATCCTGTCATTATGATGCTAGCTGGTTATTTTGCCCAGTAGTTGATGCAGTTTCTTCATAGTGTCAATGGTCTTTAAATTTGGCATGTTTTTGCAGTGGCTGGTATCGGTTGTTCCTTTCCATGTTTAGTGCTTCCTTCAGGAGCTCTTGTAAGGCAGGCCTGGTGGTAACAAAATCTCTCAGCATTTGCTTGTCTGAAAAGGATTTTATTTCTCCTTCACTTATGAAGCTTCATTTGGCTGGATATGCAATTCTGTGTTGAAAATACTTTTCTTTAGGAATGTTGAATATTGGCCCCCACTCTCTTCTGGCTTGTAGTGTTTCTGCCAAGAAATCTGCTGTTAGTCTGATGGGCTTCCCTTTATGGGTAACCCAACCTTTCTCTCTGGCTGCTCTTAACATTTTTTCCTTCATTTCAACCTTGGTGAATCTGACAATTATGTGTCTTGGGGTTGATCTTCTTGAGGAGTATCTTTGTGGTGTTCTCTGTATTTCCTGAATTTGAATGCTGACCTGCCTTGCTAGGTTGGGGAAGTTCTCCTGGATAATATCCTGAAGAGTGTTTTCTAACTTGGTTCCATTCTCCCCGTCACTTTCAGGTACACTGATCAAATGTAGATTTGGTCTTTTCACATAGTCCCATATTTCTTGGAGGCTTTGTTCATTTCTTTTCACCCTTTTTTCTCTAATCTTGCCTTCTCACTTTATTTCATCAATTTGATCTTCAGTCACTGATATCCTTTTTTCCACTTGATCGAATCAGCTATTGAAGCTTGTGTATGCTTCATGAAGTTCTTGTACTGTGGTTTTCAGCTCCATCAGGTCATTTAAGCTCTTCTCTACACTGGTTATTCTAGTTAGCCATTCGTCTAACCTTTTTTCAAGGTTTTTACCTTCCTTGCAATGGATTAGAATGTGCTTCTTTAGCTCGGAGAAGTTTGTTATTACTGACCTCTGAAGCCTACTTCTGTCAACTTGTCAAATTCATTCTCTATCCAGTTTTGTTCCCTTGCTGGCAAAGAGTTGTGTTCTTTTGGAGGAGAAGAGGTGTTCTGGTTTTTGGAATTTTCAGCTTTTCTGCTCTGGTTTCTCCCCATGTTTGTGGTTTTATCTACCTTTGGTCTTTGATGTTGGTGACCTATGGATGGGGTTTGGTGTGGATGTCCTTTTTGTTGATGTTGATGCTATTCCTTTCTGTTCGTTAGTTTTCCTTCTAACAGACAGGCACCTCAGCTGCAGGTCTGTTGGAGTTTTCTGGAGGTCCACTCCAGACTCTGTTTGCCTGGGTATCACCAGCGGAGGCTGCAGAACAGCAGATAATTGCTGCCTGATCCTTCCTCTGGAAGCTTTGTCCCAGAGGGGCACCTGCCTGTATGAGGTGTCTGTCAGCTCCCACGGGGAGATGTCTCCCAGTCAGGCTACATGGGGGTCATGGACCCACTTGAGGAAGCAGTCTGTCTGTTATCGGAGCTCAAACACCATGCTGGAAGAACCACTGCTCTCTTCAGAGCTGTCAGGCAGGAACGTTTAAGTGTGCAGAAGTTTTCTGCTGACTTTTGTTCAGATATGCCCTGCCCCCAGAGGTGGAATCTAAGGAGGCAGTAGGCCTTGCTGTGCTGCGGTGGGCTCCACCCAGTTCAATCTTCCCTGCCTTTTTGTTTACACTGTGAGCATAGAACCGCCTACTCAAACCTCAGCAATGGCAGACACCCCTCCCCCCGCCAAGCTTCAGCATCTCAGGTCGATCTCAGGCTTCTGTGCTAGCAGTGAGCAAGGCTCCATGGGCGTGGGACCTGCTGAGCCAGTCACAGGCTCGGGAGGGAATCTCCTGTTCCTGCAGATGCGAAGACTGTGAGAAAAGCTCAGTATTTGGGCAGAAGTGTACAGTTCCTCCAAGTACAGTTACTCATGGCTTCCCTTGGCTAGGAAAGGGAAATTCCCTGATCCCTTGCACTTCCCACATGAGGCGATGCCCTGCCCTGCTTCGGCTCACTCTCCATGGGCCACACCCACTGTCCAACCAGTCCCAGTGAGATGAACCAGGTACCTCAGTTGGAAATGCAGAAATTACCCATCTTCTCCATTGATCTCACTGGGAGCTATAGACTAGAGCTGTTCCTATTTGACAATCTTGGAAGTGACTCACAAGTAAAAATATTTAAAAATTTCACATCATAGGATCAATAAATTGCAAAGCTAAGGGTGAAGCCGGACTTCCTGACTATAGACTCCATGTGCTTAACCATTGTGCTGCAATGCCTAGAACTGGGTATTTGTTTAGTCTGCTCATAGTTATTTGTTCTAGACCAAGTTTTAGTAATTTTGTTTTTTTCTTATCAGGTTGCTTTCAAGATGTACCTGGGAATTACACCAAGTGTGACCTGTAACAATTCAAGCAAAAATGAATTTTCCCTGATTCTAGAGAAGAATCCCCTGGTGGAGTTTGTGGAAGAGCTCCCTGCTGGGCGATCTTCTCTGTGCTACTGCAACTTGCTCTGTGGGATTATCAGAGGTGCCTTGGAAATGGTAAAGTTGAATAAGTGAAGAATGAATGAAGAATCTCTTAGTCCTTCTAAGGCTAAAATAAGATAACCAATATACATAATTCATTTTGCTGGGTATATTGGTTATCTAATGGTGTGTTACAAATTACCCCCAAAATGTAGCAGCTTAAAAAAACAAACGTTTATTATCTCACACAGTTTCTGAGGATCAGAAATCTGGGAGCAGCTTAGCTAAGTGGTTGTCATTCAGAGTCTTTCATGGCTTAATACACATGCAGTCAAGCTGCTGGCCAGGGCTGCAACCTCTGGCGACTTGACTGAGGCTGGAGAATCTACTTCCAAGCTCACTCACACAGCCCCAGTGCCTTGCTGGCAGTTGGCAGGAAGCTTCATGAAGTTCCTGGCCACATGGACCTCTTTGTAGATCTAATCACAACATGGCCACTTATGCTGCCAACCCTGGTGCCATGTAGGAGGGTGCTACCTGAGGGTGTGAATAACAGGAGGCAGGGATCATTGACCATTGTGGAGGCTGGATTTTACACCTGAATTATTCATTGGTTTAACTGAAACAGTTATTAGTATCTGCTAAGTGTCAGGCACTGAGTATACACAGATGAACAAGACATAGTTGCTGTCTTTAAAGAATCTTCTGTCTAATGGAAAAGTCAGATGTACAAAGAAGTATAATTAAGGCTATGAGAGGACGTGTGGCAGGAAAAACTTGTAGACTTCCTAAGGAAACTCTAAACTGGCTTTTGAAGGAAAAATAGGAGTTAGATAAAAGCCTTGGGTAAGAGGAGCAGGAGAAAAATAATCTAACAGGTAGAAGAATCAGCATGTCCAAAGGTACAAAAAGAGTGTTTCACTCAAGGAACAAAGAACTTGAATTAGTTCAGTATGACTGACATATAAATTGGGAGACAGATTGTCATGAGAAAGGAGGCTTAAATTCTTTACAGAAGCCTGATTTTAAGAAAAGGGATTCATATGACAAGCTTGGAAATTCAGATTTTTATATTGAAAGCAACAGAAATCAATATAGGTTTATAAACAGTAGAATAATATTTTGAAATTTGTGTTTTAGGAATTTCATTTCTTTATCAACCAAATGAAAGTATATCAGAGGGAACAATGCTGAAGGAAAGGATTAGGGCACTTTGGAAGTTATGATGGTAACCTCAGGTAAAACGAGAACAAAACCCTGACTGCAGGAATGGGGAGAGGAAGACCATTTGAACAACATCAAAAAGATGGAACAGGTTATGGACTAGGTTATGAACTGGCTGAAAGGAATGAAATTGAGAAAAAGATTCAAGAATGATTTGTAAGTTTCTGAGAAACCTGTAGAGATGGTTGTACTATTAAACCAAGAGGAACAAAACCAAGAGGAGTACATCTGGGCTTGGTAGAGACAAAGTGAGGAGTTCGATTTTGAGCCTGCTGGAGTTGAGGTGTTTAACACATGCAAGTGAGGCTATCCAGCAAGCAGTTGTTTATCCCTGTCTGGAGATCACAGAGAGACATGGATTGAAGAAGCATTAGAATAGGAAAAGAATGCCTAGGCAGAGTCTGTAGAGCAAGAATAAAAGGGAGTAACAGAACCATAGGAAGCAATAAAATATAATAAGTAGGTTAAACAGAGGGCACAAAGGCTGAAAAGGATACCAAGAAAAAGAAATCAGAGGTAGGAAAAGAAGGAGTCATAGAAACAAGAGAGGAGATCATTTCAAGAGGACAGACTGATTAATAAGAACAAGTACAGCAAAGAGTCTAAGTTAAACCGGACCTGAAAAATATTCACAACATTTAGGAACCAAAAGACCCAGAAGGGCCTTGGTAAAAGCTCCTTTGGGAAAGTGGAGGAAAAGAAGACAATCTGTCATAGATTGGTGAGCCAACAACAGCTTAAGAAGAGGTAACAGTCAACAAAGTCTCATTTTCCCAGAAGCTTAGCTATTAAGAATGGTGGAACCAGATAGCAACCAAAGTCTTGCCATGTATTGAGCTACCTAATAATGAGGCATGCATGTAATTTTAAATTATTTGTGATAATTAGGGGAAAATAGAATAACAAGTAATCCAAAAGCATAAAACAATAGAAATAATGTATTGTTCACACAGATTCTCCATGCGTCTACCCTAGCATCTTTTTAGACTTGTCCTGTAGTCGGTGGCCATGAGATCAAGGAAGAGGTGGGAAAGCATTATAAGTGTTTATGGGCAAAGGGAAAAACCATAAAACCAAGCCAATAATAGGATAAGAATGTCTTCCACTCTCATAAATAGCAGTTGATTATATTTGCTGAATGACAGCTGGTATCAGACCTCATGTGTCCCCAAATATCCAAATAGCTTCAACATTGTCTCCCTGTTAATTTAATTTATGTTCTGTTAAATTTTGACAAAGACTTAAAAAGTCTTATGGAAGAAAAAGTTGAGGATGAATGTTGCTTCTGTATTTCCAAGTGCAATCTACATCCTCTGTTAAATGGTAGGCATTGCAAGGCCGGGCCCAGTATGAGCCAGATAATTTGGTACACTAATGGTTTAACAAATTGAGGCTGGCTAGCTAAGGAATTCTTAGTGAGAGAGGGGACTGAGTTAGGTAAGATTCAATAAACATCAATTAATTGCCTGCTACATGTGGGCATTTTTCACATATTATTTGCTTTTACTAGGTGCTTTTACTTATTTATCTTATTTTTCCCAATAAATCAAAATAACTCTGAACAAATACACTATTGGGGGTAGGTCAGCAATATCATGCTGCTCTTATGTGGACACATTTTAATGAATAAAGAAGTAAGCCCTGCTTACTTCAGTGCCTGGGAAATGGGAAATACCTTACAGAGAAAAAGAAGGCCTGAGTATCAAATATTCATGTCTGTAAATTCAATCTTTAATTTTATATCTATAATTCATTTAATTGATATTATTCTCAAAGCTCTCAAAGCCATAAGTGACTGCTAAATGTTGTTAGGATAAGTGATTATGTTATTCAGCTAATGACAGAATGATTTATGGCAAATCTGTTTGAGAGCAATCATTTAAGAATCCATTTATTCTTGGAAATTCTGCTGGCTAAGCACAGTGGGTCAAGGCTATCCCCGAGCTGGGAATTTGTGTTCTTCTGAAGATGGATCCAGAGTTCAGCCTTGCACATTGAGCTAAGCTTGGCAGAGGCTGGGTGTCCCAGTCATCCTAGTTGGCCTGGACCACCCTCCTCTTTGCAGATTCACACCACAGAGCTGACACACAGCTGGACCATCTCCGGAGGACACTCAGTAAAGGGCCCTTTATCCACGAACAAGCTTTTTTAAAAATCATTTCTTAAGGAAAGTAAAGAAAGCTGAAAAAAGACTGAGAAAATTTAGTTTTTTGTTTTTTAATTGAATGACACAGGCCTGTTTTTTTCTTCTTTCCTAGGTTCATTTGGCGGCTGATGTTACATTCTTGCAAGACAGACTAAAAGGTGACAGTGTGACAGAAATAGGAATAACATTTCTAAAAAAGCGAGACGAGAAAAAATATAGAGGGAAAAAATGAAGACTAGCACGGAAAATGCCACGGGGCGGCTAGCTGAGTTAATGTTAGCTAAACATGTATAGACATAGAAATTTTGAATTGCTTCATAGCATGAGCTTTGAAAGGTTTATAAATCAGCCAGAAATTTGAAATGCAGGGCATGAAGGCTTAAAGGTTTTTTTTTCCTTTTGCTTATAAATCACGCATTTTCAATCTCATGTCCACAAAATTTCATATGCAAATAGCTCCTTACAAGATAGCAGGCAGGAATTCCACATCTTACACTATCCATCCTCAGAGAAGCTGTTCATTCCATTCACGTATGGTAATGGGAAAAAAAAGCAGCACAAATACAAACAGTTGTGTATTTGTCTCTTTGCTGAAAAAAAAAGAATGAAATGATATAGCATAGAGTTTCCTATATATAGACAGTAGTTTCTAGATACTGTATATTGCATTCCTTAAATAAATAATTCCATATTTCTAAAAAAATATGATTTGATTTTTCTCATGTATTAGCTTGGCTTATAGCTTTAGCCTTCTGACGCTACCCTTGATTTGTAATCACCAAGTCAAGCTATTTATTCAATGATAATTTTGAAACATTTATAAATAACATTTAATTTTAATTTATTTAGTTTTAATATAGCTGGCATCAACCAAATTCCTTCCTTTTCTCATGAAATATTGCTTGATGGTCAGGCCAGGAAACTTCTAAAATAAAGGATAAATAATATTCTTTGAAATTACTTTCTTACCCCAAAGCTTATTAATTCAGAATTTCTACTATCATTTTCATCCTCTAAAAAATCTTCCAAAGGATGTTTTCTTTGTGACCAGAACACATTTAAAATTCAAGTGTACCGAATTAAATACACAGTAATCTTCACCAGACCACTGGCACACAAGGGCGGCCTACAAGGCAGCCCAGAATCTACTGGGCTCTGCAGAGAGCCCAAATTGCAAGTACAAGTTATAATTAGTGTGATACCACCCTACGGAATTGGAGAAAATATTTGTAAACTATGTATCTGACACCCTTGTGCTATTAATAACCAGAATATATAAGGAGTTCAACCAACTCCATAGGAAAAAATTAAAATTAATAATCCAATTAAAGATGGGCAAAAGATCTGAATAGACATTTCTCAAAAGAAGACATACACATACAAATGGCAAACAGGTATATGAAAAGGTGCTCAACATCATTGGTCATCAGAGAAATGCAAATCAAAACTATAATGAGATATTATCTCACCCTAGTTAAAAATGGCTTTTATCCAAAACAGGCAATAGTGAATGCTTGCAAAGATGTGGAGAAGAGGGAACTCTGGTACACTGTTGGTGGGAATGTAAATTAGTATAACCACTATGGAGAACGGTTTGGAGGTTCCTCAAAAAACAAAAAATAGAATGATCATATGATCCAGCAATCCCACTGCTGGATATATACCCAAAATAAAGGAAATCAGTATATCAAAGAGATATCTGCACTCCCATGTTTACTGCAGAACTACTGACGATAGCTAAGATTTGGAAGAAATCTAAGTGTCCTTCAATAGATTAATGAAATAAAGAAAATATGGTACATATACACAATGGAGTACTATTCAGCCATAAAGAAGAATGAGATCCTGTCATTTGCAAAACATGGATGGAACTAGAGGTCATTATGTTCAATGAAATATGTCAGGACAGAAAGACAGACTTTGCATGTTCTCATTTATTTGTAGGAGCTAAAAATTAAAACAGTGGACTCATGGAGATATGGAGTAAAATGATGGATATCAGAGGCTGGGAAGGGTAGTTTCAAGAGGAGTGGAGATGGTTAATGGGTACAAAAATATAGTTAGATAGAATGAATAAGATCTGGGTCGGGCATGGTGGCACAAGCCTGTAATCTCTGCACTTTGGGATGCCAAAGTGGGAGGATTGCTTGAGCTCAGGAGTTTGAGACCAGCTTGGGTAACATAGACCCCTGTCTCTACAAAAAAAAAAAAAAAAAAAAAAAAATATATATATATATATATATGTATGTATAGTGCATACCTGTGGTCCCAGCTACTCAGGAGGCTGAAGTGGGAGGATTGATTAAGGCCAGGAGGTTGAGGCTGCAGTGAGCCATGATTGTGCCACTGCCCTCCAATCCGGGCAACAGAGTGAGACCCTGTCTTAAAAAAAAAATGTACAAGAATGAATAAGATCAAGTATTTGACAGTGCAACAGGGTAAGTACAGTTGATAATAATTTTTTGTACATTTAATAGTAATTAAGATAAAAATGGATTGTTTGTGACAGAAAAGATAAATGCTTGAGGTAATGGATACCCCATTTACCCGATGTGATTGTTATGTATTGTATGCCTGTATGAAAATATCTCATGTACCCCATAAATAAATATAGCTACTATGTACCCACAAAAAAATAAAAATTAAAAAATAATCAAAATAAATAAAACTGGTATAAGTGATATGTTCGTGATAGACGTCAATTAGGATTCAGGAGCCTGTTCTGAGTCCCTGTCCAGTTCTGTTTCTAGGGGCTTCAGCTGATCCTGAGTAGTGACTGATCCTGGGCAAGGCACATAATCTCTCTCTCTCTCTCTGTCTCTCTCTCTCTCTCTCTTTCCCCACCCCTTTAAAATCAGGATGCAATAAATGTCTAAAACTGTACCAATGGGTACAGTTTAAACGATATAAATGACCACTGAAATTCTACATTTTTGGACTTTAGAACACTGCAGGGAAATTGTTTGTTCTCCACTTAGTCAACTGTCTCTTAAAAAGGACATTGCAATAGGCATAAAGGAAATAGGGTCATTGGCACACAGCTGAGGCATCGATGGAAGAACCTTCAAACCTGCTCCACAGAAGACCAGGAATAGAATCTGGAAGAAGATATCTGACATTAGAAGGAGTATCACAATGTCATGTATTTTAAACTGATGCCTCCATAAGAATTCTTGCCTACACTCTATCCTAAAGCTTCTTTTTAGGATTTTTTCCATCTTCTGCTCAGTTGCCTCTTTCTCATTTATAATATATGCATTCCTCCCAGGAACCCAAGATATTCATGCCTAAGGCCCTCCCTCTTAAATTAGCACCCAACTAGCTATCCTGAAAATATTCCAGGCCTTGGGGTATTCTCCTACCTGTCTACACCTTCCTCTTCTTTCTCTCCTAACCCAACCATCAAAAGTCCCTTGGCCCAAAGTCTTTGTTCCCCACCCTGCTGAAGACAGCTTAATCTGGTATGCTCAGTGATGCTGGGTATAGGAACTGATGATGGCTTCAGGATGAGGCTTGTTCCCCATCCCTTGTTTTTCTCACCGTGGAAGGAGGGGAGCCTCTTGGCATTGAATATATTAGAATTATGAGAACCACCTATAGAATTTTATATTTTCTTATAGCCATATTAAATAATAAAAAGAAATAGGTGACATTAGTTTTAATAATATATCATTTATTTTAATTATCCAAAAATTTTTATTTCAACATAGTAATATAATAAATGTTATTATTATCTATCATAATAAATATAATTATTACTATTTTTGGTAGAGATGGAGGTCTTGCTTTGTTGCTCAGGCTGGTCTTAAATCCTGGCCTCAAGTGATCCTCCCACCTTGGCCTCCCAAAGTATTGGGATTATAGGAATGAGGTACCCATACCCAGCCAATATAAAAATTATTAACGAGACATTTTATATATTTTTTATACTAACTATTTGAACTCCCATGTGTATTTGACATTCTTAGCACATCTCAACTCATGGTAAATTTTCAAAGGCTGGAGTGAAATGTAGTTCTACCAAAATAACAAAGTTGTGTTTAGTGGTGTTTAATAGCCTCAATTTTTAAATCTAAATTAATTAAAATTAAACTGAATTTAAAATTCAGTCACACTAGTCACATTTTACATGTTTGATAGCTATGTGTGTCTAGTGGCTACTCTAATGGACGGCACTGGTCTAGAATTCCCAGTCAAAGTTTTGTTTTGTCTCCTTGACCTTTGACACAAAGAATGAATGGAGAGGATCCAGTACCATGGAGAGAAAGAGAGGAGATGGGTAGAAAAGAAAAAAATCAAAGAAAACCAGGGCAATAAGACTGTCAGAGACCCATGAAATGGTCTCTCTCCACCAACTGAGCGGTGACGCATAGAAACAATAGAGATTACACATCCTCCCCTGGGCTCCAAGTGTGTTTTCATCACCATTGTGTAAAGCTGGGTTTCTCTGATAAAGGGCTTGAGGAAGTTACACAGCATAACTACACAGCATAACTACAGGGTTATATAATATTTTTATTTTATATTATTTTATATTTTTATTTTATAAAAGCCTTTACTCTGAACCCAAAACCTTGATTAAAGCAGAGGTTTTTTTGTCACCTCAGCAAAGCAAAAGGGGAGGAAATGTTTGGGGCAGAGACGTAGCGCAATGCTCTTAAGTGACTACACCAGATATTGCCCAAGCTATTAACTGAGGAGGTCTCCTTTGGTTATCTATTCACTGTTTGCAGTTGCTAGGAATCAGAAATACCTCCCTCAGCGTCCTGCAGACTTACTTATTGTCTTCTCAAACCTCTCAGTTTCATTTATTAGCTGTTAGGAGCCTGGATCTGTTTAGCAGTTGGAATGAATGATGGTGAATAAGTGGAAAGTTTCCTCTTCTCCCTGTTTATGAGAGACAAAAGGAGAAATTTGGAAAATCAAATGCTTGAAGTAAGAGGACGATATTAAAACTTTTGTAACCAGAGACTACTTTAAGAAAAATCTGCTACTACTTTAACAAAGATCTGCTAAATGTTAACTAACACAGTAAATGCTAAGTGTCATTGTTAAGTGTCTCCCACTGGGCTGTAGACTCTGGGTGGTTGTAACACTTCAGTTTACTTCACCAGCTTTGGAAGTTAATATCTCTTCAGTAACACTGGAAGAGTCTGTGATGGATGCATCCTCCCAGCTCTGGAAACTTCATGTGACAAAAGACTCTGTATGCTTCTTATTAAGAGAGAAAGCCAAATTTTATTTACTCCACTTAGTTGCATATTCCTTGAAAAATCTGACCAGTGTCTGCATTTCTTCATCCTAATAAACCTTCCAGAACTTTAGCTGGACATAACCAGTGGTTGACCAGTAGGGTCTATGACAAACCACCAACAGACAGGAAGGGATATAGCAGGTATAATGTACCAGTGTGTGATCTCAGAAGGAAATGGTCAATTCTTATTCAGTTAGCAAGTGTCACCCTAACATTGAAAACAAGGCACAGCCACAATAATCATTAGCAAAATTTTATTTTCATTAGAAAGGAAGAGCTAAACAAAACAAATCAAAAGTTGGAGCCCCTTCACAAAAAAAAAAAAAGTCAAGAAATAGACCTTCTGGGGGTAATTCTTGTTCTCCCTTGAACCCAGGCTCTGTCTTTCCCAATTAAATCTTTATTTGTGTCCCAGGGATGAAGCCAACTTGATTGTGGTGGATAAGCATTTTGATGTGTTGCTGGATTTAGTTTGCCAGTATTTTATTGAGGATTTTTCTATCGATGTCTATCAGGGATATTGGCCTGGAATTTTCTTTTTTGTTGCATCTCTGCCAGGTTTTGGTATCAGGATGATGCTGGCCTTACAAAATAAGTTAGGGAGGATTCTCTCTTTTTCTATTGTTTGGAATAGTTTCAGAAGGAATGGTACCGGCTCCTCTTTTCATCTCAGGTAGAATTTGGCTGTGAATCCATCTGGTCCTGGACTTTTTTTGGTTGGTAGGCTATTAATTACTGCCTCAATTTCAAAACTTGTTATTGGTCTATTCAGGAATTCAACTTCTTCCTGTTTAGTCTTGGGAGGGTGTATATGTCCAGGAATTTATCCATTTCTTCTAGATTTTCCAGTTTATTTGTTGAAATCTTTTTCCAGTTGATTTGGGCTGGAGAGTTCTGTAGATGTCTATTAGGTCCACTTGGTCCAGAGCTGAGTTCAAGTCATGAATATCCTTGTAAATTTTCTTTCTTATTGATCTAATAGAGGTGTTTATAGTATTCTCTGATCATAGTTTGTATTTCTATGGGATCAGTGGTGATATCCCCCTTATCATTTTTTATTGTGTCTATTTGATTCTTCTCTCTTTTCTTTTTTATTAGTTTAACTAGTGATCTATCTATTTTGTTAATCTTTTCAAAAACCAGCTCCTGGATTCACTGATTTTTTTGAAGAGTCTTTCATGTCTCTGTCTCTGTCAGTTCTTCTCTGATCTTAGTTATTTCTTGTCTTCTGCTATCTTTTGAATTTATTTGCTCTTGCTTCTCTAATTATTTTAATTGTGATGTTTGGGTGTCAATTTCAGATCTTTCCTGCTTTCTGATGTGGGCATTTAGTTCTATAAATTTCCCTCGTGACACTGCTTTAGCTGTATCCCAGAGATTCTGGTATGTTGTCTCTTTGTTCTCATTGGTTTCAAATAACTTATTTATTTCTGCCTTAATTTCGTTATTTACCCAGTAGTCATTGAGGAGCAGGTTGTTCAATTTCCATGTAGTTGTCTGGTTTTGAGTGAGTTTCTTATTCCTGAGTTTTAATTTGATTGCACTGTGGTCTGAGAGACAGTTTGTTATGATTTCTGTTCTTTTGCATTTGCTGAGGAGGGTTTTACTTCCAATTATGTGGTCAATTTTAGAATAAGTGTGATGTGGTCCTGAGAAGAATGTATATTCTGTTGATTTGGGGTGGAGAGTTCTGTAGATGTCTATTAGGTCCGCTTGGTCCAGAGCTGAGGTCAAGTCCTGGATATCCTTGTTAATTTTCCTTTTGATCTGTCTAATATTGACAGTGGTGTATTAAAGTCTCCCATTATTATTGTGTGGGAGTCTAAGTCTCTTTGTAGGTCTCTAAGAACTTCTTTTATGAATCTGGGTGTTCCTGTACTGGGTGCATATATATTTAGGATAGTTAGCTCTTGTTGTTGCATTGGTCCCTTTACCATTATGTATTGCTCTTTTTTGTCTTTTTCTATCTTTGTTGGCTTAAAGTCTGTTTTATCAGAGACTAGGATTGCAACCCCTGCTTTTTTTTTTGCTTTCCATTTGCTTGGTAAATCTCCTTCCATCCCTTTATTTTGATCCTATGTATGTCTTCACACATGAGATAGGTCTCCTGAATACAACACACTGATGGGTCTTGACTCTTTATCCAATTTGCCTGTCTGTGTCTTTTACTTGGGGCATTTAGCCCATTTACATTTAAGGTCAATTAAATGTATGTGTTATGTGTGAATTTGATCCTGTCACCATGATGCTAGCTAGTTATTTTGCACATTAGTTGATGCGGTTTCTTCATAGTATCATTGGTCTTTATATTTTGGTGTGTTTTTCCAGTGGCTGGTACCGGTTTTTCCTTTCCATATTTAGTGCTTCCTTCAGGAGCTCTTGTAAGGCAGGCCTGGTGGTGACAAAATCCCTCAGCATTTGCTTCTCTGGAAAGGATTTTATTTCTCCTTCACAAGGCTGGTTCAACATATGCAAATCAATAAAGTAATCCATTACATAAATAGAACTAGTGACAAAAACCACATGATTATCTCAATAGATGCAGAAAAGGCCTTCGATATAATTCAACATCCCTTCATGCTAAAAACAATCAATAAACTGGGTATTGATGGAACACATCTCAAAATAATAAGAGCTATTTATGAGAAACCCATAGCCAATATCATACTGAATGGGCAAAAGCTGGAAGCATTCCCTTTGAAAACTGGCACAAGACAAGGATGCCCTCTCTCACCACTCCTATTCAACATAGTATTGGAAGTTCTGGCAAGAGCAATCAGGCAAGAGAAAGAAATTAAGGCTATTCAAATAGGAAGACATGAAGTCAAATTGTTTCTGTTTACAGATGACATGAATGTATATTTAGAAAATCCCATTGTCTCAGCCCGAAAACTCCTTAAGCTAATAAGCAACTACAGCAAAGTCTCAGGATACAAAATCAATGTGCAAAAATCACAAGCATTCCTATACACTAATAATAAATAAGCAGAGAGCCGAGTCATGAGTGAACTCTCATCCATAATTGCTACAAAGAGAATAAAATACCTAGGAATACAACTTACAAGGGACATGTATGACCTCTTCAAGGAGAACTACAAACCACTGCTCAAGGAAATAATAGACGACACACACAAAAAATGGAAAAAAATTCCATGCTCATGGAGAGGAAGAATCAATATTGTGAATGGCCATATTGCCCAAAATAATTTATATATTCAATACTATTCCCATCAAACTACTATTGACTTTCTTTGCAGAATTAGAAAAAACTACTTTAAATTTCATATGGAACCAAAAAAGAGCCCATATAGCCAAGACAATCCTAAGCAAAAAGAACAAAGCTGGAGGCATCATGCTACCTGACTTCAAACTATACTACAAGATTACAGTAACCAAAACAGCATGGTACTGGTACCAAAACAGATATATAGACCAATGGAACAGAACAGAGGCCTCAGAAATAACACCACACCTCTACAACCATCTGATCTTTGACAAACCTGACAAAAACAAGCAATAGGGAAAGGATTCCCTATTTAATAAATGGTGCTGGGAAAACTGGCTAGCCATATGCAGAAAACTGAAACTCGACCCCTTCCTTAAACCTTATACAAAAATTAACTCAAGATGGATGAAATACATAAATGTAAGACCTAAAACCATAAAAACCCTAGAAGAAAACCTAGGCAGTACCATTCAGGACATAGGCATGGGCAAAGACTTCATAACTAAAACACCAAAAGCAATTGCAACAAAAGTCAAAATTGACAAGTGGTATCTAATCAAACTAAAGAGTTTCTGCACAGCAAAAGAAACTATCATCAGAGTGAACAGGCAACCTACAGAATGGGAGAAAATTTTTGCAAACTATGCATTTGACAAATGGCTAATATCCAGAATCTACAAAGAACTTAAATTTACATGAAAAAAACCAATCTCATCAAAAAGTGGGCAAATGATATGTGCAGACACTTCTCAAAAGAAGACAATTATGTGGCCAACAAACATATGAAAAAAAGCTCATCATCATTGGTCATTAGAGAAATCCAAATCAAAACCACAGTAAGATACCATCTCACACCAGTTAGAACGGCGATCATTAAAAAGTCAGGAAACAACAGATGCTGGAGAGGATGTGGAGAAATAGGAACGCTTTTACACTGTCAGACGGATTTTAAATTAGTTCAACCATTGTGGAAGACAGTGTGTCAGTTCCTCAAGAATCTAGAACCAGAAATACCATTTGACCCAGCAATCCCATTACTGGGTATGTATCCAAAGGATTGTAAATCATTCTACTATAAAGACACATGCACACGTATGTTTATTGCAGCACTGTTTACTATAGCAAAGACTTGGAACCAACCCAAATGCCCACCAATGATTGACTGGATAAAAAAAAGTGGCACATATATACCATGGAATGTTATGCAGCCATAAAAAGAATGAGTTCATGTCCTTTGCAGGGACACTAACACAAGAACGGAAAACTAGACACTGCATGTTATCACTCATAAGTGGGAGTTGAACAGTGTGAACACATGGATACAGGGAGGGGAACATCACACTCCAGGGCCTGTTGCGGGGGTTGGAGGCAAGGGGAGGGAGAGCATTAGGACAAATACCTAAGGCATGTGGGGCTTAAAACCTAGATGACAGATTGATAGGTGCAGCAAACCCCCATAGCACATGTATAACTATGTAACAAACCTGCACATTCTGCACATGTATCCCAGAACTTAAAGTAAAATCTTAAAAAATCTTTATTTTTCTTCCTTCTGTTTCTTTTGTCATCCATTTTTTAGCAGCCCTGTGGCCACTACTGAATCTTCTTTTTTCTTCCATGGAATCTTCCTGGAATTCCTTACTTTCTCTTTTATTTCCTCTTCCATTTTCTTTTAATTATGCTTCATGTAATAGACATTTGTTAGCTTCCTATGTCTTCCCCTCTCCTAATTCAATGACATTTCTCCATAGGAGCCACCATTTAATTAAACAGCACATCTACTTCAGGTGGCTCATTCTCAGTTTAAAACCGCTTCCTTGCCATCCAGATCTAAGCCAGTCCACACATAGTATTGCCCAGACAACAATCAATAGTTCTGGCATGGTCCAATTACCGCAATTTTTACTCTATGGTTATGGAAAGAGGATCTCTCTCTCTCTGTCTCTCTCTCTCTGTCTCTCTCTCCACCCCACTGCCCCGCCACCCCGCTCCTCTCTTATTCTGTCTATCTGTGGAAATAGTTGGCTCTGGTTCCTGCTGACATAGGGAGGATGAGGAGGATGAATGAATTGAAGAGAAGAAAAGCCTGCCCTGCCTCTGGAATTTCAGTTACTCGCATCAGTAAATTTACTGTGTTATTAAGAGAATAGAGTCAGGTTTCTGTTACCTGCAATTAACAGGATCCAAACTAATTAATTTTCTGATTCTCTCATCTCTATTAATAGCAATGCAACAAAGTTCATTGTATGACAAATATGTGATAGGTCAGATAATCTGTAATGTATTTGAGAATACCAAAAAAAATTAATTACTTATTATTACATTTTCACATGGTTGAATGTTCAATGAAATAAAACTTGTATTTACATGGTTCTCCTCTTCACAAAAAGGAAATGTTCACAGGAGTAAGAGAATAGAAGGTTGTATTATGTTGTGCAGCTACTCAGCCCACAAGACCTAGAAAAGGGAGATTCCACAGGGAGAAGACACAGTTTTGAATTGGTGGTACCTCTCAAAATAAAACAGTCAAAAAATTTATACATTTCAGGCCCTCGCTACACCTATTTCCACTGGAATCCTAAATCACATCAGGAGTCACTAAGGATTCTAAATTCAGAACAATCCTCTCATTTCTGGAACCATTCAGTGATACAAATCTTTAAAGCCAGAAGACTGTATTTAGTGACTTGCTGTTCCTGTGTGTAGCGTGTGAATCACATAGATTTTGATGACGTGG
This sequence comes from Homo sapiens, assembly GCF_000001405.40. NCBI lineage: Eukaryota > Metazoa > Chordata > Mammalia > Primates > Hominidae > Homo > Homo sapiens. The sequence continues at coordinate 116,485,968 of NC_000006.12, read as the reverse complement.
AAAAGGAAATGTTAATTCCCAATGGATACCAAGCAATTCAAACACCTGGAAATGCTGATTTTTAAGATTTGCATTCAATTAACGTTTTTATCAGATGCCAGGCATATGTGGTACATCATTTAATTTTCAACAATCTGTGAGGCATTAAGTTTGTAGTGGGGGTAGCTGTGAAATTACAAAGAAAACAAACTTGCCAGTGCTTTAAGTGCATTAAGATGTGCAGCTGGTGAGTACAGGGAGTTGGCAACGGCTCCTGAGGATCTTGCTTAGGGGGCTGAGTGAGTGGAGGAACCACAGGAGAAGAAGTCAGCTAAAAAGAAGAAGCTAATAAGCTTGGAATACTTTGAGTTTGAGGTGCCTTTGAAACATCCAAACAATACCAGGAGCTCAGAAGAGAGGTCTGAACTGAAGATAGACTTCAGAGTCATCAGTGTATAAACAATAGTAACAGCAGTGGAGGTGGATGGTAAGATCTGAACAGAATATGGACCTGAGAAAATACAAGGGGCAAAGATAGAATCTTGAGAAATACTACCATTCAAGGGGCAATAAGAAAAGAAAAGTACAAGTCAGGCTGAACTTTCAGCCAGAGATGTAGAGGGGAGAAACTGGTGACACCAAAGCCAAATTTCAAGGAAAATAAAGGGGTCAGAGGTGTTAGATGGCCCAGAAAAGCAATCAAGTTAGGCCAGAAAAGGGATGTTGGAACTGGTGTAGAGGAGGTCTTTGCCTCTTAGCAATTTCAGGGCAGTGGCAGAGGCAGAGGCCTCGTTGAAGATAGAGGAGTCAATGGGTGGTGAGACCCTATGTGTAGATAATTCTGTTAAGGTACTTGACTGTAAATGGACACTGAGTGCAAGGTTGGGCTGTTTGCTCTTTTAATTTTAGTTTTTTTTTTTGTTGTTGTTGTTTTCCTTAAGAATTCAGACATTTGAAACATGAAAGAGAGGGAATAACTTGTGAGGAAGTGGGAGAAGGCAGGATAAAGATGACAGTAGAAAGATTTGACTCTGAACTGCATAAAGATTACCCTTTCTCCTGAGAAAGGCATGATGAAGTTGAAAGTGGGCAGATAAGGGAATTGGATTAGAGATGTTTGGGGAAGACGCTGATCAAGCTCATGACCGTTGGCCTTAATCTTCCCTATGAAACATGATTCAAGGTCTTTGTAGAGATGGAGGCGGACAGAGGCTGGACGAGGACACTTTGTGCTGTCCATACTCTCAGCACTTAACCCTTCAGAGTAAAAAATAACCCAGCCTTCAGAGTGCATGATCATGCAAATGCCTGGGAAGAAAATACACACGACCTTTACTTCCCTGTGCTCTAATGAATGATTCTTCACAATGGCACTAACATGGGGATAATAGCCTGCCCAGACATACTTACCTGAGATTCCACATAGATCATAAGTACAATTTCTTGTGTTCCAAGGAGATGGGTGATTTGATTGTAGGCCATCTTAGGGAACTTTTCCAAACAAGGAGCAGATTTGTGGCTACAAAATTTCCCCAAGTGCTCCCGTATCTAGAATGTGGAAATGTATACTGTTTTGAGCATTCTAAAAATGCTCATAATACATACAAATGACCACTGAAGAAAGCCATAGAAAGCCACATATTAGGACTACCAAGACTTGTATAATGATTGTCCCAAAGATGTCAAAGAAATGTGAAAAGCTGACAAATGCCACTATTGAAAAAAAATACCCCCAGATAAAGCATCACAAGAGTTGGAGCCAATAAGTAAATAGACCAGAGATGATTTTTACTGCTTTAGGGGTGCTTAAAAAATGAGATAAAGAAGAAAATTTCTACTCCCACTGGCAGTATTCTCCGACTGTCAGTGTTCCCCCCAGACAACCTGTGATTGTCTTGTGGCTGCCTAAAATGTTTAGACAGTCTGGAAGAACTTCATGTCAAAACAGTACATTTTTTCACACCCTAGACAGGAGAAAAAATGCCATTTTAAACCTTTCTGAACACCTGCTGGGTGGAGTCCCCCATGAAGATGTCAAATCAAAATGAATGAATGGAAGAAAAAGTCCCAATACTGGTTGCCCAAGTTTAGACAGCTCAAAGGACAATTCTTTATCAAGAATATCATGTTTCCAGACCTGGCAATTGATTATGACGGTACTTCTATGCATGAATTCAGCCAGGAGTCTTTTGGCAAAGATTTGCTCTCTATTATCTAAAGTTAAACATAATTAAGCTAAGTGTTGATAATATTCCTAGTAGCTACCTTTTATAGGCAGGAATATTTGTGGCAAATTTAGGTTGGAGACCGAAACAGAAACCATGTAATCTTGGTCAGTTCTTTCTAGTTCTGGGATGGCAGACTTTATAGGAAAAGCTATAAAGATAAAATTTTATGACCAAAGATGGTTCGAGATGATATAGAGTATTTAATATTTTTCAATTAATAAAATTATGAGGCCTGAAAGGTTGATTTGATGTCATGAGGAAAATCTTAGGGAAGAGCAAATTGAATAATTACTAGTATATGGAATTGCTTATTCTTAGAGAGACATGAGTGCTCTAGTTCCTGCTAGGTCTTCAGTGACCTTCATCATCTATCTCTCTTCCCTTTCCACTGGCTCCTTCTCATATGCCTGAAAGCATGCTCAAGTTTCTACCATTCTAGAAAGAATATTCCCTTGACAATTCTTTCCTAACAGTTCACCAGTGTCTCCCTCATCCTTTCACTGGCAAACTTTAAGAAAACATATTGTGGAAGAAGCATTACCAGTTTGGAAACTGGACAATCCTATGTTAAAATGCTTACCTTGCCACTGACTAGCCCAGTGGCCTTAAGCAAGTCTCCTTCCCTCAAGTAAAATGGCACAATACTATAATACTTCTTTGAAAGATTAGGTATTTAATGACTGGTACCCATTGTTCTCAGGCTTGTTGATTCTTCATTTGCTGACACATCCCAGTTGACTGCAATCTGGTTTCTAATCCCATATTCTACTGAAACTTGACTTACTGTCACTAATTACAGTAAAGTCAGCATTTTGTTCCTAGTCTGTTTTTATCTTTTTACAGTGCCTGACACTCCTGACTTCTCCTTCGTTGGTTCTTTCTTCTTGATAGGCTTCAGAGAAATGTCTCCACCTTGATTTTTCTCCTGTATTTCTGCTGGCTACTAATTCTAAATCTCTTTCAGTCTCCTATAATTCTTTAACCTTCCACAAATGGTGGTATGCACGTGGCTCTATGGCTGGCATTTTCTCAAGGTAGATGTTTTCCCTGGATAGACTTTACACAGAAAACTTCTCTTCTCTACCTTCTTCACCCATCTGCTGCTATTCCCTAATAGTCACTGCAACTACATGTCCCATAAGCATGTATTTGGTGTGCTCTAAACTAAACTCATTATTTCCTTTTCTCCCTGCTAAATCTCTGTTTTCTCCAAAATTTCATTTCCTAGTTAACGACCCCATTGTCAAAACTAAAACATTCTATTTATTTCTGACCCCTTTCTCTCTTACTATTTACATCCAATCTGTCACCAAATTCTTTTAATCCTACATCCTAAATTCATCTTGATTTTCCTTCGCCCCTTAGTTGAGGGCCTCATCTGTATTCTTGAAGTTACTTCTAAGTGGCTAGAAACCACTGGCGGTAATGGAAGTAACTGCCAGTTACTCCCACCTCCATTTCACTCTCCACACTAAAATCAAGTGATTTCCATAAAACACCAGTGAGATAGTGGTACATCCACACCAGAAACCTCTCAGAAGTGTTCCTGTCCATTTCCAGTTCATGCTATGCTCCTTATCCATCGCATGAAGTCCAACTGATCAACCTCCTGCATATGTCACCTACTCAATGAAAACTGTCCTTACTGGCTCATTTCCCCACCCCACTTCTGGACTGAGTGAGTTTCCCTCTAATCCCCAACTCCCTTAGTAACTCTCACATATCTCTACCCTATATGCTGAGTATTTTCCTGCAAGTCTTTATCCCCAGTTAGTCTGTGAGTTCTTTGGCAAAGAGCATATATTATTTGTCTTTGTACTCCCAGCACCTGGCACAATCCCTGACACTCAGTCAAATACTCTATGGTATTTTTATTATGCTACAAAATTGCAGAATGATTGAATAAATGAGATGATAATCTACATGTGTAGTTGCACTATTGTGGAAGATTATTCTCCATTTCATATTATACATTAGGTTTTCCACTGTTAATGTCAAACTTTTCATAAAAGGTTCTCTAACTTACCAATATAAAATGTATGAAATACACCTTTGAAATTACAGACTCATTTGGTCATGAGGACATCTAGAATATCTTGACTGGTCATGGACAAAACCACATGCCTTGTTTTGCTCAAGAAAGTGGGGATTAGGCTGAAGACCATAATTTTACTGCATATTTCCTGAGTTATGTGCTGTCCCCTTTATTTTCTGGTATGACTAGTGTCTTTGTGACAAATGGGGTAAATGTTCTTTATTCTACCTATCTTTTTGTTCCCTCAAGGATTCATTTTCCTCAAGAATCATGCTTTAAGATTAAAAGCCATATGGACTATAATAGAATGGAAGTGTGTACATAATCAAAGGAGTTTTTTTTACCCTCATAGTAGGTAAACTGAAGTCATCTTAAAATAACCACAATAAAAATGCTTATTATATCACAAAGGCTTGCTGAATAACTCCCCCTGACACCCCACCCCTAAATGTCCATTGAGTAAATTTCCTATTGTCAATATACACTGCCACTGCTTTAGTTTTGGTTTTTCTCACCACAGTAGTGGCTCTCTCTTCTTGCTCTTTCTGAAAACCAACTGCCACTTTGTTAATTATGTTAGGTATGATAATGGTAGTATGATTAGTTAGCATATTATTTTTAGAGATATACATTAAGTTGGAAAAAATACCATGTCTGTATTTTTCTTTAAAATAATTAACAGAAAAGATTAATCAAATGTGACAAAATGTGGTAGATGTATTTGTATTAACTAAACTAAAAATGAAAACAACCAAACATCTATCAATAGAAGACTGATTGAATGAACTATAATATATCCACACAGAATAGAGTGCTATATTGCTATTTTAAAAAGTAATGAGTAGCCAGGCATGGTAGTGCATGCCTGCAATCCCAGCACATTAGGAGGCTGAGGCAGGAGGATGACTTGAGCTCAGGAGTTCAAGACTACTTTCGGAAACAGGGAGACCCCCATCTCTACAAAACTGAAAAATTAGCTGGGCATGGTGGCACACACCTATGGTCACAGCTAATTGGGAGTCTGAGATGGGGGAATTGCTTGTGGCCAGGAGGTTGAGCCTACAGTGAGCTGTGATCACACCACTGCACTTCAGTCTGGGTGGCAGAATGAGACCCTGTCTCAAAAAAAAAAAAAATTAATGAGCAAAATCTTATTTGCTGCATGGCATGATGACCACTAGAATATATTAAGTTAAAAAAGGAGGTAGATAAAAATGTACATCATAAACTAACATTTATCTAAGAAGGAGGGATTTTATATATATTTTAAATGGAAGGCTAACTCAAAACATTTTTTAAAAGGTGCCATTTAAGGGAGAAAACAGGGTGGATGCAAATGCAATAAGGATAAAGGCCAGACTTCTCAAAATACACCTTGTTTATTGTGTAAAGTGATTTGCACACTTATTTGGATGTATATTGTGGTACAGAGAAAAGTAGTTATTACGTTGATGCTATTAGGACCTGGGATTTTGGCATGAGAAAAGGATTAAAAAGGTGAGTTTGTGTTCTGTACCACTGTGGGATGACTATAGCTAACAATAATGTATAGTTTCAAATAGCTAGAAGGAGGAATATTGAACATTCCCAATATAAAGAAATGATAAATGTTTGAGATGATGGAAATGCTAATTACCCTAATCTGATCACTATACATAATATGTATCAAAACTTCACTATGTACCCCATGACTATGTACAATTATTATTTGTTAATAAAAAATGAAATTTTAAAAAGTTTGCTGAAGTTAAGCTAAAAAGAAAAAACTTGTAGTGCAGAATTTGAATTCGAAACTGTCAGTATGAACTCTTAACAGTTTTATCCTTTAAAAATTCTACGTATGACAGGCCAGGTGCGGTGGCTCACGCCTGTAATCCCAGCACTTTGGGAGGCCGAGGCAGGCGGATCACGAGGTCAGGAGATTGAGACCATCCTGGCTAACACGGTGAAACCCAGTCTTTACTAAAAATACAAAAAATTAGTTGGGCATGGTGGCGGGCGCCTGTAGTCCCAGCTGCTCAGGAGGATGAGGCAGGAGAATGGCATGAACCCGGGAGGCGGATCTTGCAGTGAGCCGACATCGAGCCACTGCACTCCAGTCTGGGGGGGCGACAGAGTGAGAAGACTCCGTCTCAAAAAAAAAAAAAAAAATTCTACGTATGACAACCAAAGCACAGACAACAAATAAAAAAATAGATAAATTGAACTATATTAGGATTTAAAACTTCTGTGCATCAAAGGGCACAACCAACAAAATAAAATACAATCCACAGAATGGGAGAAAATATTTGCAAATCATATATCTGACAAGGAGTTTACATCCAAAATATTAAGGAACTGAGACAACTCAACATCAAAAACCAAAATGATTAAAAAATAGGCAATGGACTTGAACAGACATTTTTCCAACGATCTACAAATGGCCAATAAGCACATGAAAAGATGCTCAACATCACTAATGATTAGGGGAATGCACATCAAAACCACAATGAGAAAACAATTTACACACATTAGGGTGGCTACTATCAAAACACCAAAAAATAACAAGTGTTAGTGAGGATGTGGAGAAATTAAATTCTTGAGACTGTTGGTGGAAATAGAAAGTGGTTCAGCTGCAATGAAAAACATTATACTGGTTCCTCAAAAACTTAAAAAGAATCTCCATAAGATCCTGAAATTTTGCTCTGCTAACATGTCTCACAAAATTGAAAGCAGAGTCTCAAAGAGATATTTGTATACCCACGTTCATAGCGGCATTGTTTACAATCATCAAAATGTGGAAGCAACACAAGTGTCCTTCAATGGACGAATGGATAAACAAGATGTACACATACAATGAAATATTACTGTGCCTTAAAAAGGAAACTGACATGTGCTACAACATGGATGAATCTTGAGGATATTATGCTACGTAACACAAGGCAGTCACAAAAAGACAAATACTGTATGATTCTACTTAAATGCAGTACCTAGAAGTAGTCAAATCTACAGAGACAGAAAGAATGGCACTTTCCAGAGGTTGAGTAGAGTGTGGAGTGGGGAGCTATAATTTAATGAGTACACAATTTCAGTTTGCAAGATGAAAAGAGTTCTGGAGATAGACGTTGGTGACGGTTCCACAATAATGTGAATGTACTTAATACTACTGAAATGTACACTTAAAAATGGTTAAGATGATACGTTTCATGTTATGTGTATTTTACCACAATTAAAATTTTTTAATGAATCAAATGTCTACAAATAAAGGATTGATTAAACAAACAAAAAAGACATTTAAGGAGCATTTCAATTGTGCAATATATAAACTTTATTTAAATCCCAATTCAAACAAATACCTTTATGAGGTAAGCGGAACTTAAATTCTGGCAGGATATTTGATGTTGTTAAGTAACTCAGGAATGGAAAACCAAACATTGTATGTTCTCACTCATAAATGGAGGCTGGCTGGGCGCGGTGGCTCACACCTGTAATCCCAGCACTTTGGGAGGCCAAGGCGGGAAGATCACCTGAGGTCAGGAGTTTGAGACCAGCCTGACCAACATGGTGAAACCCCATCTCTACTAAAAATACAAAAATTAACCAGGCGTGGTGGCGGGCGCCTGTAATCCCAGCTATTCAGGAGGCTGAGGCAGGAGAATCGCTTGAACCCAGGAGGCAGAGGTTGTGGTGAGCCAAGATGGTGCCATTGCACTCCAGGCTGGGCAACAAAAGCGTGATTTCATCTAAAAAAAAAAAAAAAAAGTGAGAGCTAAGCTATGAGGACGCAAAGGCATAAGAATGATACAATGGACTTTGGGCTCTCGGGGGAAAAGGTAGGAGAGGGGTGAGGGATAAAAGACTACACGTTCGGTACAGTGTACACTGCTTGGGTGATGGGTGCACCAAAATCTCAGAAATCACCACTAAAGAACTTATTCATATAACCAAAGAGCATCTGTTCCCCAAAAACCTATTGAAATAATAAAAAAAAAGTCACTTTCCTAAAAAAAAGAAAAGAAAAAAAAGAAATCCTTGTTATTTCTTAGATATGATGGTGATATTGCAGTTTTTATATGGGTCCTTTCTTTAGAGATATATATTTGTATGTGTACAGATGAAATGATGTATTTGGAATGTGCCTCAAAAATCCGGTAATGGAGGGAAGTGTGGGAACATAGATAAAATTGGCAATGGGTTGATAATTGTTGAAACTGGTTCATGGGTACATAGAGCTTTATTGTCTTATTTTCTCACTTTTGTTTATTCTTGAAATTTTCCTCAATAAATACTATTTTTAAAATGTTAGTAATTGTCAAATCTTTGTTTATGGTGGTTCATTATACTACTCTATTTTTCTCTGTGTTTATATAGTAGTCATTATATAAAGTAAAAAAAAGTCCTTCATCGGAATGATCCATCTGTACCTGATGGTATCACCAGTTTCTTTACTGCCTCTCCATGGTCTCTCCAGCTAATTATCCTATGATGACAGATAAAGCCTTCTGTCACCTGCCCTCTGCCTTTCACTCCATCTCTTGCATCTGGTACTGGGTCAATGTTGAACTAGTTTGGTTCCTAAATACACAATACTGTTCATGCCTCTGTCCCTTTTCATATGCTGTTCCTTCTTCCTGAAATGCTCTTCCCCTTCTTTACGCCTGGTAAACAACCCATCTTGCAAAAACCTCTTCAGCGTTCAAGTTCTCTAAAACCTTCCCATATCACCCTTCTACTCCTTAACTAACTTGTTAATGTGTATCTTGCTTCATTCCATACATATCTGAGGCAGCTTCCAGGCAAATTACCACTCTACTATTTCTCTGACATGTACATTATATTAATCTTTGCACAAATCTCAAAGCGTTATAATTATTTCATTACAGGCTTTTCCTGCCCCCACTAAACTATAATTATGTAGTCAATATTTGATAAATATTTATTCAATCAAATTGGCTCCTGCTTTAAAATGTTTTAAGTGGCATTGTGAATAGAAGCAACGGTTAAAACAAAGAAAATCTTAATAACTAGAATTTTTTTCATACTATCAATCAGTAGAAGAAAAATAATCACCACCACAGCTGCTTAAAGTGGTCACTAGAGGTTTAGTTTCACCTCAAACACTAACAGATTCTTGTCGAAGATCATATTATTATGACTCCAGTCATAGGATTATTTTGAATCAGTTAAGAAAACATTGGAAGATCTTAAATGGAGATTAATGTCATGTAGATATGTGTCTTTCTGTGTATGCAATGACCATATTTGGGGGACCCCTTGAAGAGAATTAGGCACTGCAAAAGATGTAAAACCAGTAACACTGGTAACATTTACCGATTCTTTCCATACATTTTGGTGACTATTTAAGCAATTATCTTGCTTCTCTTTTCTTTTTTAACTTACTTTTAAAAATGTATTCATGCAAACAGTTTAAAGATCCAGAAAAGAGTTAATCATTTGCCTATACCTCTGCTCCCCTCCCTGACCTCCACCACTTCCACATCTGCTGCCACTTCCTGTTTCATAACAGCAACTCTTTCTACACTTGTAACCAATTCTTTTGGTATTTATTGCATTGTTGTACATAGCATGCTTATAGCCCTCTCTTGATTTTTCAGTTTGAGTCATTAGTTTTTTTTTGTTTTTTGAGATGGAGTCTCGCTCTGTCACCCAGGCTAGAGTGCAGTGGCACGATCTTGGCTCCCTGCAACCTCTGACTCCCTGGTTCAAGCGATTCTCCTGCCTCAGCCTCCTGAGTAGCTGGGATTACAGGCACGCGCCACCATGCCCAGCTAATTTTTGTATTTTTAGTAGAGATGGGGTTTCACCGTGTTGGCCAGGATGGTCTCAATCTCCTGACCTTGTGATCCGCCCGCCTCGGCCTCCCAAAGTGATGGGATTAAAGGCGTGAGCCACTGCGCCTGGCTGAGCCATTAGTTTTTATAATACTTCCGCATAAGAAAGATGAGGCTTTCTCACACACAACCTCCACCTCAACCACACACATACGGAAATTTCCTGATTATCAATCCTGCTACTATAGCAGGCTCTGAAAACATATCTCATCACTTTCAGTTTTTTCTATTCATTACGAATTACTCAGTCCAGCACACATCAAGGGAGGGAATTAATCTCTATCTTTATAGGAAGGAGTTTCACAGAATTTGTGGGCATGTTTAAAAATGACCACATTCTATCTAAAAGACGTCTCAGTGATTTTTCCAGTAAAACATTAAGGACTCATAGTTTTATTAAAATTTTAATTTTTTCCTCTCTAACTCTTGAGATATAGGGCTAATTGTATTACAGAGGAGCTGATTTTGCCATCAGGTAGTGTGCTTTCCTTTCACCATCAGCTTAAGGATTTCCTTTTCCTGTATCTTGCACGGGGCCCCTTGTTTCCTTGATCCCATTACTTCCCCTTCTTGGTGTACTCACTTTTCTGAAAGAGTGCATACTTTACTAACTTCCTGATAAAGAGTGAATAGGAAATAAAGTTTGTAAGCATATGATCATTCAGCTTCCAACTGTTTTTCAGAATTTCCATGCCATTTGATTCTTTATCCTTGCTCTGTTCTTTCTCTCTGGAAAACTTTAGGATTTTCTCCATATCCTCAGTGTTCCAAAATTGCACCATGATGCATCTCAATGTGCCTGTATGCTTCCTCTGTACTGATTAACTAATGGAATTCTTCAATCTAGAAATCCATGCTCCTCCATTTGAATTATTTCTTTGATAATTTCTTATCCTATTCTCTCCATTTTCCCTGCTTTCTCCTGGAATCTTACTAGTAGAATGTTAGATCTCCTAGACTGGGCTTCTAATTTTCTTTACTTTTGTTTCTTTTCTATCTGTTCATCTTAATCCTTTGCTTCCTGAGAGATTTCCTCAATTATATCTTCCAGACCTTCTATTACATTTGTAATTTCTATCATGTTGTTAATTTCCAAGAATTACTGCATTTTCTAAGCGTTTTAAAATAACATTCTATTCTTACTTTTTACATATAATGTCTGTTCTTATAACTCTAAAATCACTAATGGTAGTTTAAAAAATTTTTTCTTTAAAATGCATAGTTTCTGTTTCCTCCAAGTAATTGTCTTTCTGTTTGTTTTGGTCTCTGCCTTTCACACTTTTCTGAAATCTCTGGAGCTCCTTGGCTATCCACTTATATTGCATAAAATGTAAACTTTGATGGAGCTTGTAGATTATGGGCTTCCACATAGGATAAATTGGGCAATTTAAATGTGAATTTCAAAATGTGTCATTTTTTTGAAGTCACTTTTTTGGGGGCAGTCAAATTTCTGATGAAGACTCATCAGAAATGAGTCTTCTGATCCCTTTCCTGGAGAATATAGGCTTAATTTCAGCATTCTGCAAGCCAGGTGGGAAAGAGAATTGGGGAAATAAAATTTCAATATGTACATTTTAACTTAATTTCCTTTTGTTCAATATAGTGTCCCTGCCTTCAGTTATACCTATTATCTCTCAGTCCAGAAATATTTTTGAAAAACTATATCTAGAGCTTAAAGCTCCCATCTTCTGCTAGGGTAGGGAGAAGCAGTTGCTTGGCTGCATGGAACGGGACAGATATCTGAGGGACAATTTTCCTTAAAAAGGTTTTCAACCAATTCTGCTTTTAACTCCACCTCCAGCCCCATATCTAGAGGTGAATGGTGCTGCTAATTCCTGAGAATTTTACAGATTCCATGGTGTAAATCATATTGCTTATTTTTTTCCACTTCTGGCTTAGGTTTCAGATTTTTTTTCCTCGGGTCTATTAGACCAATTATCAGGTACCATCTATGTTTTTTGTTTGCTTGTTTTTTGTTTTTGTTTTTGTTTTTGTTTTGAGACAGGTCTCACTCCCGTCGCCCAGGCTGGAGTGCAGTGGGGAGATCACAACCTACCGCAGTCTCAACTTCTCAGGCTCAGGTGATTCTCCCAACCTGGACCCCCCCCCCGTAGCTGGGACTAGAGGTGTGCCCCATCATGCCTGGCTAATTTTTGTAGTTTTAGTAAGGCAGGGTTTCACCATGTTGGCTGGGCTAATCTCGAACTTCTGGGTTCAAGCGATCCACCCACCTTGGCTTCCCAAAGTGCTGGGATTTGTCTGAGCCACGGGGCCCGGCCACCATCTACTTTCTAGCTCTCCAAAATTGTGTTTGTTTTTGTTCCCCTTCTTGTTCTCTGCTTGCTTTATGCCACTGAAAAAGATCCCTTTACTTTTTTTTTTATTGTGGTAAAATGTATACTTTCAAATCAACAATTTTGAACAGAAGTACCTTTTCCAAATATTAGTCATTGCCAATGATAATATTTACCAAGCGCTATTTTTAATAAGTCTAAATTGTTAAATCTCAAATCGGAGGGGAAATATAGAGGATATGGAATAAAGGTGTAGATTTTTTCCCTTTTTTTTTTTTTTTTTTTTTTTTTTTGGAGACATAGTCTCGCTCTGTCACCCAGGCTGGAGTGCAGTGGCCTGATCTTGGCTCACTGCAACCTCTGCCTCCCGGGTTCAAGCGATTCTCCTACCTCAGCCTCCCATGTAGCTGGGACTATAGGGGCCTGCCACCATGCCCGGCTGATTTTTGTATTTTTAGTAGAGACAGGTTTTCACCATGTTGGCCAGGCTGGTCTTGAACTCCTGACCTTGTGATCCACCCACCTTGGCCTCCCAAAGTGCTGGGATCGCAGGTGTGAATCACGGCACCCGGCCTGGTGTAGATTTTAAGAAAATAAAACTGACAATTTTAAAGAGTGAGCTTTACCATACATCTGCAGGGAAAGTTAGGCAGCTTCTAGCTGGGATAAATGTGCTTGGCAGCCTGGAAAGACTGTGGAATTCTGTTGGTATGAACAGTGGCAAGCAGACTTAAAAGTTAAAGAATGTGGACTTGTTAAAGTTAGTCCTCTTAGATTATATATGAATTGAATAGGAACAGTTATTTCATCAAGAAATATTGAGCAGAGCTGGAAGTAGAGAAAGAAGTTAGGACTTTGATTTTTAAGTAGGAAATTGATTTTTAAGAGGAAAAACATCTGTTTTTGATTTTGTGCACTGCCCTCTCTTCAAGTGCTTTTAAGTATCTTTAAAGACGCCTAGATGCAAGAAGATCTAGTCTCCATGAAATAAACCATGTCTTAAGGAATCCCCTATGCATCCATCTACTTGCTTGGCCATTGAAATAAGTTGCCCTACAACTTGACCATATCTCAGATACGAGTTTATTTAAGTTGCCTTTTTTGAATTAGACTATGTGATTTAAGAATATCGTGAAGTAAATTAAACAACTGTTGGTGGCCATCTGCCTCTGATTATCTGAGGTACAATTTTCCAAACTGTGTGTTCTGGGAAACATCAATAACCCTTAAGTTGGTGAATACTATATGGAAAAAAACCCTGTTTTTGTTTTTTAAATTTTCTTGCTTTACTATATATAAGAAAAATATGAAATATATTTATATAATTTTATAGTGCTATATATAATCTGCCTTTATGAAATGGAATGCCATACAAAAAAGACCAAAAAATAACATTAGCAATCACCTGATTTATGAACACATGGATTTATGAACACTCTAACATGGTTTTGAGGTCTAGGAATGATAATGTATTTACCAAAATGCCACGTCTGGTTTCAGATTTATTGTCTATGGTTATATATCGTGTGTCTCAAAATTTCAAGAAATATTTGCAATACTTAAAAATGTTTTTCTTCTTAAAATAAAAACATATTTAATTTTCTCACATGTTTTTATCAGTTTTGTCGCTATTTTGTGGGAGTTACAAACAGATTTTAAAAAATCTTCAGAAGTTATAAAATCATGCTGGAAAGAGGAAACATACAGTTTTATCATAATACAAGGTTTATGGTCAAGTGTTATAGTAAGTTTGAGAGGTGAAGTCACAGGATTCAGAGGAGAAAGTTACTGTGGACTGATACAGTTGGGGCGCACACTGATGAGGAAGTATGATTTGAAATAGGACTTGGAAAATAGTGACAGCTGGAAGATTGTCCTTCTCAGTCTCTCACACTCTCACATGTCTTGCCATATGCCAAGACTGCAAAACTCTGACTGCTTTTTACCTAGGCCATGTCTTAGAGTTCTGTTTGCAGCAAGCAACTTAAAGAGATGAAGTAAAGTCTCCTTTTTGGAAAAAGAGCAGGTTTGATTATTAGTTCCTATAAAATGGCAGTTCCCCAAGCTCACTGTTCTCTCCAGTAATGCAACCTGCTGTGTGTGCAAATATCCATCTTAGCCATCTCTGTTGCCCCTGTAGGGCTTAGGGACAAGGGGAATCAATGCAAACATGATACTCATGCTGTTTGTGCTGTTGTGATTAATACAATTTTTGTCACTGGGCTAGACATTTCATCTCTTCTGCCAATTTTCATGATACAGTAATAGACTATTAGCTTGTAAATAGGGTAAAATAAAATCCCAGACCTGACACTGGGGTAATGAGAGATTAGTATGTTTTAGAAAGCACTGTTCAGTAGGAATGTAATGGAAGGGACCTTCACTGGGGGCTCTGGGTAGCCAGCAAGTTTATGAGGTTAGACTTTCAGTAGATTTGACTTTTCAGCCCAGATTATTGGAATCTAACTCATTCTCAAGCCTTAGCTAAAATATTTCCTCTTTAATGAAATTTATGTGAATATTCCTAGGCAGATCTGTATTCTGAAAACACTTTGCTTATTCTTTTATTATAGTTTAGTTTTTTATTCCAATTATGGCTAATTGTTTACGTATTTGCCTACTGATTCTTTGAGAGTAGAAGTAACATCTTATTTCTCTCCTTTTCTCTGATCCCTTTAGCCTACTGCCTTATAATAATAATAAATTTTGTTTATTGAGCATTTTCTAGGCATTATCTCATTTAATCCTCACAAAATCATCTGGGTAAATAATATGATTATTCCACATTTTACAAAAGCTGAAACTGAGATTTGGAGAGGCATTTGAAGTCACATCCTTAGTAGAGGCCAAGCCATAAACCCAGTGTTAACTGCCTCTAGTGTCTGAGCTCTGAATGATGGGATTATAAAGATTCCCACAAACAGTATCCTCTCTCAATACAATCAGCTCTCCATATCCATGGATTCAACCAACTAACTATAGGTCAAAAGTATTTGGAAAAAAATTTCGATAGTTGCAACTGTACTGAACATGTACAAACTTTTTTCTTGTCATTATTCCCTAAACAATAGAGTATAACAACTATTACATAGCATTTTCACTGTAGTAGGTATTAAGAATAATCTAAAGATGATTTAAAATACATAGGAGGATGTGCATAGGTTATATAAAAATGCTACACTATTTTATAGAAGGGACTTGAGTATCCATGGATTTGGTATCCATAGAGGGTCCAGGAACAAATCCCCCACAGATACTGAGGGATATTTCTTGAATGGTTGAAAGTAAATATATTAAGGAGTAGATGGTGACCCTGAGGGCATTAGTTAAATAGGGCCCAAAACTTGACAAGGAGGGTCACTGAAAAGTGAGTTGCAGAGTTTTAAAAGCAAACTGTGACTACTGAATATACAAGTTCATTTCTCACTGTTATCAATAATTTTATCAAACCAAGTTTCTCACGTACTATTCTCCTAGCAAAACAAACTATAAAAAAAAGTACTTAAAGTACCATAAGGAAACTCATGCACAACACGCATGCATGCCCATACACTTACCATCTGACTTTAATTCCACAGTAACACATGCTATTTGGTCTTAGGTATCTTTCCTTAGCTCAAGGGTTATGGTTACCTACATTCTAAAAGGGAGCATCACTTCTTGTCTTTTAAGTCAGTATGTTCTTATCTTCTGTTGATTATCCCAGAAAGTCCAATGGTCAGCTTCAGTCATCAGATCATTTAGGTGTTGTAGGGCAGGGGTCCCTAACCCCTGGGCCATGGGCTGGTATCGGTCCATGGCCTGTTAGGAACTGGGCCACACAGCAGGAGGTGAGTGACAAGCGAGCAAGTGAAGCTTCATCTGTATTTACAGCTGCTGCCCATTACTTGGATTACCGCCTGAGCTCCACCTCCTGTTAGATCGGCAGCATCTAGTGAGGGATCTAAGTTGCATGCTCCTTATGCGAATCTAATGCCTGATGATCTGTCATTGTCTCCCCTTACCCCCAGATGGGACTATCTAGTTGCAGGAAAACAAGCTCAGGGTTCCCACTGATTCTACATTATGGTGAGTTGTATAATTATTTCATTATTACAATGTAATAATAATAGAAATAAAGTGCACAAAAAATGTAATGCACTTGAATCGTCCTGAAACCACCCACCCCCACCCCTGTCTGTGGAAAAATCGTCTTCCAAGAAACCAGTCTCTAGTGCCAAAAAGGTTGGGGACTGCTGTTGTAGGGAATGTGTGAGGTAGTTGTTCAGCTCATTCAGAATAAAAGCCAGAGTGCTTACAGTGGTCCAAAGGCTTACATAATCTGTCCCCAACCCCTTTATCTCTCTGACTTCATGGCCTATTTCTGTCCCCTAATTCGCCATTCTCAGACCACCTTGATTAACCCTTCATCCCTTCAATCTTTGCTCAAAGGTCGTTTCTCATGAGGGCAACAGCTCTCCAATCTCCAGCCTTTCTAATGCTTCTTGGGGTGCTCTCCGTTTTCTTTTTTTCATAGTATTAATCTTCTCCTTACATACCCAATTATTTATTTTTTATTATTATTATTATTTATTGTGGCTGCTCTTTTTTCCTCCGCTTCCCCCTAGAATGTAAGCTCCATGAGGACAGAGCTTTGGTTTTGCTTCATTGACACATGCTAGAACATGCCCAGAATGTATCAGACACTCAATAAATATTTGTTGGTTTAAGTGAATGAAATAATAATGAAATCCTATGAATCAATAAGGAAAAGACAGACAAACTAAATATAGAAAATGGGCAAAAGGTTTGAATAGGCATTTCATAAAAAAGGATATCCAAATGGCTAGAAAAGAGATGTATAGATGCCTAAAGTCTGCAATGATTAGGGAAATGTCAGTTGAAACCACAATGAGAGATACCATTACATATTCCCCTGACAAAAAGTAAATAACTAGAAATACCAAATATTGCAGAAGTGAGAAGCAATGAGAATTCTTATAGTAGTATAAATGGATACAATCCTTTATATTTGACATGATATAACAAACTGGAATATGTGCATACTCTCATGCTACCACTTATTCCCAGAAATGCACTCTGAAGAAACACTTGCTCGTGTTTATCAGAGTACAAGTGCATGAATGTTCATACCAGCAGTGCTGATAAGAGCCAGAACTGGGAACAACCCAAATGTCCATCAGCAGTTCAATGGACTACATTATAGTATATTTGAACAATAAAATACCACACAGCAATCAAAATAAATAAATTGTCCTAGACATAATGTGGATTAATCTCTTAAAAACAAAAAGAATATCACAAAACAATTATTACAGCACGATTGTATTCATTTAAAGTTCAAAAACCAGCAAAACTAAGCATGGATAGTTTAGGAATGCACACTTAAGTGGTAAAACAGCAAAAAGAAAGAAATGATCACTTCTCACTTCTAGGTGGAAAGAGTTGGAAGTGTGAAAGGATGTATGAGGCAGGGGTTTCTGGGGTGCTGGAAATGTACATTTCCTTCCACTCTTCGGTGGTTACATAGATGTTTGCTTTGTAATAATTATTAAATTGTACATAAATGTTTCATATACTCTTCTCTGTGATTTATTTCTCATAATTTTTAAAATGGCAATAAATTGCCGGATCTTGTAGGATATTCCTTTCATTTGGAACTTCTTAATGTTCTAGTCCTTGTGGCAAATCATCTTGAAAGAATATACCCTTTTTTGATTTGGATCTTTTAAAAAATCATTTTATGTATGTATGTATTTATTTATTTAGAGACATGTCTTGCTCTACCACCCAGGCTGGAGTACAGTGGCACAATAATAGCTCACTGCTACCTCAAACTCCTGGGCTCAAGTGATCCACCCACCACAGCCTCCAGGGTAGCTGGTACTACAGGTGCACAGCACCACACCCAGATAATTTTTTTTTTTTTTTTTTTGGTAGAGATAAGATCTTGCTATGTTTCTCAGGCTGGTCTCAGAACTTCTGGTCTCAAGCAATTCTCCTGCCTTAGCTTCCCAGAGTGCTGGGATTACAGGCATGAGCCACTGTGCCAGCCCTGATTTCAGTCTTTTTCACTGGATAAGAATATAATATGATCAATTCCACAGTCCTTACATTGCAATTTACAAGAGATATTTCATAAGTATGTAATGAAGAGGAAGGGACAAAATTAAGTCAACTAAAGGCTTTGCTTTTGGGGTAGGCTTAGTGTGAGGTGTGCTAAACACTCAGTGGGAGTGCGCTGCTGTCAAAATAGGCCCTGGCTGCTGCTGCTGGGGCTGACTCAGAGAGGGAGGGTTTCTCCATCTTTTATCTTGGGGAGAATAATTTATTGTAGGCCACCTGGTAGATAAGATGCAGGATGTTGTGAAATTTAGAGTTCCAAGATGTTTTTCAGCCAGAGACATTTGAGTATTTGGCTAATTCTATTTTCAGATACTCCCCTTAGGACTTGCTTCTTTAGTCAGTTCATTGAGCATTGATATTTCTAGCCATGGCTTTGGATAAAGCAAGGAGACCATTCTTAATCTTATGCCTTGTTATTATCTTGCCAGTACTCGATACAACGTAGAATCATCTCTTATAACAATGTGGTTGTTTTTCAGCAAATATTAATAGCAGATTCTGCATCTGAATCTCTTTAAAGGTTAGGTGTTCAGGATAGCATAAAGCTGGGGGTGATGATGAAGAATCATTTGGTAAACCAGCAAATAAATACATACTGAGTGTAGAAATGCTTCTTCAGCCAATGATGCAGCCTGTTTGGGCCAGGCCCAGAGGAGTGGTGACTTCTGCCAAATAGCAGTGACCTTGTTCCCACCAAGAAATAACTTACTGTGTCTCAGTCTCACCATGTTTATTCAAAGTGGTCTTTCCTGTTAGTAGTTGCTGAGTTTCAAGATAAAACGTCAAATATTGAGGGTCACTAAGGAGATCTGTATCTCTTCTGCCCACAAAGTCACATGGGCTAGGAAGGGAAAAATCTGACCCAGTAATAAAAACAGCCAGTGGCCACATTAAACTACATCATCTAGGGAGGATCCGTACCCTACCTTTGGTTTTGCCTTTATTGACATGTAACTTTGGATTAATGATGTAACCTCTTTAACTTTCGATTCCCATTTGTAAATGTGAGTGAGGTGTTTCACGGGTAACCTGGAAACTTGTTAAAATGAAATGAAATAAAAGATGCAAAACTGCTTTTTTGACTGTAAAACTCTACACCAGGGTAAGGTTACTTTTTAAAAATTTCCAATTATACATTTAATATTTATTATTCATTACAACAACTCCAAAGATCAAAAGTGCATGAAATTAAAAAAAATTCCTGCACCAATCTTAGTCCTCAGAAGGGACCACATTTGATAATTTAGTGCTTACCTTTCTACACTTTATGAATGTGTGTGCATGTGTGTGGGGGCTGGTCGGTGGGGTTAACAAAAAAGGGATAATATCCTACTAACCAGTAAAATACTAAGTAGCAATTTTTTAAATGAGGTAAATTGTCAGATACTGACATGGAATAATTGTACTTTATGTGTAAAAGTTACAGAACAACACTTATGATAGAGTTTATGCAGACACAGAGTTTATACATGGCTACTTCTGAGAAGAATATATTGCAAAGGAATGAGGTAATTTTATTTTACTTCTCACCATTCTCTACCATTACAATTATTTTCTTAAGCATATATATTTTCACAATAATTATTAAGGACTGTGCAAGAGGAGGTGGAGCATAAATCAAAACAATGGAGACAATATGATACTACTGAAGATGCAAGTATAAGTGATAGAACATAAAAAAAGTTTTGAAAGGAAAGAATATACAAAAAGATATTGGAGGCTGGGCGCAGTGGCTCACATCTGTAATCCCAGCACTTTGAGGCTGAGGCAAGCAGATTGCTTGAGCCCAGGAGTTCGAGACCAGCCTGGGCAACATGGTGAAACCCCATTTCTACAAAAAGTACAAAAATTAGCTGGGCATGGTGGCACATGCCTGTGGTCCCAGTTACTCAGGAGGCTGGGGTGGGAGGATCACTTGAGTCAGGGAGGCAGAGTTTGCGGTGAGCCAAGATCTTGCCACTACACTCCAGCCTGGGTGACAGAGTGAGATCCTGTCTCAGACGAAAAAGGAAGCAGCAATTGGAAAATGAAATAAAGGAAGTAAAAATGAAACTAGGTATGATATGATTTTCAAAAGCATTCTTTTAGGGAATGAAAAAAAGCTGATCACGCTGTTTCTGCTGCCAACTTTCTTGTTACGCATGACTCTCAACAACAGGATATTCTGCCCTGTAGGTTAGTTCTTTTTAACGGCCTTATGCAGAAAAAGGTAAACAGAAATCAGCATAAGCTTCTGCCAAAAGAGGAAGAAGGGCTAAATATGACCAGTGCTCAATTATTTTATAGTTTAAAGTTTTTTTATCTCATATTTTAAAATTCAGAAAACAGCCACAAATTTGGGGAATGGGCAGGAATGACAAGCTAATGGAAGGCAAGGATCGCTGAAAAGTCCCGGCATTATAAAGTTACAGAATTTTATCCGTAGATATAATTGCTCTCACCGTCTTTAGAGACTTTCTATCAACAAATCCTGCCACATCTATGTACAAAGTCTACCTTGAATCTATCTACTTTTTCCATTTTGGTCCCCATCCACTCAGTTCAAGTTCACTCCCACCTATTTCCACTGTAGTGGCCTCCTGATTAGTCTCTCTCCTTCTACCCTGGCTCTCCTGCTTCCCATGTCATTCCTTTTCTCTCAAGGAAAGCAAACCATCTTCCTAAAATGCTCATATGATGAAAACCAAAATCCTTCTCATGGTTTCCAGGCACTGCACACTCAGTCCCTTGCTCATTTTTTTCAGTCGCCTTTCAGGTTTCCAACTCTGCTAACATCTTTTTCTCCCTAGTCTTTGCACATACTGTTCCTTCAGTAGGACTGAAATGCTCCTTCTTGCTACCCTACAGGATTCAGTTTTCAAAAAGTTTCCTCAAATCCCTTCTCCCCTAATCTAAATCAGGTCACAATTTGCATTTCTTTGTATGGTATTGGTTTTATCTGTATGACTGAAATGCTCCTTCTTGCTACCCTACAGGATTCAGTTTTTAAAAAGCTTCCCCAAATCCCTTCTCCCCTAATCTAAATCAGGTCACAATTTGCATTTATTTGTTTGGTATTGGTTTTATCTGACTTCCCAACTCTGTTGAAGCTGTGTAACAACTACTTGGAGGCTCATAAAACTATCCTCTCTACTTTTGTGTTTAGTTTATATTTACCATAACATATAAGCTTTAACACTTTTCCTCTGATCCTATAAACTAAAAACAACACTTGTTGCCTGCAATTCTCTTAACTACTTTTTCAAATTTCGTATTTTACAAAGTTTATTTTCCTTTTCATGATTAATTTATTATTGTAACCCTATTAGAGTCATAAAATGCTCTAATTTTTGAATGACCACAGCAGGCTCGACTAGAAGCCCAATGTGCCATCAATTGTGCTATAGAACCAGCTAGAATGCCGTAATTTTAAAGTTCCTAACAAGATGTTGTGGGCAAGAAAATGAACTTGAAATTAACATCAGATAACCTAACAGAAATGTCTGAAGTTCAATTGTTCTGCCACTGTTTTTGCTCCAAAAGTCTTTTATTTGAAAAGGACTCTAGAACAAGGATATAAGACTTCTTTTAGTTCTAGCTTTTACTTTGGATGAATCACTTTCTTTTTTTGTTTGTTTTAAATAATATTATAAAGAGGTTAAGCTCTATATTTTAATTTCAGATATAAAATTCCACAATTTGGAAGAAAAAAAGCACTCAAAAAATACCAATGTTTATTTTTTAATAAAGCAATAATTCAAAACAATTTTTTTTTCTACTCATTCAAAAGGTCATAACTCAGGAGTGCTGTTTATACCAGATGAATCTACAAAGCCAAGAACAGGAATCACCGTATCTCCTTCAGTAGACCTGATACTGTGAGTCTTCTCTTTTCTGTTGACATATTTGTGCAACATGCTGTAGTACTGGCCCTTCGGATTGAAAGTATACAGTGATGAAATTTGCTGCCACTCTTTCATGCTTGGAGTGTTATATTCTTTTGGATGCGAGCCCTCAAAGAAACATTTAATATTCTCTTTTGCCAATTCAGTTGCATGCTCTGTGGCTTTACTTTTAAGGATCTGCTGCTCCTGTTCCAAATAGATTTTCCAGAATTTCAGCTGCAGAAAACTAACTGGAGATAGGCATCGGGTGACAGATGTAAAAATCAGAAGAATGATGATAACAACTGCTATCAAGATCCAGCCCAACACCTTAAGAAAACACAACAAAATAGTAATTTAGTTACTTGGTTTTTTACAAGAAATTTAAAAATCCTCAGATAAAGTTTCAACTACTCGCCAGTTATGATGATGAACAAGCAACAGTTTTAGGTCTTAATTCCTTAAGAGTAAGGTGTCGCAGTAACCTCCCTAGCCCCCCAGTACAACTTCTCGTTTGGAAAGTCAACTGTAGTCCAAGTTATGCACTATGATTCTGCCCAGGGAGGAGCCCATACCATTCCCTTAGAACTCAAAATGTGGAATTTCTGCAAATCCTGGGAAAGAAGTGTTCATTTTAAAGAACCTCTGAGCTTTCTAAGTCCAGTGGTGGCTTTAGAGCCAGACAAACCCATTTTATTCTATAGACCCCTTTAATTCTAACAATTCTGCTTTCTATTGGCTGGGCAAACAACTTTACTTAGACTCAGTGAAGTCACTATATAGGGGAGATACGAAACTATTACTTGTAATGGCAAAACCGCAATTTTGCACCCAACAGAGCTGTTGTGAGACGTAAAAATAATGCAGGAGGTCAAGGGCCTAGCGCAGTATCTGGCACTGAGTAGGCGTGCCCACTCTCACTCCCACTTTCCACGATTCATGTACAGTGCCAGATACTACGGGAATGCGTTTTTCTCCTTTTCATTCGTTTTATTCAGATATTCTCTTGACGGCAAATTAGATGCAAGGAGCCATTCTAGATTTTCTTAGGGTACTGTATATCTGGAGAAAAGTCACCGATTTTTCCCTCACCCCAGCGGCCCTGAGAAAGCTCGGCCTCTCGGCTCCTCCCAAACGCCCCCAGCGCCAGCGGCAGACCTGCGACTGAGCCTTCAGATCCTTCAGGAGGTCCTGCACGTCCGACGCCTTGGCCTGGTTGCACGGCACCAGCGGCAGCTCCGCGGCGCAGCTGCGGTTGCGGCCGAGGCACAGGCGCTGCGCGAAGGCCGCGCTCCCGGTGGCCGCGCACTCGTAAAAGGCGCCCCCGAGCAGCGCCACGGCCACCCAGGTGAGGGGCGCGAGCGCGGCGGCC
The DNA here is from genome assembly GCF_000001405.40 of Homo sapiens. NCBI lineage: Eukaryota > Metazoa > Chordata > Mammalia > Primates > Hominidae > Homo > Homo sapiens. Next base: position 116,462,240 of record NC_000006.12, on the reverse strand, counting down.
GCGCTGATTTGCGTGCACACCAGGGAGCCGCGCAGCGCCGATCCGCAACTCGCGCGGGCGCTGGAGCAGCATCCGGTGAGCAGGCGCCACGTGCGTGCGCTCAGCACGTAGCCCAGGAGGAAGAGCGCGAGCGCCGGCACCAGCAAGAAGACCAGGCCGTAGGGCAGGTTCCAGGCGGCGCTGCACGGGCACTGGAATGCCACGGCGGAGAAGATGCGCTCCCCGCCCGCCGTCAGCAGGGTCACCAGGCCGTAGCCCAAGGCGCTGTGGTGCTTGACGTGCAGGTCCAGCACCGCCCGAAACTTCTCCATGAGCCTCGTCCCCCGGGGCGTCGCGCACAGGCCCAGATCCTTCTGCCTCTTCGTTGTCCTGCTTGTCAAATGGTTTTGGTGGGATGGGGACCGGGGCTTTCCACTCTGCGAGAAGCAGCCTTTTTTTTTTTTTTTTTAAAGGGAAGAGGGCTTCTCAGACCTTCCTAAAGTTTCACTTTCTCATTTCAGCCACACCACCTCTGGTTAACAGAACCAGGCAAGCAAACACCCCCAGGACCTTGACTTCTCTGGCACCCACCCCATTCCAAAGGCAGAGGCACCAGTTATCTTCCTCCCCCAATTCAGGAACTCTGACAGAAGGTTGACCTTGTTCCTTTATTACCACCAATCTGACAACGAACCAGGAAACTAACCTTCTTGACCCACGGCCGCCAGTTGGAAAAACTGGGAAATACCAGATTTTCCTCTATTGCAGCCACCCTAGTTACTAAGCCAGATCACAGTAAAACCAAATAATTATCAAAAAACTGATTACTTACGGGAAACATTATTCAAGGACAAATTTCTGGTTCCTCTTCCATAAGCTAAATCAGCAAAGTCCAGCTCAAGTTCTGGTACTTCTATGATGGGCGGCACCCTTTCCATCTCCCTACCGGACAGAGCCACCAGCCTAGTTCACACTGACTCTTCTCTCCTCTGCCTGATCTCCTTCAGGACATTAGACCAAATATACTGTATTGATTTACTCGTCAATACAATGTTCTTTTCTTTCAGATATGTCATAACACTGTCAATGCCTGGAGGAGAGTAAAATTCTGACTCTGACCACCAAGCTGATCTGCACAGAAGGGGATACATGATTATTCAAAGAATGCTAGTTGAACCCAAAATTTCAAACTGCAGCTACATCTATCTAATGTTGTTTCCTCCACCTTCAGTTTTCTCAAGCAGCGTTGTTCTGACACAAACACTGTAACCACTTTTGTGATATTGAGCCTTACTCTGTGTGACTCCAGACTGAGCTGAGGTGTGCTTGAAAGAACATGGGCTTTGAAGTCAAGTGCATCTTGTCTGTGGTGTGTTTAACAAGTATGCCCCTCTGAGACACAGCATCCTTATTTGTAAAAGAAGGATAATAGTGCCCACTTTTCAAGATTACTGACATGAGTAGATTGAGTAGCATATGTAAAGTGCCTTTACATATAGGATATGTCTGTTAAATGAATGATCAGTGTGAGAGTTTTCCCCTTAAAATGCAATTTGGGGAATAGACAACAAATAATTACATTGTACATAACCTAAGAATCTTGATGAATACTGAATTTTGAATTTTAAACGAGGATCAATTCAGTGGATAGTATTAAGTGACTCAATGACTCTGCTACCTTAAGAGAATTGGTGTACACCTTAGCTGTCTGCTTCACCACAAGGAGAGTATCTGGATATGGAGCTTGGGTGGGCAGTTCACAATGAAATGGTTCTTATTGGTGCCCATCCACCAGGCTTGCCTTATTTTATCTGGAAAGAATAGGTAGCCCATGGAACCAAGTGAATTTTTAGAGAATGGACAAGAAATGTATTATTCTTTTCTTAGTCCAACTTGCCTTCTTAACTACTCCCTCTCCAACACCACCAGCAGGGTGCCTAGCGTAGTGCCAAAAGCTGTCATTCCATAGTGATGTGGTAAATAGACATCTTTTTTCTATGTGTTTAGGGGCCAGCCCCAGATGAGGGTCTTCATGGTCATGCAGGAAAGTTGGGGCCCTCTTCTCTGAGATTAGACCAGATACTGCTAGGCTTCCTGTCAACTTGCAGCAAAGTTGCGTGTTTGAAGCGAATCACTTCTGCTCTGACTGTTATCTTTGTAATTTGTCATCTCCCAAGATAAATTTCTTCCCCTGTGCCTTGAGTAACTCTCCTCTTACTGCTGGACTCTTCTTCACCTCTACCATAATACTCTAAGATGTGTCCTCTCTCGTCCACCCTTTCCCATATTCCATCATGCAGAAACATCACTATATCCACAACCTTTGTGCAGATGGCTTTATCCAAATCTCCCCTAACCGAAACCTAATAAAAATGCATCCTTCTGTCTTCTTGAGTGAGATTAATTTATTCTCCCACATCTCTCAAACCAAGAGGGATGGCTGGCATTTTCCTGGTTACCTGCTGATAGCCATACCAGGGTTTTACCACTGTGCTATAATAGTTTATCATCCACTGAGGCTCAATCTAATCAGCACCATCTCCTCCTTCACCTCATTCCTATGGTCTGTTTTCATTCCCTTCATTTTTTAAGACTCTAATGAAGTCCATCACCTTCTCTTCCCTGGCTTCTGTTATTTAGTCAAGGATTTGTTTGAAATATGTTTACTTACAGAAACTTTTATCTATCAGCCCCCTTCCCCAACTAGATTAATTCATTTGTTAACCAGTTATTAATTAGTTCATTTGTTCATTCAGTCATTCATTTAAATGTTTAATAAGTACTCAGAATATGTCAAGTACCTATCAAAAGTGCCTGGTATTGCTGGATACAACAAGGAAGAAGACACAGGTATCCTGCCGTCTTTGAACTTACAGTAGAGATGATATAGGAAATGGAGAGGAGGGGTCCTAAAGATTACGCACAGGATAAATTGGAGTTAGAGAGTGTCCTGAAAGAGCCTCTGTGAGAAACTGACATTTAATCTGAATGAGTCTGGAGTACAAAGGAGCTTGGTTAGAAAGAAGGCTAGAGTGATGGGAGCATTGAGAATGACAGGCAAGTTGGCACATCATGAGGCCAAAGCTGCAAGTGGAAGGTCAGGTTTAGGTGCTTCACAGACCAGAATATGTAGTCTGCAATTCTGCCTCTGAAACTTTCACAGACTGAGCTGCATCCTGACATATTGTCTTGTCAGCTTGTGTCTCTAAACACCACCTCCTGGGTTTGCTACTTCTGTGCTCTCCCAAACCCAACTCTCCCAGATGCAATGATCATTCAGAACTTAGTACAGGTTTCTATAATTGAGAGTCCAGGTTTTGCCTGCCAGCCTGAATGTTTCCCCAGCACTTGGTCTTGAGTCTAGTACCCTGCCATCCACTCCCACCACCACTGGATTGACTGGTTCTAGCTCTGGGTCTATTGAAGATTCCCAGCCCTCCATACCCAGGTCTGTTCTGAGAGGATATTGCTCAGAAGTTCAGCCCTTAGTGGAAATTGACTAACACCCTAATGGTGTGGAGAGGTAGACTAAATAATATTTTAAATGTCTTTACACTTTTGAAAGCCTGTGATTTGCTTCAGCTGTTAAGAAATGAGTAGTAGAATGTCATCGGTAAAGCCTGAGTCCTGTCCTCTTGCTCTCCTCCCTGGACAGTATGAGCTTCACCACTTGCTCCACCTTCTCCACCAACTACCATTCCCTGGGCTCTGTCCAGACACCCAGCTTCATCGCCCAGCTGGTCAGCAGTGCAGCCAGTGTCTATGCAGGCACCCAGGACTCTGGTTCCCGGATCTCTGTGTCCCGCTCCACCAGCTTCTGGGGCGGCATGGGATCCGGGGGCCTGGCTGCAGGGATGGCCAGGGGTCTGGCAGGGATAGCAGGCATCCAGAATGAGAAGGAGACCATGCAAAGCCTGAACGACTGTCTGGCCTCCTACCTGGACAGAGTGAGGAGCCTGGAGACCGAGAACTGGAAGCTGGAGAGCAAAATCCGGGAGCACCTGGGGAAGAAGGGACCCCAGGCCAGAGACTGGAGCCATTACTTCATGACCATCAGGACCTGAGGGCTCAGATCTTCACAAATACTGTGGACAATGCCCGCATCGTTCTGCAAATCAATGCCTGTTTTGCTGCTGATGACTTCAGTGTCAAGTATGAGACAGAGCTGCCCATGTGCCAGTCTGTGGAGAGCGACATCCATGGGGTCCACAAGGTCATTGATGACACCAATGTCACTCGGCTGCAGCTGGAGACAGAGATCGAGGCTCTCAAAAAGCAGCTGCTCTTCATGAAGAACCATGAAGAGGAAGTAAAGGCCTACAAGCCCAGACTGCCAGCTCTGGGCTGACCGTGGAGGTAGATGCCCCCAAATCTCAGGACCTTGCCAAGATCATGGAAGACATCTGGGCCCAATATGACGAGCTGGCTCGGAAGAACTAAGAGGAGCTGGACAAGTACTGGTCTCAGCAGATTGAGGTGAGCACCACAGTGGCCACCACTCAGTCCACCGAGGTTGGAGCTGCTGAGATGACGCTCACAGAGCTGAGATGTACAATCCATTCCTTGGAGATCGACCTGGACTCCATGAGAAATCTGAAGGCCGCTTGGAAAGCAGCCTGAGGGAGGTGGAGGCCTGCTATGCCCTGCAGATGGAACAGCTCAATGGGATCCTGCTGCACCTGGAGTCAGAGCTGGCACAGACCCAGGCAGAGGGACAGCACTAGGCCCAGCAGTACGAGGCCCTGCTGGACATCAAAGTCAAGCTGGAGACTCAGATTGCCACCTACCAATGCCTGCTGGAAGATGGCGAGGACTTCAATCTTGGTGATGCCCTGGACAACAGCAACTCCATGCAAACCATCCAAAAGACACCACCCGCCCAATAGTGGATGGCGAAGTGGTGTCTGAGACCAATGACACCAAAGTTCTGAGACATTAAGCCAGCAGAAGTAGGGGACCCTTCGAGGAGCAGGAGGCCAATAAAAAGTTCAGAGGTCAAAAATAAAAAATAAAAAGAAATGAGTAGTAGAGTCTCACATTAAGCACAGTGTAAAGCCAATGGTTATGGGTTCCCTTTGGTTTCCTTTAACTGTAGTACTTTTTCAGCACTATCATTTTCAATGTCAGGAATGGGTTTCAGAAACCACAGAACATTTCTTGGAAAAGGAACTTCTTGAAAGGAAATGCACATACACACTGTGAATCTGAAAGTGTCTTGCAATTGTCTTCATGTGTGCTAGTTCTCAAACATTGTTCTCTGCGGCTCTCATAAGAATACAGACTAATGGCATGACCCTGCTTGGAATATGACTGCTGGATTCTTATACAACATTAATCTTGGCCCCAAGACCCTCCAAAAAGAGTAAAATCAAATTAATATTCAAATATCTTAGGTAACATATGCAAGAAGAAATGCCAGATGCCAAATTAAAAAGTTAGTTTACAAAATCTGACACTCCTAGTCTTAAAGGGAATATCTTTCTGAATGTTAAAATTTGTGGATATATTGCTCATGTTAGATAACATATTTGAAAATCTGGAACATGCTGTTGTCTTCAGATATTTTAAACGTTTATAAAAGTTTTTTCCAATGGAAGTGTAAAGCAGAAGGAGGGAAAGATCAGACCCTTTCCTTGGCACAGAGATGTCATTTGTTAAATGGCAATCCCATGACATTTCAAAAAAGCCTTTTAAAGATTTTTATTCCTCTCTTAGTGTGAATTTCCTAAGCCTATCACAAAAGTTTAAGTACTTATTGATTAACACACTAATTTTTGTTCTTGCAGCAGATAGTTATTTTAACTCTGTTAAAAGAAAAAACATAGCCAAATTAAATCTAACAGAGTTTAATTGAGCAAAGAATGATTCATGAATCTGGTAGCCTCTTGAGCCAGAGTAGGCTCAGAGAGAATCCCGTGGAAGATTTATAGACAGAAAAAGGAAAGTGACGTACAGAAAATGGAAGTGAGGTATAGAAACAGCCTGATTGGTTACAGCTTGGCATTTACCTTCTTTGAACACAGTTTGAACAGTTGACCCCCTTTGATTGGCCAAAACTTGTTGACTGGCACAACAGTAGGTTACAGTCTGCTTACATTACAGAGAAACCTTTAGGCTGAACTTAAGATACGTAAGGAGGCTGCTTTAGGATAAATTTGATTTAACAACTTAGAGAAACTAGATATGGCCAAGTCTTTGTTGACATCATCGTTGCTACCATTGTTGTTGTCACCGCCATCATCAATATCATCTGATACACTGAGGCTATTAAAGGTCCTAGTTAGTTTTCCTTCTGTGCTTTTTACGACCTATGTCTATTAGCAGTTTTGGTGAAACAATGTTTTCTCATTGTCTTAGTCTTTCAGTCTGCTATAACAAAATACCTTAGACTAGGTAATTTATAAACAAAAAATTATTTCTCACAGTACTGAAGGCTGAGAAGTCCAAGATCAAGATGCTAGCAGATTTGGTGTCTGCTAAGAGCCTATTCCTCATAGATGGCAACTTTCCTGTGTCTTCACATGGTGGAAGAGACAAGGCACCTCCCTTCAACCTCTTTTATAAGGGCACTAATCCCATTCACAAGAGTGAAGCCCTCATGATTTAATCACCTCTCAACAGGCCTCACCTCTTAATACTATTGTATTGAATACTAAGTTCCAACATAGGATTTTTGTGGGGACACCAACATTAGACCATAGCACCCATCAAATCAAATTGTTATTTCAGAGGTGAGAGAGAGAGTTGGAGAGAGAGACAGAGAGACAGACATAGAAAGAGAGAGAGAGCCACAATATGTAGCTACAAATTTATATATCCACAATATACATCCGGAATATATCCACAAATTTTAACATTCAGAAATATACTCCCTTTGGGATTAGGAGTGTCAGATTTTGTAAATTAACTTGTTAATTTTGGCATCCAGCATTGCATCTTGCACGTGATACCTAAGATATTTGAATCTTAACTTGATTTTACTCTCTTTGGAGGGTCTTGGGGCCAAGATTAATGCTGTATTAGAATCTAGCAGTCACATTCCAAGCAGGGTCATGTCATTAGTCTGCATTCTTATGAGAGCTGCAGAGCACAATGTGTGATAATGTGTGATGGAGCTTTGTTGTCAATGGGCACTTATCGTCACAATCCCAGTTCTCCTGAACTCAAATTTCCTTTACTAATTTATGATATATGATCAAAGATATGAATTTCCAAAGAAAACAATAATAAATAACAAGATTAAAGAATAAGAATGAAGAAAATAAAAATAACAATAAAACAAAATTTTGAGTTCTTCAAATTATAGATGACACTATTATAAAATCTCAGAAATTTAAATGAACTCTGTGGAGAGCATAAACTGTCATGGAAGATCTTCCCAAAAAGAATGCATCACTTGAAACTTGCTACAGTGTCAAGTTGTAGAGTACTATTTAAATAAGTTATGTAGTATTGGTGCATAGAATACAAAGTAGATCCATACCATTGAGGTAGATCTGTATGTGCTGGTATGGATGAAAAGACATGGAAGACATACTAATTGGAAAATAAGCAAGAACATTTCATGCAATCCATTTGTATACAACAGAAAATTTACTTTTCAAGAAAGCAGAAGAATGGAATCATGTATTGAAAAGAACTGTGGCTATTGACAAATATAGCTCAGAACTGTGGCTATTGACAAATACAGCTTGCTGGAATCAAAGAGATAAGAAGCTTACTAAAATTTGGGAGAGATTTACAGTCAAAGGAATCACAAGCCCAAGTAGACCTATGGTCTTCTGACATTACATAAGAAGGACACGCACTAAGAGAATTACACAGTCCCCAAGACGAATATATGCCCATTAGTACATGGCAAAGGAAGATAACAGAAGACCCTCCAGAGAGTGGAATCCTGAAAATCAAGGAACATTTCTGTATACTCAAGGTAGGAACTTTTATGGCTTTTGCCAAGTGGTAATTTAGTAAGCTTCTTATTTCTTTGATTCCAGTAAACAGTATTTGCCAATATCCACCATTCTTTCCAAGACATGGTTCTCAGATATACTCTATCATTTTGCTTTCTTGCCCCATCCTCCGTGTCTCTCTCTCTCTCCCTCTCTGTCTCTCTGTCCCTCTTTCCCTGGTCCTCCTATCTATCCTACCTTCCTCTGTCTCTTCCTCCCTCTCTATCTAGCTCTTCATGTCTCTCTATCTTTATCTCTCTCTTGCCATTACTGGTATCCTGCATATACATGAGTCTATGATTTTCTGTGGAAAAGCCACAACTTTAATTTGATCTTTGCCGTGTGTATTTATCCAATTGAATACCTTAATTTTATCTGCCCTGAAATTCCTTAATCTATTGAAAGGCATTATCATAGGTAGAGACAACATACTTTTAATTTTACCTATCCACAGGTTATTTTAATGGGCTTCATCTTTCAAGGCTTTCTCAATTTCTGACTTAGTATTTGGAGTTTAAAACCTGTTAGAATTTGCAATTTTGCAAGGCCCCAATTTTCTGAAATAGTTCCATTCCTTCTCATATTTGTTAACAAAGCAACCAATTCTTTTCTTGAGTTAAAAAAGCCTTGTCAAAAAAAAAAAAATAGCTAGTAGTGGTAGGCGCGCAGGGCCAGAGATGCTGCAGACCTGCGACCCGGAGCAGTTCGGAGGCGGTGAATAATATCTCATCAAGTCTGCTATAAAAAATGGCCTCCAATAAAACTACATTGTGAAAAATGGGGAAAAAAAACAGAATGGGAAAAGTAAAAAGTTGAAGAGGCAGAGCCTGAAGAATTTGTGGTGGAAAAAGTACTAGATTGACGTGTAGTGAATGGGAAAGTGGAATATTTCCTGAAGTGGAAGGGATTTACAGATGCTGACAATACTTGGGAACCTGAAGAAAATTTAGATTGTCCAGAATTGATTGAAGCATTTCTTAGCTCTCAGAAAGCTGGCAAACAAAAAGATGGTAAAAAAGAAAATCTTTATCTGACAGTGAATCTGATGACAGCAAATCAAAGAAGAAAACAGATGCTGCTGACAAACCAAGAGGATTTGCCAGAGGTCTTGATCCTGAAAGAATAATTGGTGCCACAGACAGCAGTGGAGAATTGATGTTTCTCATGAAATGGAAAGATTCAGATGAGGCAGACTTGGTGCTGGCAAAAGAAGCAAGTATGAAGTGTCCTCAAATTGTAATTGCTTTTTATGAAGAGAGACTAACTTGGCATTCTTGTCCAGAAGATGAAGCTCAATAATTGTTCACATTGTTTTTTTATATATATTTATAATATATATAAAATTTGGGTCTTGGATTTTGATTTACTAGTGTGATGAAATAACTACATCCTAATGAAAATCAAGTTTGATATGTTCATTTTGAAAGTAGCGTTGGAAGAGTTGCTGGGGGGTTTTTTGAATCCATAGCACTGGTTACTTTGAACAAACAAAAGCTTTCTATAGTTGCTTCCTCTATCAGAAAAGAACATTTGATACCATGGTATATTATTTCCTCTTCATTAAAGAACAGCTTCTCTAAATGTTGGGGGAAATGTCCGTAGTCATTACTCAATCAAAACTTGTGTTCTCATAAGCCTAAGGACCATTCTAGATTTTTTACATGTTTTTTTTTTGTGTGTGTATCCATAAAATGCATATGTGAATTTTTTGTTTGTTTGTTTTTGAGCATTCACACAAACAAAAAAATCACAGGTAAGCCCATGTTTCTGAGATGCCATTATTCCGAGCAAAATAAGAGATAATCACTTCAAGTTAAATTGAAAATTTTCCTGAAGCCATGCATTTCAAGTGAAATAAGTAATTCTAAATAGGACAATTTAAATTGGATAATTTTAAATCATCTATAATTGCAGTGGTTTATTTGCAAAATTCCTAAAAGGAAAAATTTTATCACTGCCATCACAGCAGTTTTCCTCATCCAGATGAGGAAACTAGACAAATGCTAGTGTGTTTTAACTAGCTAAACAAAACTAAATTAAATGAACATTAAAAAATTTCCCTAGTGTGCCATTCCCTAACAAAATGTTGAAATCCCTGTTACTACATTGACTAAAAGGTAATGATGAATGGAATATGTAAGACTTGGCTCATAGAAACCTGATCAGATGGTTAGAGATGTTGGCAGTTTAGGACCTGCTGCTACAAATGTGTGAACAACCTTTTGTAATCTAACCTATTGACCTGCATGTTTTTTCTTTACCCCAACTCATTCCTTACATGTAGGCTCAATCTTCACTTTGCTTTACTGGTTCAGCAAAAGCCAGGAAGAACAACTTTGTAGTAATCAGAATGTTATTCAACTGTATATTGTTTACTTTATTGTAAATACTGGTGAACAGTGGTTAATAAATAATTTTATATTCCTTTAAAAAAATAGTAGTTGCTAACACACAGTAGACACATTATTTTCCAATCCTTTCCCTTAGAGTCTTATTTTCTTTAGCTACATAATCTTCCTCCAAGTTAATACAGAAGTTGGCTTTACCAACCACCACATAACAAGAATTGTCATCTATCTAGCCTCCATTATCAATTTCTATGCTGTCCACCACTGAACTGCGAAGCCCATGCCACATATTTTAGGGTTTTTAAATTAATAAAGCACCCTGCTTCAAATACCAATATCTGTTCAGAACTAGCCACAAGGTTTCACCGAACTGCAATGGAAAGAGGAAGTATGGTTCTTTCCCATGCCTTAAAGGCAGAGAACCTGACATGGACGAGTACAGGAAGTCTCCACCACATCTTCTATGACCAGTCTTTCTAAACAGTTCCCCATCCACCCCTTCACCTTTCTTAGCTGCATTTTTTCCTTATTACATGTAGGAGTTTTATCTTTCATTTGTTGCTTGTTAATTTTTGTTCGTCTCCTCCACTAGATTATACATTCCAAGAGGGCATGGATAACACCTGACTTAATCCTCTTTCAGTTACACAGGTCTTGGCATAGTGCCTAGGACTTTGTAGGTGTTCAGTACATATTTGTGGGAACAGTGAGTGAATCGATGAATGAATGAATGAGAAGCAGGCTTAGATTTTCTCTTCTCCTACTGCAGAGCCAGCACCATTCCTATTTTATTCAGCTTAGAATGTGAGCCCTTCTGCACAGGCCATGCCGGTCTGAGCACATCACACAGCTCAGAATAACGTAAGGAATCTTGAATTGCCAACCCTGTGGAAAACAGTAGGTAGCTTATCCACGGAGGAACAAGGCAACACCAGCAACAAACAAGGTCATGGGTTAGGTTCCAGGTGCAGCTGAAGGGCCACCTGGACACCTACTCCCATCCACTTTAATCAGAGTCACCAAGCCACAGCGGGGGATGGTGGAGGTGCAGGCCTGGGCAGAACAGGGACTGTCCCAGACTTCTTCCTGTTCTCCTTCCCACTCAGCTCAACTGCTTTTGTCTTGTTTACTCAGCACAGTTCTCTTCCCCACTAGCCCCACTCCCCATTGTCCACTATCTTTCCATACCCACACATAACTGAATTATTTATGGGAGGGATTTTTCTTTTTACTTTAACTGAGAAAGCAACCCAAGGGCAAGAATTTTTTTTTTATATTTTACTTTTAGATTTATTTTAAAAGTTAAAAAAAAAAAAGTTCACCTCCTATCTTGGAAGCAATGAACCAATCTTGAATAAGTTTCATTCACAGGTAGATTCAGAGCTTGACGATCTGTGACTCTACTTTGGCATGATACCTGACCTCCTCTGGTAGTGCCAGGCACCTGCAGTACTTACCTGATTAAGGTAATTTAAGTTTGGCTGCTAATAACACTCTCTGGCTCTCCTCCAGACTCCCTGACTATTCATCCAAGCCTCCTTCATAGGCTCTCCCTCCTCCTCCCAACCATTAATATTGGTACTCACTAAAATTGGGTACTTTCCACATACACACCCTGAATAATCTCCTCTTGGCACCACCACAGACTAGACATGTGACCTTAAGCAAGGTAGTAGATCTCTCTGTGCCTCAGTTATCTGTAATATGAAAATAATATTATCTGCCTCATTGGGTTGTTGTGAAAATTAAGAGTTGAAACATACAACATTCTTCTAATAGTGCCTGGCACATAGCAAATGCTCAAAAGTGTTGGTAATGATATTATTCTCTTTTCCTAGGGCTTCAACAACCAACTCTGTGTTAACATTTCCAAATATTCATCTCCCTTTCCTAAGTTCTACATGGGCATTTTTAACTGCCTAGAAGATATCTTCACTTATTTGTTTAGCAATCATTTCAAACATAATATAGAACTCAGCTTATGTTACAACTTATTTTTCCTGAATTTTGATGTCAGATAAGGATATTAATCTTTCAAGCTAGAAAACTCAGGGTCACTGGTGATGCCACTCCATTTCTTGTGCAGCTTAAGTCTGCTTCAGGTCCACCCCTCAGTGTGGACCTCTCCTCTCCAACCTCACTGAATGTGGTCCACATTCTCATTACATCACCTCACTGCAGTTTATGCCACTCAGTCCTGTCAGAGTTAACTTCCTGAAAAATGAATATGTCATTTGTTGTTGGTGGGGATGAAAAATGGTGCAGCCACTTTGGAAGGCAGTTTGGCAGTTTCTTACAATACTAAAATACTCTTACGATATGATCCAGCAATCATGCTCTTTGGTATCTATCCAATTGATACCAATTGATATTTCAATTGAGTTGAAAACTTATGCCCACACGAAAACTTGCAAATGGATGTTTATAGCAGCTTTACTTGTAATTGCCAAAAGTTAGAAGCAACCAAGATGTCCATCAGTAGGTGAATGGATAAATGGTAAATAAACTATCGCACATCCAGACAATGGAGTATTGTTCAATGCTAAAGAGAAATGAGCTATCAAGCCATGAAGAGACATGAAAGAAACAAATGCATATTACTAAGTGAAAGAAGCCAATCTGAAAAGGCTACATACTGTATAATTACAACTATTCTGGAAAAGGCAAAACTCTAAAGACAGTAAAATAATCAGTGTTTGCCTGAAGTTGTGGGGCAAGAGGAATCAACAAGCAGAACCTAGAGGATTTTCAGGGCAGTGAAACTAATCTGGATACTATAATGGTGGACAAATGTCATTACACATCTGTCCAAACATGTAGAATGTACATAAGAGTGAACCCTAATATAAACTGTGGACTTTGGGTGATTATCATGTGTCAATGTAGGTTTATCAGTTGCAACAAACATATCACTCTGGTGGGATGTGTTGATAATGGGGGAGGATATGAATGTGTGGGAGCAGGAGGTATGTGGGAAATCGCTATACCCTTCTCTGAATTTTGCTATGAACCTAAAACTGCACATAGGAAAATAAAATCTTTTAAAAAGTGAATTTGAGTATACCCTAGAGACTGTTATGCACCATGTGAATGGGATACAGAGTACAAAAGCTCATATTGTTCATAATTGCTATTTTTAAAAAGCTGGTATAAAAGAACTGGTAATAAACATAAAAACTGATCAAATAAACATAAGAATGATTTTAAAAACCAAAGAAAAATATACAACAGACAAGATAAACTGTGAAATAGTCAAACAAGAAAATACTATATAGCAAAGTAAATAAATAAATATCAACAAGGATGAATCTTTAAAACAAAACATTGAGCAATAAAACTTAAACACAAAGAATATGTTCAGTATTATTCCATTTATAAAAAGTTCAGAACTAGTCTAAATAGACTGTCTTTTCTGAGTATGTATACATAAGTGAAAAAACTAAGGAACAACAAAGAAGTGATTAAGAATCAGGACAGTGGTTATCATTTTTGGGGCTTCCATGACATATGACTGGGGAGGAGATGAAGGGTTTTCACAATGTTATATGTTACAGAGGTGTTTACAATTATGCTTTATACACTATATCTGTTTTAATGTTTTAGTATTTTTTCCTCATTAAGGATTATATTTCTTAATTTTTATGGCAAGAGAAAGACAGCAATCCAATTACATTATTTTCCAACTGAAAACCTCCAATACTTCCAGTTTTCCAGAGGACAACTTCCATATCCCTACATTGGCACAGAAGCTTGTCCCAGACTTGCTCCACACATCTCCACCCCACTTCATCCCATGCACCCCGGTTTCCAGCACCACTGACCCCCTTACTTTTCCTGTGCATACACATCACAGTCTTCCTCAATACCATGCCTTCTCACTTGTTTTTCTTTCTTCCTTAAATGACATTTCTGTTTTTCACCTGGCAAACTACTCTCTTCCTTTAATACTCAGTCTGATGTAACTTCTTCATTCAAGTCATCTTCAAAACCCCCAGAGTTAGCATTTCTATTTTTTTTGCTCTCACACCATTTAAAAAGAAATAACTGTGCAATAGTTCTTGACATGCCTATTGCAACATTCCTTTCCAGGGATCTGTCTCTCCTACTATGGTGGGAGCTCCCAGGGATCCAGGGCCTCTTCTCATTCATCATTGCTTCCCTCAGTAGAGTCAGCTGCTCTCTGACCACAACTCTCTTTCCACACACGAAGTAGACCTCACTACATTGTATATTATCTTTATCTACTTACAGAGCTGTCTCAAGCTATGTTGTGCAATTTTATGAGAATTAAAAATGAGATAGTATGAAAAACCCAGCACAGTGTTTAGAATATTTTAGTTTCAGTTACATTTTTTAAAAGGTTTTTTTAAAAAGTAGTGACTCAGAAATGTGCTAGAGGGTGCTGATTCACTGTTTTGTTATAGACGATGGTACTCAGGTTGTTAACATTTGACTTGCTCATCTAACCAGGAGCCAAAGAAATAATCAGATTTTTAGTAAGCAAAATATCAGCCATTTTTATTTAATAAATAAATTAATACATTTCAAGTGTTTGTGTCTATAGTTGACTTGAAATTATTTTGGGGAAGAATAAGACAACAACCAGATTGATGGCTGACGGCATGATGTTGCTTGTTTTAGTCCCTGTTTGTATATATCCCCCAATCCCCCAACCTAAGGTTTGTCCGACAAGCAGTGAAAACTCAAAGCAGGCAGTGTTGATTTTGGCAGTGCCCCAACTTTCCTTAAAGTAAAGAAATGCCAAACAAAGTGTTTCCTCAACTGTCAAATGGGAAGGCTGAACTAGATCATCTTTGGGGTCCCTTTCAATTCTAACATGCTATAATACATACTTCTAGTTCGTTAAAAAAAAGAAACAGGCATGACCTCTTTAAAAACCACACACATACATACATTCGACCAAGAACTGACAAAATTCAATGAAAAGTAAACCAAAAAAAATTTTAAATCTGCCTTAACAGAAAAAAAAAAAAAGAAGAAAAACCAAACTGGAGTTCCATTTATTCCTTCCATGTAAAGCTGGGTTTAAAAAAGCAATATGAGTGACAAATGATTGACTGCTTGAAAGATGTATTGATTGTGAGATATTTTCTAGTTTCTTCTGTATCTCCACATCTTCTGTTAATAATTATTCTAGCTAAATCTTCTCTTCTTTAGGAGAGGATGATAAAGTAGGTTTATGTTATATAAAGCATTGGTCAGCTGATTGAAAGCGTTTTACAATGACTCCATTCACTTCAACCACCTGAAAAACCACAAACATTTATGACAGTCTTAAAAGTCCAGGAAACAATACTAAATTAAGAGATGGAGACTGCAGATAAATATATTAGTAAATAATTTGCTTTTATGTTTATGAAGCTCAATCAAAGTGACTCACAGTTTGGGTGCAAGATGAGAGTAGACACAAAAAGCAGAAGTCTGGTTTTGCAACTGATTATTTTATGATGTCTGTAGGCTGTGCTGCAGGATCCTAAACTATGACAAATAGTTATAGTAATTTCTAAAATGTGAGGATGTTCAGTAGTCTTTTTTTTTTTTTTTTTTTTTGAGATAGGACCTGACTCTGTGCCCAGGCTGGAGTGCAGAGGCCTGATCTTGGCTCACTGCAACCTCTGCCTCCTGGGACTCAAGCAATCTTCCCACCTCAGCCTCCACAGCAGCTGGCACTACAGGCGTGCACCACCACACCCAGCTAATTTTTGTATTTTTAGAAGAGACAGGGTTTCACCATGTTGCCCAGGCTGGTCTTGAATTCCTGGGCTTAAGCTATCCGCCACCTCAGCCCCACAAAGTATGGGATTACAGGTGTGAGGTACATCACCTGGCCCAGTAGTCTATCTTTAACAAAGATAATCTACTTTGACAATTTTTTTGCTTGTTCACTTAAGTTTCATGAGATTAAAGGCAAACAATTATGGTGAAAGTTTAATAGTTTTGATGTAACTATGCTTATAACTCAGTATTTTTAATGATTATAATGTAGCATTTTGAGCACTCTAAATAATTAAAATTCAAGTTTAGACATTGTTTTATTTTGAGTTTTATGCTCTAATCCATAATTACTGTTGGCTGTATGTCTCTGGTCACAGTTCTTAGCCTCTCTGAACCTAGCTTCCTAATTTATAAGATGGGGCTGTAGCTATTATTTTCCTTACAGTATGCAGATGCGTACAAATTTCTTCAAACTTTGCTAGGCTTCAGTAAGACTGCTATTATCATTGCTATCTAGTAAGCTTTAGCATAATAATGGCGTAAACTTGGACTAGGCAATGTTTTTATGAATTTTAGCACATTTTATAAAATAAGCCTGCATGTGGGCTCATTGCATACCATTTAAGAAACAAAACTTCTTTTACAGAATTATATTCTTTCATTCCCTACTTCTTCCTCTGACATCCAAATAATTTTTTTAATTAAAAATGACCTATCTTCAGTAGTGAATTCACGAAGGTCCTCTCATCATCCATAAGACTCTTAAAACATGCACTAGGCAACAGGTGCCATGGTTGACTCTCCACGTGTGCAGGTGTCGCAGAAAAGCCAGCTGAATAACCAACCCTCCCAACCACACTGCTTGCCCACACCCTTGACACCCACACCACATTGTCCTATGTTCTCTAGGAAGTCTGCTTTGCTGGCATGGCTATGCTTTCTCGATTGCACAGTGTCATGAACTCACAAGGCATTCTTATGGGCAATGGCTGAAGTTTAGCAACAGTCTGCTGATTACTGGTGGTTTACAACATCTCACACAAATGGTGTGTTATTTTAAGTTGTGCTTTGGAATCTGGGCTCTCGATCCCACTTGGGACCACCCTGTGTTTAGCAATCATATAAGCAGCTGCTTGCTTACCTTGTTAACATCTGTCTTTCACATGTACCCTGTCCTGGAGATTGAATTTTAGGCCTCCACATAGCTCAGAGGTGACAGTGTTGAAACAGCTCTAGGATCTAGCTGGAGCATCTCTCAGGGCCACAGTTCACAGCTAACTGAGAGGTTAGTGATGTTAGCTCATTATAAGAACTATGTTCTATCTTATCTCATTCAGGCTGCTATAACAAAAACACCATAGACTAGGTGGCTTACAAACAACAGAAATTTATTTACCACAGTTCTGGGGACAGGGAAATCCAAGATCAAAGCACAACAGATGTGGTATCTGGTGAGGACTCACTTCCTGGTTTACAGATGGCCATCTTTTCACTGTAGCCTCACATGTTGGAAGGGACAAGGGACCTCTCTGGGGTATCTTTTATAAGGATACTACTCCCATTCACGAGGGCTCCACCTTCATAACCTAATCACTTTCCAAAGGCCCCACATCCTAATACTATCACATTAAGGATTAGGTTTCAACATATTAATTTTGAGAGGAGGCAAACATTCAGTCTGCAGCAAGCTCAATGTTAAGGTCTTCTGGGACCACAGTCTTCTGTACTCCATTCAGTCATTAATCCACCAATTTATTTATTCATTCAGGCAGTCAGTCAATTCATCAAGCATTTTTTGAATACCAAATTTTTCTGAATGCATTTTTTGAATGCCAGGCACTGTGTAAGAACCATGTATATACAACGAGCAAGAGACACAATCCCTGCCCTAAAGGATTGTAGTCCAGTGACTTTGTGTCTTCTAAGAGTGAGCCACCTAAGGGCAGTGTTCAGTAATAGCAATCAGTTTTCAGTTGTTATTGCAATTGATATTTCAACTGTGATAAAAAATTCTGTGAATTAATCTTTCAAAAGAATCACGTCTCCCTTTCATCAGTCCTTTTTGTATCAAAAAATACGGAGGTTTGAATATATAGAGTGCTCTAAGAATTCTCTTCAGAACTCTACTAAATGACCTGGATCCATTCTTTTGTCAGTAAAACAAATACCTTCAAGAGAGGAGTAAAGGAGTTTAGAAATCAAGATTATCAAGGAGACAATAAACAGAAATTCCTTTTATTTTACTGGAGGTCTCTGATCCTGGACAAAAATGGTAAACAGCAGAGACTGAAAAGTACAAAGTAAGGAAAACTGACAAGATGTTTGCTTTACACAGAAAGGTACTTCTAGTGTCCTGTTATTACCATTTCTTTGGAAGAAAAAGGAAGTGCCTAGACCATTGAAAACGTTTTTTTGTTCAGAAAAGAATTCCTAAATAAATACTAAACACACTTCTCATTATTTAATTTGGAATGTGCTGGGCTGACTGAATGTTTTTAGAAGCTCTTTTCTTAAGAAATTCTACTGAAATCATAGGGACATTCTTTGATAAAGACTTCCCCATAACAAATTTCTAGAGATATGCAGAAGGAGCAGCACTTTTACTTTTCTGATTTAGAAAGTACTCCAACTGCCTGCATTAATCACAATGCTTATATAATTGAAACTATTTCTTTTTTAAATTAAATGGAGTGAGGAAAAGAGACCCTCCTGCCCTGGAGCCTGGTCTACTTTTCCAGTCTAATTTTCTATCACCCGCCACTACATACACACCCTGTACTCCAGTTATACCATTCTATGTGAAGTCCCTGAACAAGGCAAGCTGAAAACACAAATGGCAGAAATATTTGAACAATTTCCTGGGCTTATTAAGGGATAGCCAGGGTGACGGCAGCAGAGCCATGGCAGGCAACCATGCTCTTCTTATATTAAATAAGACTCAGACATATATACCATTAGGGATCCTTGACTCATTATCTTTCTGATCAATACTTCCACAAAATATTCATTCCTTTGGCCACACATTTTGCCTGTGGGCTAGGAGTTAAACATTCCCTCTCCAGACTTATTCAAGGAGCTAATTGTCTTCTACCCAGACTATGGAAATGGTCTCCTAACCTCTTCCCCATTGGGTCCACTCTCTACACTGAAGCTAAAATTGCCTTTCTAAAATGCAAATCTGATTATTTAAAAAGAAAATTCTTTAATGGCTTGCCATTGCTTGCAGCGATTTCTAAGCAGAGGGTACCCCCTCCCTGCCCCACCTCACCCCAGGGAGTAAACATATGGAATATGGGGGGCATATCAGAGCCATCTCAGGGATTTTTCAAAGTTTCACATACACACAGGTATATGTGGCATCATCAACACCCCTCACCCATGTCCCTTTTGCTCCCATACACATTTCCTATCCCATGAAAATCGCTGCCATGCTTGTTGAGTGATGGGTGTTATGTTGTAGCCCTCAGTTATGCTGAGGCATAAAAATGGTTGAGCAGCCTCATGGCAGAATAAAGTCCAGATTCCTTAGCATGTCCTACAAAGTCCTGCACAATAGCCTCCCTGCTTGCCTTTTCAGTTTCATCTTCACCCATTCTCCATCACACACCCTGTGGGCCAACACCACCAGTCTGGAGAATTCCTGAACCAGGTTTGCTTTTTCGTACTTTTTTCTTTATTCTATTCCATTTACCCAGAATGCACTTCTCCTCTCACACAGCTAGTAAATTTCTGTTTAACCTTTAAGAAGGCACCAACAATTACATCTTCAGCCACAGCCTGCCCCTGGATTCCAGGCTGGTACATCTCCACTTGGATTTTTAGAAAGTATCTTAAACTTAACATGGCTAAAACAACCTCCTGGACCCGCTTCCTACTACTTATTCCTCCTGCAGTCAGCCACATCTCAGTTCATTGCAACTGACTCCCCAACTCATAATCCAAGTCTTTGCTGCAGTCTGTGAGAGCATGTATGATCTGATCCTATTCCTATCACCCTCCCCTCCCCCACTCTGCTCTAGCCACACTGGCCTCCTAGTCCTAAATACACCAAACACATACTGAGCTCAGGGCCTTCGAACTGCTGTTCTATCTGGAATGCTCCTCTCTCTTAGATGTCCCTGTGATTCATTCCCTTATTTCTTTCAAGTGTCTGATCATAAGTAATCACATCAGAAACCACTGTTTATGGGACAGTACCAATTCACCATCACCTTACATCCCCTCCCCTTGCTTTATTCTCCACAGTACTTACCACTACTTGACATCCTGCACTATTACTGTTATTATTTGCTCCCACTAGAACATAAACTATACAAGGGCCAGCTTTTATTATTCCTATTCTCTACCATATCTTCAGTTCCTAAAACAATACTTGGCATATAGTAGATGCTCTGTAAACATGTTATTGTCATTCGTTATTTGTTAACTCAACTGAAAAGTGCTGTGGGACTTCCATTTAAACATACTGCACTCAATATATAAATTTCCTTCAGTTCCTTCCTAAAACCCCATTAAATTAACAGCAAATAGATTTTCAAAATGACACAGAGAATGGAAGTGGAGACATCAATAAAGCCTAACCTGATCACCACATTTAAAATTATGGCCTCCTCTTCCCAGTCTCCTTACCCTGACTTTTCCTTCCATAGCACCTATTATCTTCCAATAAGTATAAAGAATGGGTAAGAGAGCTAAAGCTTCATTAGTAGGCAGTTTTAGACCTTATTGTAAACAAGTACACAATATATGTAACAGCCAAAAGAATTAGAAATTGGTTACTTCTGGGAAGTACAAACTAAGAATGAGAGGGGAAGGGACAGATAATTTATTGTTTTGTTTTTTAAATAAGGCTTCTAGTACTATACTTTTTCAATCATGTATGTTCATAATTTATGCCAAATAAAACTTCAATTAAAAAAATCCCAAAACCAAGAGGGAAACTGTATATGCAAGAAGAAAAGTCATAATGCAACTTTGTCTATTTTTATTCTTCACATAGTGACTATGTCTTGTTTAACAGAATTTGAACATATTAAAATAGATGACCAAATACTAAATATTTAGACTATGTAGTGGAACACATGATTTATATCAGTCATTTCTTGAAAACTTATGAGTACTTCATTGACATTACATGCATAAAGCAAATATCTAGCTGAAACATTGCTGAAAAAAAAATACGTCATTTTGCCAGTAAATTAAATAAACTGCAGAAAGAAACTACTTCTCAACATGAAAGTAAAGAGAAGAGAATCAAGGCAATGGGCTTTGCCACAGACAGGGAATACACAGCGAACAGGGAAAGGATCAGGCCCCCCTTGCTTGAGGCTTGCTTTCCTCATCTGTAGATTTAGGGGTCTCAATCAGGTCATCTCAAGTTCCCTAAACTTGCTTAAAAAGCATCAAACTTTGAGTTAGACCTTCAGACTTCCCTAACTCCTTTTTTCCTGAATTAAGCTATGACAAAGATGACCATATGTCCCAGTTCACCTAGTATAATCTCGATTTATATCTGTTGTCCTGGAATAACAATTAATTGCTCCTCCTTTAACTCTCAAAGGTATCTCCAGTCGGAAGATAAATTACATGCCCCTCATACCTATGACTATATTCATTTTAATCTTGGTTTAGATTTTTAAGAAAACACACTAATTTACTTTTAAGCCTACAAATATAGCATTTCATAGCTTGCTTTCTCTTAACACTTGGAGAAATTTCAGATTCTTTTGTGAGTGGTTTGTGAACTATCAAAAATTTTTTTAACTTGGCCGGGCATGATGACCTATGCCTCTAATCCCAGTACTTTGGAAGGCTGAGGCAGAAGAATCGCTTAAGATGGGAAGTTTGCGGCTGCAGTGAGCTACGATCACGCCACTACACTTCAGCCTGGGTGATGCAGAAAGGACCGTGTCTCTAGAAATAAAAATAATTTTTTAAAAACTGAGTAAGTCAAATGTAAATTTTCCTTTTCAAAAACAAATTATTCAGTATGCAAAACATTCTGTTAAGACATATTTTCTGATAACCTTAGAATACGTGGTACTTAAAAACTATGACTAAAATATTTGTGGAAGAATTCATTATCTTAGGTGATACATTTTAACAATTAAAATAGTTCCAGAACACGGTCTTCCACCTGACTTTGACGATTAAAACAATGTTGTCAAAAGAATGTTCTCTCTGAAAATTCTGGGTCTCATCCACCACCATAGGTCTCATCTACCATCAACTGAAATAAGCTAATCAGTTATAAACAAGGGAATATACTTAAAAAAAAAAAAAAGAGAGAAACACGGTCTCACTCTGTCTCCAAGGCTGGAGTGCAGTGGCACAGTCATAGCTCACTGCAGCACAGAACTCCTAAGCTCAGGCAATACTCCCACCTCAGCTTCCCAGGAATATACCACTTTTACTGCACTGACAAGCTCTGTATGCTAGTGATTCTCAAATTTTCTTTAAGGCTAGGACCAAGAGTCCTGCCAATCCCCTGAACAACAGCTCACATATTATCAAATGAACTTGAAACATTCCTGTCATAGTGAGCAGCATTGAAACAGATTCCATAACTGATTACTCAGTTTCAAGGGAGATTTAACATTGCTTTGTTTTCAAGTTACAAAAAGTTCCCTAGTTTTACTCAAATATGCACTATCCCTGATTAAAAAAAACATGTTTCATTATGAAGAGGGGTGATTTGTTTCAGCATTTTTTTTTTTCACTTAACCACTTAAGTCACTGCCTGAGGAAGTTTCTTTTTAAGGAAATAAATACCAGGTTCATTAGAAGAAAAAAAAAAAACACATAATTTTAATTCATTTTGTTTTAAAGATGCGTATTTTAAAAAGACTACTTTAAAATGAACTAATATGTTACACTGGATCATGCTGTGGCGACTAACGTATTGTCAAGCCTTAACCTAATGAAAACAAAAGAAAAGCGAGTTTGGCACTCACTTGCACTTTTCATCTCTGTTAGAAAGTATGTCTCAGTTTGGATCTGAGATCAGGTTTGCTTGGTAACCTCAAAGAATAATTTTCCTTTTTTTTTTCTTTCAAAATTTCCTTTTGATCATTTCAGACAGTTCATCCTTTTGAGTGAGAAAGAGTAAAAGAGAGGAATGTTGAGTGAGGTTAAGTAAATGGAGAATCTGTCACATAAAGCAAGTTTAAATCCTAGTAAGAGCATCCATGCAGGACAAACGGAAGCATTATTCTTTTGAAAACATTATTCTTTTAAACAGTGTGTAATGACATCCTCCCTAGAGACTTTCCATGAGAGGGGAAAAAAATTACTTCCTCAGAAGTCGTTTTCTAGATTCCAAGCATAATAAGTGAAGCACAGTTAAAAGTCAAACTTGTGTTTTCTTTATGCAAGAAGGTTCAAATTAGAACTGCAGAAAGGTACTTAAAAGTTTCTCTAGCTTGTCTTTTGGTTACATACTGGTATTGCTGTGAACTAAAAGAGCAAGTAAGAGGAAAGGTTACTGTTGTTACTTTACACCTATAAATCAGTGAGTGTGTCCTTACTGTAAAATTTGAGCTGAACATATTTTGTTTCAAAGGAGAAATATATGACTCAAATATGCTGAATGTATGATAATTTATTAAGTTCCTTTTAAGTATATCATTTTCTTATGCTCAAGTAGAAACTATGGATTATTTTTCTAGTATTCTATGCTGCTGTTACCTTCTGAGGAGTTGATTGAAAATTTTATGCTTTTAAAAGTTGGGTGCTACTTAAATATCAGAATTGGCTATTGTTTTAAATATTTAAAATATGCTTAAACAACAATTAAGGTTAATAAGCAGAGAAAATACTTCTTTTGATTCAAACACTACTTTATATATTTAATGAATACACGTCCAAATAAAGATCTCTCTTCAAAAATTTTGGAAAATGTTAATGCATTTTGAATATAATGGAACAAAGAAGAAGAATACTAGAGAAAATTCACAATTATGATGTTTATTTAGGAAAATAAACTTGAAGAAGGTTTTCTATTAAAAAAACATAAGAATCATATCCAAATTTTAGACTCTCCATCTTCTTTGGTATGAAAATCAACATTCATAATAGAAAATATTTTCTTTTGAAAGGTTTAGTTGTTATTGGGTCTATAACGGTTTTCCATATAAGGAAAATACAGTATTATCTGTAATCATCTCACTTATTGAACAACCAATGAATGCATGCAAGTAACCAAGCATATGTGTGCAGAGACCAGCATCAAGGAAATATTCATTCATAGATAAATGTTTTCTAATAAAATATATTTTAAGTTTTTAATGATCTTCTGCTATCATTTTTTGCCATGTTATCTGAATAGCCATCCAGATCTGTAGTAAAACATCCTGTTAGTTACATAACTCAAGAAGTACTTCCCCAAGGAAGCTCACACCATCATACCAGGACTTAGCAACATTTATCTTTCAACATGAGTATACCATTAAAATTTTTTTATATTTCTCAGAATTGTATTCTTCAGTCTTTTCCACAATATAGTATATGGAAATTGCTAATAGCATTAAATTAATATTAATAAAACCCAATTCTATCTAAACCTTTTTCTCATAAGAAAAAACATTACTTTAAAAAATAGACTTTTTGTTTCTTCTAAAAGTAGTACTATATGGACTGCTCAATTAGCAATGCCAAATACTTCCAAAAACACCATAGGACCA
The DNA here is from genome assembly GCF_000001405.40 of Homo sapiens. Lineage (NCBI taxonomy): Eukaryota > Metazoa > Chordata > Mammalia > Primates > Hominidae > Homo > Homo sapiens. The sequence continues at coordinate 116,437,547 of NC_000006.12, read as the reverse complement.
CCAAGCTATTTCTATTGCTTTGATAATTTCTTTTCCTGCTCCAATTTCTCCACGTTCCTGCTTTCTTGTGTCAAAATATCTTCCCTTAATTTGTTAAAATGAATCTGAGGGAAAAAAATCTGATAATCTGGGGTAAAGAAATTTTTTTTTTTGCATAGACTCTTGTGATCACAAAATGACCAGGTAATTTATAGCTTCAGTGCTAACACTGTGATTGGGAACAAGAAGAGTACAACCATAATAAAATACAGCTATCTATGAGAAGAACTGCATAAAGACATCTTTGGCCATGTAGGCTCTGGGCCCTCTGGAAATAAGTCAGTTGCATTGCCAACATGACAAAGAAAATAGCAATGTTCAGAATCAGGAACAACCTGGTATAGGAAGCAGACAGTGATGGGGCCCTGCTGTGTGTAGTTGTCACCATCCGTGCCTGTCCAAACCGGCCTTTAATCAAGCCCCCATTTTTATGTTTCTCGTATGTTACATCTGCAAAATCTAAAAGGTCTTTCATTTCTTCATCTTCATCTATGGGTAGTTCTTTCTGTGCCAAAATCTGAGCTTTCTGTCTAATCTTTTTCTCATTGACTTCAATCTGTGCAAAAATATCAGGGACAGCATCCACAAATTTATAGCGTTTGCCTGCCCTTCGGTTTTTCTTTGACTTGCTTTGCTGCTGCTGTTGCTGTGATATGGCAAAAATCCTGTCAATGGCCTCCTCAGTCTGTCTCTTATCTGAAAATCTCAGCAGGCGTTCAGCAGTCTTCCTAAAGCTAGCTGTGTTCCGGACTCGGGACAGTATCTGCTTCTCCAGCAGCTGAAACACTGGTTTAAAATGCTGCAAGTTCTGTTCCACAATAGCAGCATAGTCCTTCACCTCAGGGACAATGCTGCTCTTGATGGCTGAATTCCGGTCAAACAGAATTTTGTGACGATCAGCAATGACCTGTGCAAAGGCAGACTGTCCTGTGGCCTCACCTGTCCACAGGTATGTGGCGTAGGCATGTTTGCTGGTGGCTATGAACACATCCAGTTGCTGAGAGTCTCCGTGGACAGTGAAGCTCTGAACATCTATAGATGGCCCTATGAAGAGGTAAGCTGCCCTGGTGATGGGACTTCGGAGGTGCATGGTGACATTCACATAGTTTGTCCCATTGTAGGGATAGCCCCGAGGATATGTCACTGAGGCAAAGGTTGCTTTCTCGCTGTAGCCAGTATCGTCCATCCAGTACATTTTATAGAGACCATCTCTCTGCCTGATGAAAGCCCCATGGACACCATCTACCACAGTCTCCTCAAAAGGAACATCCACATTATGGAAGAAGCTCGCTGCTGTCTCCAAGGGACTCTCCTCTCCCAGGTGTATTTGGTCTACAAGGAGAAGCAGCTGTGGATGTAGGAGGATGAGATTCCTCTGAACATTCTTCAGGTTGAGCTGGGGGTTATAAGCTCCCACACCTTCTCCTCGGATGAAAACCACCCCATTTTTCTCCTCTGCTGCAACCACCCTCCCCTGACAACTAGCTGCCAGGTCATGCTTGTATTTAGACCATTTTGATGAGCAGTCTTCTGTGACCTGACCCACCCAGGGAGAAAAGCAGCTCTTTGACACAGCTGGGGAAAACATCAAAACATTGTTGAAGAAGGTGTACTTTGGCCCGTACAGAGCCTCAGTAATGAAAGGCACACCATTGGGAGCAAAAGTAAATGAGTTTTGATCAGGATGTTCATGCCCTGCATTAAAATTTCTCCATCCTTTGATCCAATCTTTGTATTTGTTTCTGTGGACAATGTCATATATTGCACGTCCCCCCAGTTTTCCAGACTTGAAGGAAAGGAAAGATCTATTGATTTCTGCAGGTAGTGCACTTCCATAAGTCACGACACCCCAGTCTTCAAAATAATGCAGTGTAGGGGTGCCAAAGTCTGGAGGAGGAACCGATTTCAAGCTGCCATCATACCTGAAATTAATTTTGAAAAATTAAATGGTTTTCTGATGGCAGTGAAAATAACACATAACATGGTAATGTGGAAGATGCGACACACAAATGCTACCCAGAGCACTGGCAGTGCAGAGTATATTAGGGACAATTCTAAAAATATCCAAGGACAACCAGTATGCACAAAGGGAAACCCTTGGTGACTGGAAGAGGAATATTTCTTTATCATTTGTGATCCTTGGGTTTGGGCCCGAAATGATTTCTGCTCTAATCTCTACATGGACTATCTTCACTTGATGATGTCAGAGTGACCATTCAAACTACTGGGCCTCATGGATTTAAGCACTTCATCCAAATTTCTGGTTGAGGGGCTCCTCTTCTAGAAATGCCATGTTAGAATCTGGACTCTAACAAGCCTTGAGTTGTAATAAAGTATAGTTCTGCAGTAACTGATATTATTGAATGTTTGGTATTGAAAAGAGTTCTCCCTCAAGATTTTTTTCCTTGAAAAAATAAACTGAAATAGAGGAGAACTTCACATATTAGATAAAATGTATCACCAACACCACATCTCAGAATATAAATGGATGAAGTTTCAGCAAACTGTCTTATATTGAGGGATTTATAATTGTGCCTACTACTGACCAGCCAGGTCCAAAGGTTTGGTTTTGTTTTAATCTGCAGATGATGCCATGCTTCTTGGACAATAAATGACTTCTTATTTTCATTTATGATAAATGTTTATTATTAGCACTATGTACTTTTCCCTAAAGTAAATCAATCACCTAGAGTTAATCTTATTGGTGTTTGATATTGACTGTTTCATCTGTTGTTCTAGAGTCTCAGTTTCAAGACATCAGAAATTATATCTCTACTTAGGTCTAGTATAATGTTGGCTTAATTAATGTGATTTAAAAAGTGTAGATGTAAGCTGAATTGGCCATCTTACTCTCAGTTTTTGGTCAGTTTGCATATTGCTATAAAGGCAGATTTTTAAGTTAGACTTAGCATTAATCTGACCTATTAATCCTGTAGTTAGCTTTATAGAACTCTCTTCATTGAATATTTATGAGTAACTTATTTATGGGTTACACTATTAAGTAATTATGTCATACTCCTGAGAGAACTCAAGGATGGTTGCATCTTAATATGTTTAGTTTATCTATGAAAATAATCTTAAATTGTTGGTTAAACTATAGACACCATTTTACTAATATTTTTTCCTCCTTAATTTTTTTGTATTTTGAAAAAAAAGGATAAAGAGAAGCAAACCACAAGAAAGCTTGTTTTGGAGTTGAATGCAAATTTCAACAGCTTGAAAAGACATCAGGGATTAATGATTAATCAGTTCCCTGTAATTTTGATTTTAACTTATTGGATGCCAACAACATATTTGGCAATACTTTAAAAAGGAGACCCAAGCTTCTCTTTCTGGGCTTAAAAGATTAAGGCAAAAAAATTTATACGGTCCTTTTATTATCAAAGTGAAGCTGTCAAATACTGTCAAACACTTTTAAACACTTTTGAAAATTTAGTAACAGCTTTGCTATTAGAAGATTATAATGCTCCATTTACCAAAACAAAATATTTTACTACCTTTTTTTTGGTGTGATTATCAGAATAACCTAGTCTAAATTTTGTGTTTTGTTTTATATGCTTTCAAAAAATGATGTAAAATCAAAACATGCTTATTTATGAAATAGTGCAAGTGTAGGACAGCTCTAATATGAGAACCAAAAACTGAAAACAGTAATTAGATGTTAAACATAAAGAAATGTTTCTAACACTACCTATTAGGTACTATGCTCACTACCTGGGTATACTGCACATGTACCCCTGTATCTAAAAGTTGAAATTTTTTTTTAAAAAAGAAAAGTTTCTAAGAGTTTCAAAAACAGTGATATGAGTTGAATTGAAACTTCATATACTCAGGTGGCATGGAGAAAAGATTTAAAAAGTGTTTTAGTTTTTCTTTTTAAATGCAAAAAAACAAGTGCATAGCATGAATAGTACCCTTGGGTACCATTTCTCTTTAAAGCTAGCCCAATGTGTCATACCAGAGAAATTCTGTGTGCAGAGTGCACCAGCGCTGCCCTTTGGATGGTGTTCCTGGACCTTCCACCACACGGTTCCTTCTGATTTGGTCAGCTAGCCAGTTACCACTGCCATTACGCATGACAAATTTATCAAGGAACACTAATTGGCTTTCTGGACCATAAAACCAGTTGTAATTTGAGTCCGCAATAGCCACAGTCCTTTGAAACCCTAGGGAAATAAGTTGGAAAGAATTAAGATACTTTGAAAACTTCACACTCCTATATAGGTCTAAACAATGACTTTTCAAATCTAGTTGCAAATTAGAATTGTGTAATGGAAGGGATAAAATAAAAGAAAAATCACAATCCTCACATTTTATTCCAGACCAGTTAGTCAGAATCCCTCAAAAGGTCTTCCACATATGTTGTGTGCAAGCTTGTATTTATTATGTGGTAACCTGTCCTTGGTAACATTAGTGCTACACCTATTCCCTGCCTTCCTCATTTTCCAATGTTCATGCTATACGTGATTATATTTGCATATATACATGGGACATCCTCTTGTGCAGTTTGGGTTTCTGAACCTGGAATGAACACTAGCTCTCCCACAACTCAACATGCATTCTAGGCCAAGATAATAAAATAACATGCTTCAGTTTGGCTTCAATAAAGTGTAAGTTATACTATATACGAAGTTCAGGGGAGAGACTGAGTTTCTACAGGAAGAAAATTTAATTCCCGGAGTAGCTCCTGCCAGTATGTACTGCTGGAAGTTAAACGACAGAAAATGCAAGGATCATAAAGCCATATATCATTTTTGGAATAGGGAAGAAAAATAAAAGCAGGTAAGACTGGATATGCTCCACGTGTTCATGAAAAAAGAAGCAGCAAGATAGAAAACTCAGCCAGACAAAAAAATTGCTACTAGAGTATCAACTGTAGAAAAAAAAAAAAAGAGAGAAATGAAGTTGAAAACAGATTGCTTTAACATAGAACCTCTTCTAAAATGTTACCACAATTATATTTATGTAATTTACAGCTAATGTTTTTGTTCCTAATAATTTAGTAAATGATCTTGTAAGTATACCTTATTTTAAAATGATATTTTCTGAATCTTCTACTAGTCTGTGAATTCCTTGAAAGCAGGAGATGTGTTTTATTCCTCTTTGAATCCTCTGCCTACTACAGTGCCTGGCACACAGATGTTCAATAAAAGTTTGTTTAATTAACACAAACATATAAATGCTGCTCTTAGACATGTTCATACTGTCTTTTCCACTTTAGGAAGTAGCCACAGACACAGCTCACAGCAAACACAATTCCTGATGTAGTTAGCCTTTAGATCTCAGCTTAAATTACAAAGCACTGAAACCTCTTAAAGGTCCCTTGCTTCAGGTAGCCTTTGTTTACTAGGATGAATTGCAAAACAGGCCTCTCCTGCATGTCTAAGAAAAAGCAACAAAGCAGTATTTTTTTGAATGTAAGTCTAAACTAAATCTTAAAATGGTTCTTATGCTCTGCAATATTTTTGAATTAGTCCAATAATGGAGATTCTATTAATCTGTATGTATACTACCAGAGCCAAAAGATTTAAATACTATATTATTTGTTGTAGGTCTAGAATCACCATCTAAAAATTGCATTTCCTTGGGGAAGGGGGGGAATCTATCCTGATAAAATTTTCCTTTATAACTTGTTCTAACATCTTAGTCCTGTTTTAGAAATAAAAAAAGGTTACAAAGTTCTCTGGAAATGAATACATTATTAAATCATGTATATATTTTTTTTAGAGCTAGTTCTCTTAGAAGGCTAAATGACACAGCAATAAAGAAATTACAAGTTTTACAGCACTTTTTTTGTTTACTTTTCTATACTATTTACTTCAATAAAATATTACAATACTAAAGCTCCAACTTAAATGTGTAGGTGTAATCTTTCATTTTGAATCATGTCTGTATAGTTTGAAAGAAAAAACTGAAAACCAAAAATTAAAATAGGATTGATCAGGGATCACATATAAAGGAAAACTGACAGGTAATCACAAATGTTTATATTTTGCTTGCAATGATGAAGATGAGTTCGTATATTACTCAAGTTTGGATATATAAAAAAAAAGTATTGAGGGGCCTAGAAATTGTATTTAATCCATAACCCTCCAAACTTTATAATACCTAAATCATAAATACTCACATTAGCCTCCAAAATGTTCTGGCTATATGCAACTCTTGAATTCAATTTTTCTTTGATTAAAAAAATCTATTTAATTTCAATATGACAAACTCTAAGGACCTAATTTCTCTGCCTAGTCTAGCTCATTTTCATAATCAGAAAAAATTACAATAGTTTAATGTTTTCACACTTCTGACTCCTCACTATACCTGGCAGGATGGTTCTATACATAAATGCAAAGTGTTGTTTAAGCCACGGATGGCCAAAGTGGTTGATGTTGAAGTGCCTCTGGACGAGAAACATGTATTGGAAGAGTGATCTAGTGGTGTAGCTGCCATACGCAACTCCTTCATAGAGGGAGCCATCCGTCACCTCCCTGAGCAAGACCAGAGATTTCTCCATGATGGTCAGAACTTGTTTGGTCCATAAGTAGGCTTCTTGAAGATATCCTGAAGGATGAAAACACATGGAAGCAATGACTAAAGCCTGTGACAAAGCATAAACAAAAATATGGCCAATAAAACCCTCTGAGTTATCTAACTAGTTTATATTACAAATCGCGTTTTGTAAAACTCCAACTTGTCAGTGTATAAATAACATCTTGTAATCCAGGTTGTGACAGTCCATGATGTAAGTTAGGAAGTTCTTCCTGGCTAATATGGTGAAACACTGTCTCCACTAAAATTACAAAAAATTAGCCGGGTGTGGTGGCAGATGCCTGTAGTCCCAGCTACTTGGGGGGCTGAGGAAGGAGAATGGTGTGAACCCGGGAGGTGGAGCTTGCAGTGAGCGGAGATCGCGCCACTGCACTCCAGCCAGGGCGACAAAGCGAGACTCCGTCTCAAAAAAAAAAAAAGTTATTGACTCTATAAATGAAGAGAAACCCTTAAATGAGTATCAGTCACTTTCCAGTCTTTAATAAACTGTATCACATGTAAGATCACAAATGCATATAACTTTATGTTGGCAAGAGAGGATTTGTATATTAAGATTTTTATTCAGTGTTCCTAAAAATATAATACTTGAAAATATTTTTAAAAGTTTATCTCTTTGTGAAACTTGCATCATTATTTTATAGAATTTGTAATAGGCTGCACATATTATAAACGCTAAACGGACAGTCTTCAATTTGTATTGTCATTAGAAGGTAACCTCTTATCCTTTATGTGCTTTTCCACAGGATCTGAAAAGGCAGCACAGTGGGGCTGAGAAACCACTGGAAAGGCAAACTAATAATGAAAAATCAACTAGGAATCCTGAATCTGCCAAAAAATGAGCTACATGATTTTGTCCAAGCAATTCTTCCATCTGTCACATTTTAATCTCCCCACTGAAAATTAAGTCTATAACAAGTTATAAAACCTTTTAACTCAGAAATGCTAGCTTTCTAGAACTGTTGCACTTAGTTGACAATAACAACTCCTCATATTTCTTTTTTTTTTTTTTTTTTTGAGACGGAGTCTCGCTCTGTGGCCCAGACGGGAGTGCAGTGGCGCAATCTCGGCTCACTGCAAGCTCCGCCTCCCGGGTTCACGCCATTCTCCTGCCTCAGCCTCCCGAGTAGCTGGGACTGCAGGCGCCCGCCATCACGCCCGGCTAATTTTTTTTTTGTATTTTTAGTAGAGACGGGGTTTCACCGTGTTAGCCAGGATGGTCTCGATCTCCTGACCTCGTGATCCGCCCGCCTCGGCCTCCCAAAGTGCTGGGATTACAAGCGTGAGCCACCGCGCCCGGCCAACTCCTCATATTTCTATAACATTTATAACTTACACAGCACTGAACAGAATCTTAGTTAATCCTTTTAACAACCCAATTATGTATCATTGCCCCAAAACAGAAACGCTGACTTGTTCAAGACCTCTGGCACATGACTAAAAATGAACACAACTTTAATCTCAACCTAGGTCTTTAGATTTAAGGTTTTCCTTTAAAACACGCAACCCTTGAGAATAAAATTAAGCCCAATGCCTCCTGGTGTGGGTGTAGCCACATTGCTTTACTTCCACAAACATGTTGACCACGCTACCATGGCCTACTATGTGGCAGGTGTGGGGCTTCCAGAGGCCCAGATCTAACCAGCTCTGGGCCTAAATATAGGTCCCAGGCTAAGACTTGGCTCCTGACTAATGGGGGCAATGCAGCTGTCAGGCTTGGGTATGCAGAGGTGACTGATCATCATACCCTGGCCTCTTCTGCCACCCAGCATCATACCTGATATGTCAATATTCTGGATAGTTTTCAATTTCCATTCTCTACCATTCTGGTTTAAAATTCTAATTATCTTCATCCTTTTCCTGTGTGTCTTCCATCTCCCACCAGATACCAATGTGACTGATGCCTAAAATCAGATCACTGTTCCCAGGATACCACATTACCTAAATTTCCTTATTTGTTCCTTACAACAACCCTCTTCAGAAGACATGAGGCAATGTCTACCAAAATACTTTGTAAACTGCAACTCTCTGTGAATACAAGGTACTGATACTGTTAATTGAAGCTATACCCTGTATTTTTTTTCTGCCACCCGAATACCTTGCCTGGAATGTTTTTTAATTTCCCCTTAAGTTCTCCTATCCATCTTCAAAGTTACATGAAGAAAATTACTGAAAGAACACTGCTTTCTTGAATTCCAAGTTAATATACTCATTTTATATTTAACCATAACGCTTTTCATGGTATCTTTTATTTCACTCTCTGGGGTTACTGTAACTATGGTGTAATCATTTAAACATTTCACACCTGTCTTCTTTCCAACTGATTTCTACCTCCTTCTGTCTAGTCTTGTCATAAATGTGTGTACTTATGTGGGGGCTCTGGAAGAGTGTCTGCCAGGGCCACCATAACTTTAATCAGAAAATAAATGCATAGGAAAATTCCTGCCAGGGCAAAATGACATATTTTGATTCAATCCAAACCAGTATTTTGGGTCACTGCTTATTATTTGGAATAATGTTATTTACAAAGACTGAAGAAATAAACTCTACTCCTTCCCTTAAATAAATAAAAATTTATTTAAGGAAATAAAACTATAGTAGCTTAAATTTAAGACCTGAAGCAGAAATTTGGCTCACCTAAGGGATCCTTTCACCATTTCATGATGGTGTCTTTTCACAGGCCTGGGGCTTTATAAATGGTTTGTTAGTGGATTCTCACATTGTTTGCATTTTGATGTTTTAATTTTCTTTTCCTTTCTATTTTATTTATTTATTTCTTTAAGGCTGAGTCTCACTCTGTTGCCAAGGCTGGAGTGCAGTGGTGGGATCTTGGCTCACTGCAACCTCCGCCTCCCAGGTTCAAGTGATTCTCCTGCCTCAGCCTCCTGAGTAGCTGGGATTACAGGCACACGCCACAACGCCCAGCTAATTTTTGTATTTTTAGTAGAGACGGGATTTCCCCATGTTGGCCAGGCTGGCCTCGAACTCCTGTCCTCAAGTGATCCGCCCGCTTTGGCCTTCCAAAGTGCTGGGATTACAGGTGTGAGCCACCACGCCTGACCTGATGTTTTAATTTTCTTTAGGTTTTTGTGAGAGTAGGGGACAAGGGGAGCTAGCATGAAAATTCACTCTCATAATTAAATTTTGCTTAAGTTATTATAAATGGAATTCCCCTTCTGACAGAGATAACAAAATACAGCAGAAAGAGATTGAACTTTATGGATGGCCAGAAGTGGGTCCAAATCCCAGCTGCCTTATATGGTTGATGTGAGAATTGAATAAAATATGGAAAAAGACTTGCACATGTCATATACTCAGTTAATGTTAGTTTCTTTTCCTCTAAGACCTAATTAAAAGTGACGGTTGGTTGATGTGACAAGGGAGAAAGCTAGGTTTGGGTAAAATCCGATGCTGGATAATCAACAAAATGCTTAATAATTCTTATGGGGAGTATAATCGAGTTAAATTCTGTTAGATTTCCAATCTCCAATTATATATTTAATATTCTGATAATTCCCTGTGATCTCAGAGCTGCTTTTCTTAAACACAATCTTAATCAGTCATTTATAGATTTCTACAGAAGTTGTAATTTAGAGTTAAAAGAACAAAGAAAATGTATTATTGGCAATTATGCAATATGTTAAAGCAAAGTAGCTACACAATCCACAAAAATTGCTTCCAATTTGGATGTAAATAATCCAGTTTGGTTGTTTTAAATATTAAGAGGAAAAAATAGTAGTGGTGTTATGATTCACATCTGTGTGCTGGAAATCTTCATTTCAAATAACCAACCATGTGTTTAGCTTTTTAAAATTTCACTTATTCCAGGATGGCTGTCTTCACTGTCAAAATTCTCTGGAAAAAATGAATATTTATCACTGACCCTGAGCTGTGAGGATTTGTTCTGGGATCATCATAAGCCATAATTAGATAACATGCCGGCTAATATACTAGCAGAAAATAAGGAGGAGATGTCCCTCAATTAACTAAGTGATACTGTAGGGACTACTTCATTTCATGGGTTTAGTTAGGATCCAAGTATGAACATGTACTAAGAATGGTTATAAAAATGCTTTGCTCACAACATGGCAACTATGACTTCCGTCAGCTCAGGCATCACCTTGGCTGTGTCCACACCCACCTTGATTCATCAGGACTAGGCTTCCCGTGAGCAAAGCCATACAGTTGGTGGGCTGATGATTGTGCAGGTATTGAAATCCCCATCCTCTCCTGTATGAAGTTTCATACATATACCCTGAGGCATTGGCAATCACTTCAAGAAACTTCTCCTGTTGTGTCTTGCTCAGGTAGTTGTACAAGAAGTCATAAGCAGTGGCAAAACCAACCAGGGAGTGAGCAAGCGGGACCTCATCCCAAGGAGCATCTTTCACCAACCTGTAAAGGAAAATAAATCATGGAAATGAGTTCATCAGACTCACAGCTTTCACCACACTTCTAAAGTGTCTATTTCTCAGAACTAAAGGGCACACTTGAAGATATAATCCAAGGGCTTAATGACACACAACTGACTTCCCTCCACATTAGAAACAAGCGTAAAGTTTGTCTAAAATGTAAAAATTATATAGTAAACAGTTTTCTCTCTCAGGATTCTGGCAACATCGAGATGTTGAGAATTTTTACTTTTTTTACTCATGACAAGAAGTAGTAGAATATATTCAAAGAGATCTGAAGCATAGAACATGTGTTGGCAGGGCAAAATTCTCTGGAATACCCATTTAACCAGTGCTCACCCTACTCCTCCTTTTCACTTGAATAAGATGCTCTCAGTTCTATTCTTACGGCCACCTTGCTAAGACAGTTGAACATATGTATTGCCTCTTATTTCCCATAGCTGGTCAATGCGAAGGTACTGTGGTCCATAATCCATGATCTCTCAATCTGCACAGACCCACTTGGTCATCACCATGGTGGGAAGCGTGGCAAACGTGAGTGGGAGCTGATTCTAACTCAGAATTTTTACATCCCTCTTTCCCATAAACTGAACTGCACTGCCTTAAAGGTCCTTCAAATATCTTTCTAAGAAGTCTAAAAGTTGATCTTCTGTTAAGAATTACATTGTCCACTTTGGGAGGCCGAGACGGGCGGATCACGAGGTCAGGAGATCGAGACCATCTTGGCTAACACGGTGAAACCCCGTTTCTACTAAAAATACAAAAAATTAGCCGGGCGTGTTGGCGGGCGCCTGTAGTCCCAGCTACTTGGGAGGCTGAGGCAGGAGAATGGCATGAACCTGGGAGGCGGAGCTTGCAGTGAGCCGAGATCGCGCCACTGCACTCCAACCTGGGAGACACAGCGAGACTCCGTCTCAAAAAAAAAAATAAAATAAAATAAAAATAAATAAAATAAAATAAAAAAAAGAATTACATTGTCATTTTCCAGGAAGCCAAATTTCTGTTTGACTAGCTATATTATTCTGCAAATTAGTGTGTGGCTTGCATTAAGCAGGAAGCAAACAAAGGATCTTTCACAATCAGAATTCTAAGGAATTAACCAGAAAACCCTTCCCATCTGTTCAGGATGTATTTGAGTAATCTCCAAGTGAGGGAAACAAATCAAAAGTGTGCTGTACCTGTGGGAGGTAGAAGAAAGCAATTAGGGATGAAGCTAAAGCTTAACATTTCTATGCCATGAACCTCTTTTGGCAATCTAGTGAAGCCTTGACCTCTTTCTCAAAATGTTTTAAAATTCGTAAGACATAATATGTAAGGATACATGGAAATCTATTATTTTGAAATATAATTATCAATACACATATTTAAAAAATAATAATACAGGCTTTTTTAAATTAAGGCATGAAATACCAACATTTAATAGCAGGGATAATAACTACTATAATTTGTAAGTGGTAATAAGCATAATTTTTGAGATGTCTATAACAACTGTAATGTGGTAATGAAAATATCTGTGATACCTACCTGTAACTTTGTTACAGATCCTCCCAATACCATCAAGATTGGTTATCTCTACTCATGATTGGAAGAAATGTTGGATTTCAGTTAAAGTTAGTAAAAGTTAAGATGTATTAGTTCTCTCAAACAAACCTCATAGACCTCAGTTTACAAATACTTTAAAATGTTCTGAGAGACTACCTCTTCCAGATTATGTTTTTCCTTTAGAAGTTTATGCTAAAGAAATGGCCTAGGTGAGGCCTTCCCTGGTCACCCTATCAGAATTTCATCATCCTCCCAAAATAATATTTAATTCCCCTTTTCTTTTTTCCCTTTAGTAAATATATGTATGAATATGTCTATGTATATGTTTCCCCTCCTAGAATTTAAGTTCTACAAGGGCAGGACTTTTTTCTTCACTATTGTATTCGCAATTGGATCCCCAATCATAGAACAGTGTGGCACACAGCAGATGCTCAATAAATATTTTCAGAAAGAAGGAAAAAGTGAAGGAACAAACCTGTAACTCACTGTCAGCCACACTGCTGGCAGTGATTATGTGATCATTATGGAATCAGGAATTTGGAGAGATCCCTTTATATTTAGTAATAATTTCAGCATTTGGTTACCATTCGGTGTTTGGTGCTAAAAAGACTAGTGCTAAAAAGATTGATGAGTTTCTTAGCAATTTAGTAACAGACAAAGCTCCCTTGCTCTAGCCAGTCAGCTTGCCAGTGTGTGTACTGTTTGTAAACAGACTATGAGAGTGTGAATGAATTCTCTACTTCTAGGAGAAAAACAATTCATACTGCACACTCATTGCCAGGGAGTTGGGAATATCATCTTCACTGACTCATGGTGACTGGTGGGCCAGGCAGGGAAGCCAGGTCATTTGTTTCCCAACTTGTGTCATTGTACCATGTCATGATGCATCTATAAATGGCACTATATACACCGACCCATGATAAAGCTGATGTCAATGAATTGCTACCAGCCAGTAAACCCTCACATGTGTGATTAACCAATAAGCTTATTTTTATAGATAACCAGAACATTTGATATAATTCTCATCCTTCATGAAATGTTATGCAAATTTCTGTGAAAATGTCCAAGCCCCAACCTGCAGTTTGTTTATTTCAAACAGTTTCCAATTCAATGTAACACTGGCGCCCCAAAAGAAAAAAGTTTATGGCACCTTCAGGTCTGTCCCTATATCATTAGAAAAGCTGACCTGTAATAGCTGTATTTCTAAAAAGTTATCTAAATCTTTCACCAACACGATCTTACCCAGCCTTAGATACAAAGTGAAATAATGGAAGAGACTATATTTTACAGTCATAAAAACCAATGGAAATTTGCTCTTAGTTCATGGATGGCAGCTGAGAAACTATCTTATTCAATGTGATCCTGACCAGTAATAAATCAGTTCACTGTGAATGGTGGTGAAGTGGGAAATTATTTTTTAAAAAAACAGACAGACATTAATTTATGAATTGTGCTTCAACTTAAAATATATCCATGTGTACACAGATTCACCAATCTTTTGAAGGTGAGCCAAAACCTATTCTCTGAATATGGGTCTACAGATGGAGTTTCATTGTTCTTTCCTGCAAAGAACACACATAACACATCACCACAATTTCCAGCTTTGTTTTCTTTATTATATAGGAAGAAATTAAAGATACCTGTGAGGGAACGCAGAAGCCTTCTAGATTTTTATGAGTTTTTCCCTAATCTTCTACAAATCTCAATCACACTATATCATGACAGCAATTTTTTACAGTAAGTTATTCCAAAGCTTTTAGGTTGGTTCTAGAAATATTAGCTTTTTCTTTTTGAACTCACACTTTATCTATTGGTATTATTAAAACTGTCTCATTACAGGTATTAGGGAAACTGTATTACCTGGTTTGAGAACAAATACAGCTGACACTTGCTCAGCCGGTAACTCTACTGGGGGGAAAAGAAATAAATGTAAAGTAAAGGGCAACCTACAAGTCCTGACATTCAGCTACTGTGTTACACAAGGAATGGAAGCTGGGTTCACTGGCAAGTTAGTTAAGAGGAGGTTAACTGAGGAAATATTTACACTATTCCTCTTTTGTAAACTACAGTTTCACCCCTTAGAGCAGCTGTTCTCAAAGTAAGGCCCAGGGAGGGGCTTCCGAGACTATTACATTTTAGAGAATTCACAAATAAGAATCATTTTCATAATAACGTAAAGATGTTATATGTTGATATTTGCACTGATGGTACAAAAGCAGTATTAAGTAAAACTGCTGTAACCTTAGCAAGAATCCAAGCAGGGGCACTAAACTGCCCTAGTAGTCCTTGTATGATTTTGCACTGCCATGCACTCAGGTTTTTGTTGTTGTTGTTGTTTAATTTTTAAAGCCAATTTTATTTAAAAATGTCCTTGATGAAGTGGTAAAAGTGATTAATCTTTATAAAATCTCAACTCTTTGAGTATACATCTTTCTAATATCCTATGTGATTAAACGGAGTACCAAAGTACAAGAACGTTACAAACAAAAGAAGTCATGCACTGAGTTGAGAGCTGAGCTAGCTCGGTTTTTTCATGAAACATTTTTACATGACAGAATGATCAACTGACAAATTATAGTTATCTCAATTTGGGTGTTAGCACAGAAATATTCTTGAAAATAAACAAGGAAGGCCTGCCAGTTCAAGGAAAGCTGAAAGCCTTTGTTGCCAATGACAAACTTGGAGCTTTCAACTGGAAATAAGAATTTTGGAAAATTTGCATCCACTACCAAGAGCTTAAGAGCTTACCAATACTTAAAGATTTTTCTGATGAAATCAGTAAGAACATCAACAAACATGATTTTTATATTGTATAATTAAATGTGTCAACATTCGGTAGACTGAAATAACTCAGTGAACACACATGCAAAATAACAAAGGCATGATGTTATAAAACCATGCACCGATAAGACAGCCACTCCTAAGTGTAAAATATGCCAATGGATTTTAATGTAAAAGAGTATGAAGAGTTCATTAACATGGCTTCAGATTCTATACTGAAATTAATTTTTATGGAACCACTATCAGTCAAGTTTTAGTGTAGCGTCAAAGAAGAATATTCACAATTATTTGAAAAGATTATTAAAATACTCCTCCCTTGTCAATCACATATTCCTGTGAGGCTGGATTTTCTTCACATACTTCAACCAAAAAAACACATAGCAACAAATCAAGTGCAGAAGCAGACACATAAGATTTGCAAAGATGTAAAACAACACCTTCCTTCTATTTTTTGTTTTAAAAAAATATAGTTTGGCTGGGTACAGTGGCTTATGCCTGTAATCCTAGTGCTTTAGGAGGCCAAGGTAGGAGGATTGCCTGAGCCCAGGAGTTCCACATAGCAAAACTGTCTGTACACAAAATAATTTTTTAAAAATTAGCTGGGCCTGGTGGCATGCACCTGAAGTCCCAGCTTAGGAGGCTGAGGCAGCAAGATTGCTGGAGCCCAGAAGTTCAAAGCTGCAGTGAGCTATGACTGCACCACTGCACTCCAGGCTGGGTGACACAGTGAGACCCTGTACCTAAAAAAAAAAAAAAAAAAAAAAAAAAAATATATATATATATATATATATGTATATATAGTTATTTTTTCCTAAAATATGTTTATGTTAATATGAAATGAGCTTTGACAATATATAAATATGAGTAAATGAACAAATAAATGTTTCAAACTTCTCAGTTTTAATTTCTAATATGGTAAACTTTGATAGATACAGCCCAAATAAACAAAGCTGTTTGATGTCCTCATTAATTTTTAAGAGTACAAAGTGCTTCCAAGTCCAAAAAGTTTAAAAACTGATACTTTGAATATTTTCAAAGGTGAATTTATATGAAATAAATTAATCTGAACACAGGAAAGAGCTATTGATTTTCTGAGTGTAAGGGTGGAATGTTGGTGGGGAAAGGCATAGAGTTTGGTCATGATGTGCTGTGTCTATGAATTAAGTTGTGATTCTGAAAGGAAGAATGAGCCATAACTATTTTTCCAAAGTTGAGCAGTCTCATTAATCCAAATTTTTGTACCAATTTTAAAGGGATAGACTGCTTCTATTATCATAAATGCTTTTTAAAATATTATGTATGGAGTATAATAGTTGGCAATCGAAGAAGTCTGTATCACTAAAAAGGTGACAGTTTATTTGATTAAATAACCATTAAAAGGAACCCTAAAAACAATGTTGCTATCTATTTTTATTGGTATAGATTTGAACTGCAAGTGATTAAATGCTTCTATTTTTAAAATTTTCATATAGTTTTGATATAGACAGTCTATAGAAAATAACTGCCTGTGAAAAGATTAAAATTTAACATTGCAAGGTTCACAGAATATTATTTAAATTTGTATACTGTTGTCTTAGCCCAGGCTGCCATAACAAAATGCCATAGACTGGGTAGCTTAAACAACAGAAATTTATTTTTTACAAGTTCTGGAAGCTGAAGGTCTGACATCAGGGTGCCCGCATGGTCAGGTTTTGGTGAGAGCTCTGTTCCTGGCTTTTAGAAGGCCGCCGCCATCTTACTGTGTGCTCACCTGGCCTGTCCTAGATGTATGGTGTGGGGATAAGGCAAGCGTGAGAGAGAGTGCACAAGAGTACAAGCTCTCTGGCACCGCTTCTTATCAGGGCACTTATCCTATCATGAGAGCCCCACCTTTAGGACCTCCATCTAAATCTAATTCTCTCCTATAGGCCCTTTTCTCTAAATACTTCCACATAAGGGGTTAGGGCTTCAATATAAATTTTGAGGAGGGTCCCATTCAGTTCATAGCAACTGTCTATTTAATTTACACAAATACTGCTAAAATAAACACTTACAATAAAAAGAAATTAGGTCTTTGAAAACAAAGATGTGCCAAGAGATCACTCATACTTATTTAAATTAATCAACAGTATACAAGAAACAAATACTAGAAACAATAGAACTCATAATTCCCTTTATAATTAATCCTATTTCCTAGTACTTTTCAGAACCTAACAACTTTATAGCAGGCTTTTCCATATGTAGCTATGCTCCAAAGATCACAATTTGATCCACAGTATAGGCAAATCTACATATTTTTTAAAGTGTATTTAAATGAGACTTTATGATTTGTCAGACCTTTCCAACAAAGGAGGATAACTCCAATAAAATGATCCATCTTCTTTTTCTCATTTTCAGAATAACTATAGTTTTACCAACCTATAAAATATTTACTTCGTAAATTCATAAAGTAGAAGATTTGCGTTTAAAATCTGATTTTATACAGTAGATAGTTATGGAACTACAAATTTAAGTTAAAATGAAACAAGCTTTACAAAAATTATAAATTTACATTCAGAACACAACAGTGAACTCCTTAGAAATTGCAAACTCTAAAAGTACCAGGGTAGTGCACCACCAGCTTCCCATTTGCCAGCTTTGCTGCAGCTGTGTCTACTGTACATATGCCACACCTCTGTCCACGTGCACTTGGGCACACCATTAAAATAGGCCAGAATTAGGTCAACTCTATTTTAAAAATGTAAATTATTCTATTCATTCTAAAAGTCTCCTGAACACAGTAACTTGATAGAAAACCATTTAACTTTCAACCAAACACCTTTGTGTGTTTGGAAACAAACTCCAATAAGTTAAGACAGTCATGTATTACCACTCCTTTTAAAAACATGACTAATGCAGTAGTGATTCATCTTTTTTCCCTCCATTTTAAATGTGAAAACTAACCATGAATGTTAAATGTTAGTAATATGTTAAATTTGGTATGGAATTCCTATAAATGTAGCTAAAGGGAAGTGGATTTCTCACCTCTGAGGCCTCATCTGTAAAGCACATTGGGTCTTGGCAGACATCTGCCAAGAGGACCAGATTAAGCCTGAAAGATAGAGACTTGATCTAGGAGGCTCTGAGTGGGTAGTCAGCAGTCCAAGGGGAATGTTCAGCTAATCTCTGGCCTGGCTTGGCGTCCATATTCCAAGTGTTTGATCAGGTGGCTAAAGGTTAGCACTGGCATTGTGAAGCAAAATGCACAGGGAGGGAAAGGAGAGGGGAGTGTACTTCATATTAATTAAGCACATGTTATGTGCCCAAGCCTCTAAGTACATTGTGTCATTTCATCTTCTCAACTCAACATTAGGTATTCCGTCCCCATTTTATAGGTTGTGAAAAAGCAATTTGGATAGGAGATTACTTGTTCAGAGCCACACAGTTAAACAGTGAAGCTGAGAATGGAATCCAGAATTATCTGAATTATCTGAATCTAGAATGGTTTTGCCTTCTTAGTGAGGGGAAGAACGGCGCTTTCAAAGAATGTCACCAAGTTTGCAATAAGAACTGAGCCAGAACATGCCAGAGTCAGTGGCTCTACCAAAAGCTAGGCAGAAGGGTCCAAGGGTTCTAAGCCTTGCCATTTTCATGACAGCAAGACAGAGCAAGGCATGAGATCTGAGAAAAGGGGCACACATTAGAAGAAGAGATACTGCCATTCTGTGCTCATGTGGTTGCTCAGGGCCCACCCAAGGAACATGAGACACCAATCATGTAGATTTCCTGAACAACTCTTTCCCTCCCTGATGAGCCTGCACACCTAATGTACTACTCTAAGGTAGAGTTGGTCCAGGGGATGGTGGTTCTGGTTTGCATCTTCAGAACCTTGGGCCCCTTAAGGTAGTAACAAACACTCTCTTCGTGATCAAACCCTAGCCAGGCTCCTCTGTGCCTTCTTGGCTAGGCCTCAACCTCATTCCATGAAGAGTAAACACTAACAAGTTTCCAATACCTCAAGGTCATATCCCTGAGATGACCCTCTCCCTGTTGAAAGTGTCTGCCTAAGAAACTCAAGGCTTCCAGAAAAATTTTGTTTGTTCCTGTCAACATTTGAGGATAGGGTCTCTGTCTTTCAGTCTCTGTGGGAGGATAGAATTCTACCCTCGATAATTGCCACTTAGCAGATGTGTGATTAGCTGGCCTAATCACATGTACATTGACTACCCTTTGTAATTTTTCTCTTTCCTGGCTCTACTAAGCCCCTGCTTGCCCTCCTCCCTTTAAAATGCCTATTCACCTCTGTACAAATTGACGTTCAGTTCAGTTTATGCTGAACTCTTTTCCTACTGAAATACTTACTACTGATTAAAACTTATCCTTGCCACTTTAGTGTCCGGTATTGTTTACCTTTGACACTGGCCAGGGCTAGAGTACACAGAAATGGACAATGAGCTTTCCTTTTTCAATATCTACTTTGGGAACAAAACTACTTGCCCTTTCTGGAAACAATTGCTAGAAGGATGAACGGTATGACAGAATGGGAACTCATTGTATATTAAGACTTTTTCAGGGAAAATAACTTATTAGCTCTGAAATGTAAAAAACTATTTCCTCTTACAATCTATATTTCTATATTAATTAAATCACTGGATTTAATATAGCAGTACATTACCACTTAATTTCATTTTAATGCTGTGAATTCAATATCCCAAATATTAAATTCTAAAATATATAAAATTTAAGTCAACTTGGCCCCACTCAAGCAGAATACTGAGGAGTCAATTATGCCAAAGCAGACATTAAAAGAAACACATTTTACTCAAATGAAAAGTATTCTAGATGATTTGTAAATAAAAAGAATCGAAGTGTCGGAATATACCAAGTTAATTAAAATAAAATGTAGAGTAGTACTGTTAAATGGGAAAAGGCATTTCCATGTCATTATCTCAATGTTTACTTCCATGACATGAAGTGTTATTACCCAAATATCCAAGCATGCCACCCAAACATAATCTATTTAAATGGAATCAAACAACATTTATAATTGTAATCCCTTTTAACTGAGTAAGTATACTTTGCCCTAATATTCAACCTACAAAAGGTGAGAGGAAGAAACATGATAAGTAAAAATTATTCAAATTTAGGAACAAGACCTCTATTTTGGTAGAATGGCATAGCTTAAAGACTACGGTTAAAAATACACTTACATATCAAATTCTAATGACAAATTCTTAAAGAATCTATTATAATGGAGAAATTTTAAAACCTGGAAAGGCAATAGGAGGGAATAACCAGGTCTGCCTATATTGTTCATGAAAATTATAATTTAATGATATTTACCCATTTTAAAAAGGAGCTTGATATTTTAAATGCCTAACATGTTTTACAACTGTATGTGTAAAATATGTTTCAAAAAGTTCAGCTGGACAACTTTTTGATGTTATCACTCAGTCAATGTCTATGCAAGCATCCAGTGATCATGTGAGAAGCCATACAGACAACTGCCAGTTAGCAATTGTCAGTAGTCAGTATGATTTTAAGAAAAAAAAAAATAAACATGCAAGAATAGCCAGGATGATGGACAGTGGCCAGTCCTGTCAGAGAAGAAAATATAATATATAAATGTTGGCTTGGGCAAGAACTGAGCAGTTATAATAACTGTATGTAGTTGACACATTTATTTATCTTATAAAAATTTAATATAAATTTTATAACACACAACATCAAAAATATACCATCTATTTTAAATATAACATGACTCCGGAGGACAAGAAGTCTATAATGAAGAATAAAAATCTAAAGATTCTGAACACCAAGTATTTCCCAATGAAAAAGATTTAATCAAACTATCAACCTTATAGTGCAGTCAAAAAGCTACACACACACACACACACACACACACACACACACACACACACACACAGTGGCAATTAGCTGTTTAGAACCTGTGACAGGCAAAATAACAGTCCCCCAAGAAACTGTGCATACATTACCTTCCACTGGGGCAAAGGGACTTTGTAGATATGATTTAAAACCTTGTGATGGGAGATTATTCTAGATTACCCAGGTGGTCCCAATCTAGTCACACGGGTCCTTAAAAGCAAAGAACCTTTCTTGGCTGTAGTCGGAGAGAGATGTGACCATGGAGGAAGAATCAAAGAGATGCAAGGTTGCTAGCTTTGAAGGTGGAGGCAGGGAGCTACAAGCAAAGGAATATATGTGAACTCCAAAAGCTAGAAAAAGGCAAAGAAAAGTATTCTGCCCTAGAGCTTCCAGAATAAAATGTAGCCCTGCTAACACCTTGATTTTAGCCCTGTGTTACACTTCTACAAAACTGTAAGATCACTCTGTGCTGTTTTAGGCCACTGAGTATGTGGTAATTTGTTACAGCATTTGTATGCATTTTTAGGCAGTCAAGGACTACCAGAGATTTGTGGAAATCCCATAATAGGACAAAAGAGACCCAAATGAACAAACTCATTAATGCAGCTTGGGAGAAATTAAACCATGCAGGCAGAAAGAAATTTCAAGACAAAAGAAGCTCTTGAAATGGAAAACAAAATAGCAGGAAGGTAAGTGCAATAAAAGGGCTGGGGAGAAAAGTTGAAGAAACCTTGAAAATGCAAAAAAAGTAAGAAAATAAAATAGAAAACAGCAGAGGAAAAAAAAAAAAGAGGACTGGCCCAAGAGGTTAAACATGTGAAAAAGAAGAGAGGAAAAAAAAAAGAAAGAAAAAAGAAAAAAGGGGGAAGAAAAGGAGATCCAAATATATCAAGGAAAATTGCTAGAACTAAAGGGGATAAGTTTCCATATTGAAAGAATCCATGAAGTGCACAGTACACAGACTCATCTCAAAACAAGATACATCATCCCGTAATTTCAAAACACTAGTAACATAAAAAAGATCCTATATGCTTCAGAGTGGAATATCAGGTTTCATTCAAAGCATCAGGAATAGTGGGGTCAGACATCTCAACAGCAACACTAGACACTAGTATACAATAAAACAATGACTCCAAAACTCAGAGAGACAATTTCCAGACTATAATTTCATATCCAGCCAAGCTACCCTTTAAACTTGAGGGAAGAAAAAACATATACAGACATCCAAGGTCTCAAAATTTACCTCTCATAAATGCTTTCTCTGGAAGCCAGTGGAAAATATCTCCACCTAAATTAGGATGTATATCAAAAAGAAGACATGGCACAAGGAATCCAATTCAAGAGAAAAAGGAACAAAG
Source organism: Homo sapiens (assembly GCF_000001405.40). NCBI lineage: Eukaryota > Metazoa > Chordata > Mammalia > Primates > Hominidae > Homo > Homo sapiens. Next base: position 116,415,031 of record NC_000006.12, on the reverse strand, counting down.
ATGGCTGTACAGCAGACCTGGCTGCAAGCAATCCACATCCTAGCATGTCAAAAAGATGCAGCATTACTTCTTCAAAAAGATGAATTATTTTTAAAAAATGTCTTATTAAGAATGTCTTGTTTGAATAGATAGAAAACTTACACAAGAGTGAGAGTCTGGCTGGTCACTAGAGATAACCATATAAAAAACTTACCAAATAAAACAAAAAGCTATTATGAATCCAAGAGAAAACAAAGAGTTGTACACACATTGAAAAGTCATTACAGTATACAATATAGTTCAGTTGTCAATAACTTTTGCCTTGTTAAAATATGCAAACAGGCTGGGCGTGGTGGCTCACACCTGTAATCCCAGCACTTTGGGAGGCCGAGGCAGGCGGATCACCTGAGGTCGGGAGTTCGAGACCAGCCTGACCAACATGCAGAAACCCCATCTCTACTAAAAATACAACATTAGCTGGGCGTGGTGGCACATGCCTGTAATCCCAGCTACTAGGGAGGCTGAGGCAGGAGAATCGCTTGAACCCAGGAGGTGGAGGTTGCGGTGAGCTGAGATCGGGCCATTGCACTCCATCCTGGGCAACAAGAGCGAAACTCCACCTAAAAAAAAAAATGAGCAAACACTTGATATTCCACTCATTAAAATTATGGCATATTTATAAAATAAAACAGATCTATATTGTAATGAAATAACTTATCTGTGTCAGAGTGAGAGAGAGATGATGCATTTGCAAGCCAAGAACACCAAAGATTGCCTACAACCACCAGAAGCTAGGAGAGCAGCTTAGGATGGTCTCTCCTTCAGAGAGCCTCCAGAAGGAATGAAGCCTATTGATATCTTGATTTCAGACTTCTAGCTTCCAGAACTGAGAGAGAATAAATTTCTGTTGGTTTAAGCCACCTAGTCTATGGTATTTTGTTACAGCAGCCCTAGCAACAAATACACCGACACTAAAAAACCTGACCGGCCATTGCTGCCACCTCGTACACTCCCCATCATCTTCCTGTCGCTGCCTGAACACTCAGTTACTCCCATTTACTTGAAAGAGCACTTGCCTAATATTCTGAGAACACGGCAGGCAAAAGGGCAAAGAATTACTTGAGGAATGAAGTTTCAAAATAATGAGGGACACTTTTTCACAATGGGAAAAACCGTAGTCAAATCACCAATTTTTGCTGCCCTCATGGTGGGAAAACATCAAATCCAAAGTGAGGTAGGCCTGGAGGAGCTAGCATACGTGAAATGATATTTTGCTGTCTCTTAGAGTACGGTTAATATATTTACCCACTATTTCTGCTTTTAATGTTTTATGAATAATTTTCTTTGATAATTTGATTTTTAAAGGTTTTGCTGAAATTATGCAGAGCTTCATAAAATCCAGAGGCCTTTTTAAAACAGTGAATGAACTGTGGCTGATTTTACTCTGGGTGCAGTAGGAAATAATGCTCTGCACAGTTTATTCCATTCAGCCCCGGAAACCTGACATATAATCATTAATCACAGGCCTGTACTGTTTCTTAATGAAATAAAGATGCTTCCCAATACATTTTGAGAATAAGCATTCTAAACACTAGAATTATAGAATAAAGAGGGCATCTTAAAGAGTGGAATGGTCTCCACAGTGGAGATGTCCAAGAAAGGATATTGGGTAGGGATTCTCTGGAAAAAATTTTGTATTTATCAGAATGCTAGGCAGGGCTTTCAAACTATAAATATACTGTGAAATGAATATAATGGGTTGCAATCAGCATATTTTTAACGGAATGAAATAGAAAATGAGGACAAGGCATAATTTAAATGCAAGGGCTATCTCATGAAACATTTATTTATATATTTATATATGTAAAGTTGAAGTTATGTGTGCATCAGCTTGTGCGTCCACTGCACTACTATTTACAACAGCAAAAACACAGAATCAACCTAGGTGCCCATCAATGGTGGATAAAGAAAATGTGGTACATATACATTATGGAATACTAGGCAGGCATAGAAAAGAATGAAATCACATCCGTCGCAGCAACATGGAGCTAGAGGCCATTATCCTAAGCAAAGTAATGCAGACACAGAAAACCAAATACCACAATACCGCATGTTCTCACTAGTAAGTGGGAGCTAAACATTGGGTACACATGGACATACAGGAACAAAAGACAGTGGGGACTACTAGATGGGGGAGGGAGGGAGGGAAACAAGGGTTGAGAAACTTCCTATTGAGTATTATGCTTACTACCTGGGTGTCAGGATAAATTGAATCCCAAATTGCAGCATCACACAATATACATACTATGGAACTGCACATGTACCCCCTAAATCTAAAAGTTGAAATAAAAATAAACAGTGTAATAAAATTAGAAACAAAAATAAAATTAAAAACTAGAAACAAATAAAAAAAGTTATGTCTGTACTGGGTTGTTTGTTACTGTAGGTCACAGTGAAAAAGTTTCAAAGCCACTGTCTTAGAGGGTAAATGTGATCCAAAATAAGCCACCCATCAGAGGCATGCTGCTGGCATGGAGGGCTGCTTCAGTGGGAGGAGCTGTGTTGAAATCCAGGCTGCCCAGGCACTTCCCAGCAGAGGGTCTGGAGCCAGGACTAAGACAAAATTCTCACTGTGAGATCATCAGGAGGAACCCAGGAGATCAGAGAAGTTCAGAATGTTCAAAGTAGAGGGCAGATGGTGTTGTATGAAGGGGGCAGGCATGAAGACACTAAATGGGCTCAGTCAATTCAGGAAGGAAAGCATAATTTGTCATGGTGTGGAAAAAAAAAAACAAGAAAAACATCCCTTGACCTCCAAAACAATTTTGTTTGTCTTTGAAGCCACTTACATTCAAGAGAAATAATGAAATAATGCCTGTGACAACACCCTGAACCCATAATATTTATTTTTTGTCCTGGGAATACAGTTTCAAAGAATATGTCTTTAAAAAGTAATTTGGCAGTACAGTGGATAAAAGTTAATTTAGAACTTTTCTTTGTGAATCATAAAAAATGTTGTGGGGTATAGTTATCTCCTATGTTGCCAAAAAAACAGAATAAATAAATTAAAATTATGAGCCAAACTTGTGAGCTAACTTCAATATGCCCCAGGCATTAAACACATTCCCCAGTTTTAGATCTAGAGTTACTGCTATACTGAAAATAAAAGTTGACCCCAAATGCTGAATGTAATCATATTGTCCCAACTTCTCTGACCAAGTTACAGGTTATAGTAGAAAAGCAGAAGGCAAAAGATTCAAACTGGTTTCAGTAATACTTTAAAATATTTCTCATATCAACAGGCTCTTGGAAAAAGGTAAAATAGTAAACTTCATGTGGTTTCTAGAAATTATGATTTAGAATGGGAAGATGCTGAAGTTAATATAAAATATTAGCAATACATACAGATTTTATTTATTCTTATCTCTTCATTTCCCAATTTTTTTCTTGTAATACTGAACTCACTGTAAATGAATCACAGATATGAACTAAAAATTGCTCACTAAGTTGTTACAAGCCCTAATAGCTATCTACACTTCATCAGGAACCTTTTTTCTTTTTCAACTTGAGAAGCAGCAGCACGACTCACTCAAGCTGATGCCCTCCTCCCAGAGTGCAGCCTGCACAATGTTTCTTTGGCTTCAGCTCCAGAAAGTGATTTGAGGACACCCACGTGGCTGCAGTGCTGTATCAGCACCTCGATTTCTCATTCTTCCAGCTATTCTTCATTTATTTATTGTAGCAGGATAATTTGAACTAAATACGATCTCCTTTGGACTTTCTGCATTTTTCTATCATCAACAGAAAGGATATATATTGTACCTGAAAGCATATTTCATATTGGATATATTTTTTTATGACTGAGACACACACACGCACAACACACACACACATACACACACCCATTCTTAAGTTACAGTGTACCACTGGCAAACAGGAAGCAGCTAAAAATAAAGCTTGAGAGATATAAATTGGATATCTCCTCTTGGGCCCACAGGCACTTCAATTCTGTATATCCAAATCCAAACCTTTATTATTTATAGCATTCCTCAATAGCTCCAAGTATTAGAAGCCCACTGAGAGATCCCACCATCCCATAAAGAAAATTCTTTGTCTCCTTTGGCCCTCAAATACAACTGTCAAGTCTTATGAATGCTAATTATTTATTACTGGAACTTGTCAATTATTTCCTATTCTAGGTTTTCATTTAGATAAACACCAAAGGCCTACTTGACTTCCTGGTTTGACATTGGCAATCTACTCCCACAACAAGATTCTTCTTCTTCTTTTTTTTTTTTTTTTTTTTTTTTTTTTTTTTTGAGACAGAGTCTCGCTCTGTCGCCCAGGCTGGAGTGCAGTGGAGCGATCTTGGCTCACTGTAAGCTCTGCCTCCTGGGTTCACGCCATTCTCCTGCCTCAGCCTCCCCAGTAGCTGGGACTACAGGCGTGTGTCACCACACCCAGCTAATTTTTTTGTATTTTTAGTAGAGACAGGGTTTCACCGTGTTAGCCATGATGGTCTCGATCTCCTGACCTTGTGATCCGCCTGCCTCTGCCTACCAAAGTGCTGAGATTACAGGCGTGAGCCACCACGCTCGGCCTGTAGATTTTTTTTGAAGCCTTAAAAGACATTTAAAAAATGAGCAAGATTAAATGATAATGCCTAGAGATGCACATTTGGATGAACTATAAGGGAACACAAGGACATGACGCCTGTAGGCACTGGGGCATCAGGGTAGTCTTTGTGGGAAGGGAGGGAACTGGGACTGGGATGTGGCCCATGAAGGGGCTTCAGGGAGTGACTGGCAAAGTCCTATTTCTTGACCTGTGTTGTACTTACCAGGGTGTTTGCGTCAAAATACTTTATCAGCTACACATTTATTCATATAATATTCTACTTTTATTTTTCAATGAAAAGGTTAACGTACATACATAAATCTGATCATGTCACTGCCCTGTTACACCTTTCAGTGGCTTCACAGTACTTGTAAAAAAAAGTCCAAGCTCCTTTATATAGTAGACAAGGCCTGGCAGCATCTGGCTCTCTACCCAAAGCCTCAACACTTGCTAGTTTCCTCCCTACACTAAATTTTCAGTTCCTCAAAAGCACTCTGCTTTCTTTTATCTCCAGGCCTTTGTACAGCAGCTACTTGTGCTTGAACAGTCAAGCACGGCTCCTTTTTCCCCTTCACGTGGCTGGTTCCTATCTGTCCTTCAGGACTCAGCAGGAAAGCCTTCCCTGACACTCCAATGTTGGGCAAAGTATTCCTAGATCTTCCCATTACACACTGTAGTTTCCCAGTCACAGCACTTATCCCACTACTAGTATTAATATGCTAATAGTATTAGTATTTATATCTTCCATAGACCAACAACTCCAGGCAAAAGAGATACATAACACGTCTTGAAATTTTTGTATCTCCAATGCCTAATAAAATACCCAGAACAGAGCAAGTATACAATAAACTTATATTGGCCGGGCGTGTTGGCTCACGCCTGTAATCCCAGCACTTTGGGAGGCCAAGGTGGGCGGATCATGAGGTCAGGAGATCGAGACCATCCTGGCTAACATGGTGAAACCCCGTCTCTACTAAAAAAATACAAAAAATTAGCCAGGCGTGGTGGTGGGCACCTGTAGTCCGAGCCTACTCGGGAGGCTGAGGCAGGAGAATGGCATGAACCCAGGAGGCGGAGCTTGCAGTGAGCCAAGATCACACCACTGCACTCCAGCCTGGGCGACAGAGCGAGACTCTGTCTCCAAAAAACAAAAAAACAAAAAAACAAATACAGTAAACTTATATAAAGTGAATATGTGCATACATTTATCGATAAATGAAAATTGCCTTTGGCATCAATTTATAAGAACACAAAATATAAGTGAAGTAATAAAGATAACAATAATAGTTAACACATTATGCTATGTACTGTTTCATTAACTAATCCTTCATAGTATGAAGTATATATCATATATATCCCCAAATTACAAATGAGGAAACTGAGCCACAGAGAAGTCAAGTAACATTCTCAAGGTCACACAGCTCATAAATGTAATTGGAACACTGGCAGACTGGCTCCACAGTCCTTGCTCTTAATTCCAACAAACTATCGCCTCCCCTTGCTTAACAGCACCGCCATTCATTTCAAAGACTGAAGCAGGTGGCTTTAAAGTGAATAAAAACAAAACTCTGTTGTAGTTACCTGATAAGGAGCACACATGGACATTACATGCATGTAAGAAGATGAACACCAAAATTCAAGGGATCAGGGAGGAGAGAAGGCCAGGTGCAGGAGGAATACTTCAAAGACCAGGTAATCTGAGATTCTCTGCTGAGCTATGCACCAAGATGTCAAATCCTGACATTCTTCCTACTGGCCTCCAAGTACGTCAAAGGTACAGTGTCTCTGTGATTACAGGCTGACAGACAAACGGCTGATGACAGGCACGTCTTCAGAGTGAAAGTGAGACCAGATAAGTAGGAGCAGCCACAGTACGCAGGGCACCAAATCAGTTTCAAAGTTGTATACAGATCCAGGACTTCTGCTCTCAGTAAGCTTAGACTCTCAATAAAAATAAGACAGATTATTCATTCATTCATCCATCCATTCATTCAATATAATTAATTAGTGTCTTTGTGGCAGGTATACCATATGTGGCTCTTGGAACCCCGAAAAATGCTGGGGCTACCCTCAATAAGCTTATGTGCCAGTAGAGGAGACAAATAAACCAAGAATTGCAGTGCAGGCAAAACAACCTATAACAGTTTTGCATGGGTTCCTTGGAACATATGAATCACACTGGAGGGTGGGTATAGAAGATGGAATCTGGAAATTTTCTAGAAAGAAGTTTCTTTGGAGCCGAATCTAGAAGATGTACACTCCTGGTCAGAAAACCAGGCAACCCAGTTATGACTGCAAACCAATGAATTAAATAAAAAGTAACTATAGGAATTGGGTTGGATGAGGGGCTAGAGAACATGTAATGGTGGAAGAAGTTAAGGTGGATCATACAGTCTGGATAGGGTTGGAGAGAAAGGTGGAAGACAAGGTATAAATCAGTCTGTAGGCAGAAAGGCCAGCTCAGGGCTGATCTGCAAACTCATTACTGCCCAAACTGAAGGCAGAGTTGAAAATACCAGTGCCACATGGTCCAACTGGACCACTGGGAAGACCACACATAAATACCTATCAGTGAAAAGCTTTAAAACAATAAAAATCACAAAATTCTAGAAAAAAATGTAAAAAATCTCTAAGCTCTGGATGGGTGAAAATAGATTGATCTTTTTTATTTATCAAAGGTACTTTTTCCTGAAGAGCTCACTTACATTCAAAAATGACAGAATCACCAATAGCAAAATGCATTCGTAGAGTGGCAAGAGTGAAGAACAGAGCAAGGGGAGGGAAGAGAAAAATGACTATGGGTAAATAATGAGCATAGTAGCAGCAGTGAAGCCACAGAACAAGAAGAAGTGGAAGACAGTGAATTTGTAAGAATGAGCAGATATGGCCAAGAGGTCCTAAAAGTTATAGTAATAACTATACACCAAGATACCTGCTAAGGTTATCTATGAGCCCTTGCAGTGTAATAGGGACAGAGAACTTTGAAAGTCATCTGTCCATACAGTTGGCAGTATCAACAAAGTGAGACAAATAAAGTAGATAGAAGAAATAGAGTGACACAAAAAGACATGTAAAAAAGTGAACCATCTTTTCTCTCCCACAAACCACTCTCTCCTCCCCATATTCTCCATCTCATTTGAGTATCAATATGCAACCAGTCACCCAGGGCCATCATTTATGCCTCCCTCTCCCTTACAATTTAAGTTTTAGTACATCTAAGAATCATATAGAGGACTTGTTAAAAATGCAGGTTCTGTGGCCTACTCCAAGAAGATATGATTCAGTGAGTCTGGGCGAAACCCAGGAATCTGTCTTTTTAAGGATACCCAATATGGTGAAAGACTCACACTTTAAGAAAGAGTGTCCTATATCTGATCAATCTCTGTGTAGATTTTCAGTCTTATATGTCTCTTAAATTTATACTTTCTTCTCCCCACCCTCACTGTTTTAACTGTGGTCTTCATTTCCCTCCTACACTAATATTATAAGCTTCTAACCGTTTCTTTTTTCCTGAGTCATTCCTTCCAAGCCATCCTAAACAGAAAGCTTTCTAAACCACAGGCTTATGTGGGATAAGCAATGATCTGGCCCCCGACTATGGTATCTCCTCCTGTGCTGTCCAGAACTCGCATGTTGACACTGGAAAGGAAAAGGAAAGATGGATGAGAGAGACTGTGGTAAGCATGACTGAAATGTGTTCCCTTAATGGACATGGCAGAAGGAGACAAAGAAGTAAAAAAGCCATTCTTAAGATACCTAAGGTAAAAGGAACTACCCAGCTTTATAAAGGACTCCATGAACATACTCATGTCATTATTACTCTCAAGTTATCATTAGCATGAACTTAATGTCAGCAAGACCCTACATCTTAAGTGGTGTTAGGCGTGAATATTTCATCCAAAAAATAAAGCCAACTTTTAAAAAGTGATTATGAAGTATCAATGAAAGAGAATACAGACATACATGCGGCACTTGCCAACTAACATTTTCCCTTATGATAATGAGGCAAGACATCCACAAAATTCAAACATCATGCTTGCCAGATTTTTATGTTAGAAAAATTTAAGACCCAGATTGTAAAGACTACATGAAACTTAATATATTCATGTTGCCTTTGTTCATATGGGGTGAGGGGCACTGATTTATACCCCAATTAAAGAGGGACGAGAACTCCTCTGGCCTTGAGCACAGTTCCCTCTGACAACTCTGAAAGCCCGCCCATGTTGCATTTAAAAAGGTATCAAATGACACTGAAAGGGCGGGAGGTAGGCGAGCAAGTGAGTCACCCATCGCAGAGATGACTTGAGGGTCATACCAATACTGAATCTTAGAGTCAATAAACATATCTTACAAAGAAAATTAACTTCGGATTTCCTTTCAATCATGTATGATTTATAACTGTCATAACATTTTTAAAGTTATTGTTAGAAAGAAGCATTATTAGAGTAACTTTATCTTCACCTGCATTTGAAATAGATGGGGAAGAGTTTAAATTAGTTGAGTCCTAACAATTTAGGTGAGCAGAACATCCTATTTAGGGTGTGACTGTGCACCACACAACTGTCCAATGGCACTGTAACTGGGCTGCTCAACTAATCTGTACACCTGCCTATGCCTCTCCCTCGGGTCCTCTTCATCTGCTTCCTCCCACCACAGGGCACCTGACCTTGATTCCTGCCCAAGAATCCATTTGTAACACTGATGGCAACAACCTGCTTAATAAACGGCATTCAAGAAGTGAATTCCCAATGGCTGTGTGTTTCTGTAAATTTTAAATAATTTGATCGTTGTAAAAAGCCTCATAAGTTATTTTACCCTTCTATAGTATTTTTAAGTCTCTGCAGCAGCATAAAAGGGAATAGCTTCCCTTAGGTCACAGAATGAAAAGAACAGAGAAAAAGAGAGGCAGAAAGAGTGAGGGGGAAGGGTAAGAGAAAGGGAAAAACATGAATGAGAAAAAGCCAGGGGAATTAGAGGCTGGGTTTTCTGACAGCCCAGCATTTGTCTCCACGAGTCCACTTTAATGGATTCCAGGTGCATTCTGGGCTAAGCCGCCCAGCCTTCCTCACTGTAAGGTCATGAGAAGAAAACCTGATCTTTTTACTCACAGGGCTGTGGCTCCACATGTTTGAGGCCCAGCTACATTCTCCCGGCTTTTGATTTTCAGTTTTAACTTGCAATTTTGAGAAGTGAAAAACCCGAGAAACAGCTGCAGAGAACTGCATTTGAAGCCCAGCAGGCAATGCTGAGCAAGGCAGGCACACTCCTCATTTTCATACGTACAGCAATGAAACTGGTTCATTTCAATATGCTAGAGACCTTTTTTCTCTCTTTATATTTTATAATTATATTTTATTTTTGCAAATACACCCTCGGATGACACCATCCAGAAGTTTGCAATCACAGGCAAGAATTTAATACTCAGTCTGTTGCAAAAAAAAAAAAAAAACACAATTACTTCTCTGTCCAAAAGTTCAACTTTCTTTGTTTCCCTCACCAGTTCTCCTGATTTCCTGTAGCTAACTGGCTCCAATGCAAGAGTGAAGTAATTTCTTTCCTCTGTGATTTATTTTCTGTCTGATGATAAGTAAGGAAAAATACTATAAAGAGAGAACTAAAGAGTCACAACAAATACTTTTCAAAAACACAACTCCAGAGTGACAACATAGCTAAAATGGAGTACTGTGTACCAAGAAACCTAGCGAGAATAAAGTTATATATTCGTAACTATTCCTGTGTAATAATAACAAACTTTTTAGTAAAACTATGTGCCAGGCACATAATGCTAAGAGCTTTATATGCATTACTTCATTCAATCCTTGGGATGACCTTGTGTGGGAGGAATAACCCATATTTTACAGATGAAGAACCAAGTTTACAGAGTGTAAGGAACCTGTCAAAGGACATGTGGCTAACACAATGGCAGAGCCAAGATGCAAGGACAGATCCAAAGACCACTGGGCCAGACCTGTTCCTCAGGGTTTACAAATTAAGACAAGGAGCCATGAAAAGCCTGCTGCTTGGAAATGGATGCTGTATAATTCTATGTTATCAACCAGGGCTTGAACAATAAGTGATCTCAGTTACAATCCTATCCTAAACCTCTTTTAAATGCATTCATCTTCCCATATTATTAAGTGAAATATGGTAAACTTAACTGCACCTTTCTTAAGTGATTCAGGATCTGTAATGTTTTCCAATAATTATTTGAGTACATTTTGTTTGTTTGTTTTTAGCTCCGGAAAATCACTAAGAATTTGCTGAGGAGTGTAATGTTAAGCTCATAGCAACCCATCTACCAAGAGCTTGGCTAAGATTCATAAGGTATAGGGAGGCTGCCTGGTGGACAGGCAGTCATTTCATTTTTCTACACATGCAAAATTCTACCAAAGGATTAAGCTAGATTAGGAAAAAAGTAGCCTGGGCTACCCCATATATCCATCCTTTTCACCACCCCCACTCCCTCCCTGATCAAGGTTTTAGTAAACTTTGCTTTGGAGATCCTCCATCGAGGGATACACATATGAGCAAAACAGGCATGGTCCCGCTCTCAGGTCAGTCTGGTGTAAAGAAATAACACTGTGCAATTCATCATACGTACACTGCAAGGATGAGAAGGCTGCGAGGGTTCTTCATAAAAGCCCTATGGGAAACTTCCTTCTGATCCTTGGGCCAAGAGAGTAGTCAGTTCTACAGAGTAACTGATCCCATAGTCACTGTAAACTTCAATATTGACTAAGCCTACTTTCTTTGCTACGAAAACCAACCAACCAACCAACCAAACCCCTCAGTGTCCACCTGTGGCCCACTCATGGTGCGTTTTAGATGCCTTTTAGCAACTGTCACATTCCTTGTCCAGTCAATGTCTCCAGTCTTTCCCCCCTCTTTTCTTTCTCAGCTACTTCTAATTTGAAGCACAATATTTTATGCTTCCTTAATCTTCTAGGGGAAAAGTTACAGTAGAACTTTATTGCTGATATTTTTTATTAAATTAAAATTATTAAATTTTATTAATTTAATAAAATTTATTAAATTAAAATTATTATTGCTGATATCTTTGCCATTGTAATTTTTAATAAAGAATATTTTGCCATTATATATTGGATTAAAATAATACCTTTTTAATTTTACTTTTAAAACTAAGTTCAGCACAAGCTCAAATTACTCTGTTACTTTTACTGTAATGAAGAATGTGTGTTCCTTAGCAAAAGGGAGAGAAACGGGGGAGAGCTTCTGAGATAGGATGCGAGCACCTCTGAAAAAGTAGATAAAGCATATAGATTAGTCTCATCATTCTGCGGTGCCCAGTCGTCTGGATACTCAGAGACACACACAATAAAAATGCATGCTGTTATTTTTCAATCACCATTATAATTATAAATCTATGAGATTCCCGTTCTACTTTGTAGGCTATTAGATGGACAGAGTACAATTGAATATTTTCCCTTTAACGTTTCTGCTTCAGAATTCTTAAGTGAATCTATAGAGGTGAACTTTAACCTCTTTATTTACTATTCAAATGAAATGAACCCCATTAATAAATTTGTATGCATGTATATCTCATAGGCACTTCTTTTTAATACCAGACAAATGACACATCATTGTTACTTTCCACTAAACCTTCTTCATTGGTGTTAACATTAGATTCTTGTATACATTTTAAAAAGGGCCCAGGGGAGCATCAATGAACGTTTTAATGGAAAAAGCCAAGGGGAAAATTTTATGAGTTAAACAGATGTTCTAGTTTTGAGAGCAATTAAGATTAGTAAAATCCTAAATGGATACTATTTCCTTGGAGCCTACATATACCAAATTATAAACCAAACAGGGTCTAATTACTAGGTAGGTAAAAGAACAGCATCAATAATTACCATTATTGTCATTATTCTCATTTACTGAGGGCTTACTATGAGACAAGAACTGTGCTAAGTACTTTACATTGATTATTGCACTTAATCTTCCTAGCAACCCTATAAGGTAGATAGGGTTGTTACTGCCACATTATACATCAGGACACTAATGCTCACGCAAATTAAGAAAATTAATCTGGAAAGTTAATTAAGAAAATTAACATAGCTGAAGAGTGAGGGAGCTGGGATTCAAAGGCAGTGTGACTCCAGAGTTGGTGCTTTTCTACCACACTAGGGTGCAGCATGATACAAATGTTTAAGTCATGAATGAAAACTAAGGAAACTCCTTATGAAATGATCCACACACTCAATTCTGAGCAGAGAAAATATCCTTAGCTTAGGCTTTAAGAACCCAATGTTTGTACCCTTTGCCATAGGTAAAAATTATAAAATTACTGGGCTATTTCTTCAACTTTGAATCCCCAGCACCCTAGCACAGTGCATGATACACAGTAGATGCTCAATAAACGTTTGTTGATCAAATGAATCAGTGAATGAACATAACTTAGTAACTGGCTTTCAAAAGAGTAAAAATGCTCTTCAAAGAAAATGGAAAATGCATTCAGCCTGATGAAGCTATTGTAGAAAGTTTTTTTTTTTTTACTTTCATAATATCAATTATTGATCTCTTTTGTAAGTAACAGCTAGTTTTTTGTTTTTGTTTTTTCTGAAATCAAATATAGGTGAATTATATCCTAAGTCAATGACAATACTCATTGTGTACTTCTTGGTACATAGTGAGAATATGATTTAATGGAGCAATTGAAACAGAGGTAGTTGAACTGTAAAATCACTGAACATTGTTTTAAATTATTACAGCACATAATTGTGTTGTAATTGTGTTCAACCACAAATCTAAATGAAAGTTTAAAAGTCTAAGGGTTGGGTGTGGTAGTTTTTAAGAAGTTAAAATTTCTGTGAAGTTATTAAACAACACAACTTAATAATAGTACCTGCCAAAACAAAATGTTCAAGTAGCTCAACTTTCTAAGCCAAGTTCACTTTTGCAACTAGAAACCAGATGTAAAGGTAAATTCTCAAGATTTTACCTTGAAGGTCAAGAGAAAGAAGTCAACTGTTCAGCTCTATTAAGTCAAAAATTGGCTTTTAGTTTACTAGATAATGGCCTAGAGTTATACCTATTTCTATCAATATTGCCATGAATAAAGTACTAGACCCCTAGTAAGTTTCTATACACCTCCAGTGATCAATAAATCTGGACTTGTGGAAACTATGTAAAAATTATAATATTTCTTTCAAGTTATTTATTTCTCTTTTCATAGAAGGAGTCTCATCCTAATGGCAGCATTCATTCATTGGTATTTATATACCCAAATATTTTACATTATAATGAGAAAACTGTACTAGTCTTGTACAATTCTCATGTTACTGTATTGTGCTAAACAATCTCCATCAAAAATGGTATTTCACAGTCCATTACTTTCTTGTGAGATTAAATACACGGTTCTCTACAGGCTCTATCTCTGGAACATTTACATCAATTTCTTAATTTGCCAAAATCTACTTATCTAAAACAAAAAGGACTTTAAAGTACCCTTCTAGATGACAAAGGTTTCTTTCTAAATAATGTAAATATGGTTGCTATTTTAAACTAATTGAACAAATCAATCAGTGAGTTACTGTAGCATTTGATAATGTAATCTGGTAATTCAAATATCAGATAAGTTTTCATACATCTTTTCTTTCTTGGTGTCAAGAATAGAATAAGATCAGTTAATGTCAGTCAAAGTCAGAAACAACTACATACATGGCTAAGCTTTGAAATAAATCAAATAAAAAATTCTTTTCAACCTACAATATTATAAACTTCAAAATGACTACATGTACTTAGCAACAGGCCTAAAATATCAGCTCTGATATGGATTTAATGCCAACTCTTGCATAATACTTTTCATTACAAAATTCCAGAAATTTATCGGAAAGCTTGCAAACCACCATCCTTCACCCCTGTGATATGTTAAGATGTAATTCATCATAGCATTAGGTGCATTCACTGATTTTTTTCTAAGCATTTAAAATGAGCTCTCTCTAGCCCTATGACAAGAGGCAGCTTATGTAATTTTTTAAAAAAATTTCATCAATCTGTAAATTCTTTTATTGCAATTGAACCATAAATGTGTATTTAAAAATTGCATGAGTAAAAACATCTGTAGAATCCCTTGTTTAATCAACTCATCCCATATCTGTTTGGAAGCATATGAAGCATTAATTATAAATTAATCAAATAAATTTAAGCTAATCGAAAAGACAGGAATTTGTTCTCAAATCTTAAACTTCGAAACTAAATTATTATGTAGTTAGAATTCCTCACACAATTACACAATAATGTTGGTTTTCCTACAGGTCTCAGAAATCTGCTGGTTATTGGAGGGGATGTGTTTATAAATTGCCAGTCAGTCCCATCCCATTCACATTTAGTTCCTTACGATCATAAAATGCAAGTAAGTCTTAATTACTTGAAATGTCTTGCTGCAAAATGTTTTAACTACTTGGGATCAATCAAACCTAACACCAGATGATAGTAATATATACATGCTGAATATGGAAGAAAGAATTCTCAGCAATCACGATGATACTCTTTACTCAATTCAGCAAATTATTTTTTCTTTAGATTAGGCTGCATCTAAATATTTTCCTTCTAACTTTAAACATGGAAGTTACTACATCTTTTGAAACTAAGGGCCATTCATAAGACTGGCAACACAAATAACAAATAACACCTCCCCCCACACACATACACAAAGAGGTACATGAAGATCTGGCCACTGAGATGTCATATGGATTTGTTTCTTTCTAATGCAGAGTTACCACAGTAAGAAGAACAAGACAAAAATCTACCAACTAGGCTGCGCTGCCATCCTCTCCATGTAGTCTTTGGCCATGTCTCGGGCTTCAATGTTCTCAGGATACAGCACACAGAACATTGCCAAGGCACCCAAGTTGTTTCCAAAAATTTCATTCCAGCGGGCACTGTAGTCCTTGGGATCCCAGGGAGGGAGGTATTCCAAGGGGCTGGACAGCATCGTGTGCACAGCCTCCGTGAGGCGGGCTGCAATGTGCTCGTGCGAGCTGGCAGCCCTGAGCTGCAGCTCCGCCACTTCTGCCCTGGAGAAGTACAGCATGGGATGGCTGTCGTAGTTGGCATTGGTGAAGGGAATCATAACTTCTGGGTTCTCGTCGGTGATGTAGGCTGACACAAAGCAAAGCAAATATATGAAAAACACACTGGGAGCCCCCCGTGTGTGAGTCCTCATCGTGGCATCAGATCTCCAAATCTCCAAGGCAGCCAAACCATCTTCGAAAGATCCTACGTGAGATAAAAAGGAAAAAAAGTGTCTGTCAGCCAAGGGAACATGGCACAGGTGTGGAAACATATAAGAGGTAGAAACCATATGTGAAAATAAAGCTTATGAATTTAGATTTTTAAAAATACAACAAAAAAATTTAATTAGGAAGAAAATTACTAAAGTTCTGATTTTATAGAGTTAAACATACTACATCAGAATTGTATTCATTATGGAAAACAGAATTTTGGACTAAGGGAAAATGTATAATATTTGTTCAAGTAAGGAAAAAATTATTCTTGGTATTCTTCTCACATAGTATCATGCAAAAAACATCACATGGTATATTTTTTTAGACATTAATACATAAACCACAATAACCAAAAGCTGGTAATGAACAATCATCTGGGAATCTGAGTAGACATTACAAAAAACCAGAAAATCCTGTATTTCTTACTACAGCCTCTTTCACTGTAACTTATCTCCTTTTCCTAACATTTCTGAACCAGGGATTAGGATCAATACATCTGTAAGCAGACAAAATATTATGAATAAGGTTAAATATCCTCTTTATGTGAGCAGAAGGTGGAAAGAGAGAAGACAAAGGCCATGTAAACATCTGCCAAGCCCGTGTATTTCCTGGGCTGACATCAGCAAGCATGTAGTGAAGACCAAACACAGTGCCACTGGGACCAGAAACTGACATGCCTTCATTCAGAGAATAAAATCCCAGAATTAAAAGGCTGAAATAACACGGGTGCATTTTCCCCTTATTATCTGAAACTACTGTCTACTTTTTCATTTGGCATATGGGATTTTGGTGTCATTCAGTAAGTGAGAAATGTAAACAAAGTTCACATATTTTCTTAACTACTTGATTTTTCTTCAAAGCCCCTTTTTTCAGTGGCAGATTTGTGCACTGGTTAAAAGAACATCTTTCAAATGTAGAAACACTAAAAAAAATAAAATAAAATCCCCAAAACCTCAGCCTAGTCAATGTCCCACATCTGGGATAAAGCAGGCAGAAAATCCCTCAGAGGAAAGTCAGGGAATTCTTAAAATTCTTAAGAGGGGAAAGGTTATAGAAAGCAGACCAGAAAAAGACAGTTTTATGTAAATAACGAACAGTGGTTTTCAATTATTAAAGGGAGAAACTGATGGTGGAAAATCAACCTCCCAAGCTGAACACAAACTGTTTTTCCAAGGAAAAACTGCCTCATCATATTTAGAAGAAGAAAAACTAATAATTTAACAGATATGGCAGATCAATCCACATTTTCAACTTGCTGTGTGTGTTTCCAAGAAAAAGGCAATGAGACATCATTTGAGGGTGCTACCTTATTCTGGAGTTTTTTATATTTCTACCTATATATGAAACTCGATGGCAGTGGTTTTGGTTTTGTAAAACATTTTACATTTATTTCAACAGCAGAACTTCTGATGAATAAAAAATTAATATAGCCATACTAAATAAAACATATGAAATAGAAATAACTCTTGGACTCTGCCAGTATTATGTCTAGCACCCAAAGTCTCAAGGCAGCTGGCAGGCTGGATCCTTCAAGGTCAGAGACCCAGCCAAAAGAAATAGTCTTCTGTGGTTATGCCTGAGGAGGGGTGTGGTCTCTGGCAGCACACAGAAATGGCTGGGTCTGAGGTAATGCTCAGTCCCCCCAGGGGCTTATTCCTTGCTCCATTTAGAGAACAATATACCGGCCAGGCACGGTGGCTCATGCCTGTAATCCCAGGACTTTGGGAGGCGGAGGCGGGCGGGCCCCTTGAGGTCAGGAGTTGAAGACCATCCTGGCCAAAATGGCGAAACCCCATCTCTACTAAAAATACAAAAATTAGCCAGGTGTGGTGGGGGGTGCCTGTATTCCCATCTACTCGGGAGGTTGAGGCAGGAATCGCTTGAACCTGGGAGGCGGAGGTTGCAGTGAGCCAAGATCCACCACTGCACTCCAGGCTGGGTGACAGAGAGAAACTCTATCTCAAAAAAAAAAAAAAAAAAAAGAAAGAAAGAGAATAATATACCGCTAACGATTAAAAAAAAATCCTGTATATATTAAGTCCCTAAAAGTCTAAGTCTGAATGCTCTCATCAATGCAATCAGCATTGTGGGGGTTTTAGACACTTTCTCCTTTAACTGAACCCCCATACACACACCCAACGTACATGCAGTGAAAGATCCCTCAACTACCAGCTTTTGAATGTGTGGGAGCTCAGGTGGATAGGGGAGTGGCTCCAGCTATGAGCATATGGGTAAGAAGGCATTAATACATGGAAACTAGAATTTTTCCATCTCACATTCTGTACAAACTTCCCCAAACGTGGGTAAGGTTAATTCATCATGTTCTTTGTCCTCCCCTATGCAACCACACTCCCACCCAGGCACAGAATCACTGTATATTCAGGACTGCTCCGAAGAGTCCCTCACACTGTGGGGCCTACATGCCTAACTCAGCAAAACTCACAATGTGACCCCTGCCACTTCTGCCACATTGCTTCCAGTTACGTAGGATATGTCTGAATATATTTAAACCAGAAAAGCTGATCCTGAAGCATAGAACCTCATTAAGATGTTGTTTTGGGAAGGATGCCATCTCAACATGCCAACTGTTATTGAAGGTTCTCTAGCTATTACTTTGAATTCGTGCAAGGGAGTCAGAGCAGCAAGGTTGTGCATTACTGTACATTTAAAATATTAATTTCCGTCAGAACACCACGTTAGCCAATGCAGAACCCATAGAGATTCTGCAGAACAATCATCTATGAAGACTGAGGAGAAAGAACCGTGGCATTCTCAATACCACAAATGGTGTACTACCTTCCCCATGCCCCACTCAGTGTGCTCAGCCCCCAGTGCTCTCCCAGCTATTAAGGCTTTTGTTGATTCACCCAAAGAGTTGATCTCTCTTGTATCTGGCACATACCTATATCACACCGGACTGTTTCGGTTGTTTACATGCAATGCCTCACAGAAGGTGAGAACCTTCTTCCTCTATGTATCATGGAGCTTAGCACTGAATCTGGCTTTTAAAAGGCAGCATGCTGGCTGTGCTGAACCAAATCCCTGGGCTTAGCTGTTGGTAGAGCAGACCTCATCAATAAAATAAGCATGGAGAAACTTTGTTCCCCCTTATTTGAAGCCAAGGAAAGTGTGGAACTTTCCAGAAAAAAAGTCCCTCTAGGAAACTAATGGGAGAAAACACGTATGAAGCCTAGAAACTTATGTAGCCTAAAAACTATCCACTAGTTTAAAAAGAAAAGAAATTAAATCTAACTAAAATCTAAACCAAACTTGTTTTAGGCTGATAACCTAAAAGAGGAAGTAATACCCACCCATCATTTTAAATCTGTCTAGAAAATTTCACTGAAAAATCTCTATTTCCAGTCATTGAGTTTTCTCTTTGACCTTCCACTCTAGACATTGTGTGTGCTCATTGTACAAAGAGAAGAGCCAAAATTAAATGAAAAGAGTGTTTCAAGATAATTTTAGGTGGACCAAAAATGGACAGGCTTTACGTTAATTTTACGTACTTATTTTAATGTGCATTATGAAAAACTATACCACATCAAACCTGAGATTTCTACAGATATGCAAAACTCCTGTTTAAAATATATTTAAATTTAAAAGTAAAAAAAAAGTAAATGGATATGGCAAAAATTGTTGAAGGTGGTACCTGAATAACTATAGTTTGAGAGATGCCAAAAATGCTTACCGAAACAAAGGGCATTAAAAGCTAATGAGTTTATGGGAATGGTCAGCCCCAACCCTCCCACTTTCTTTATTTTTTAGACGGAGTCTCGCTCTGTCGCCCAGGCTGGAGTGCAGTGGCCCGATCTCGGCTCACTGCAAGCTCTGCCTCCTGGGTTCACGCCATTCTCCTGCCTCAGCCTCCCCAGTAGCTGGGACTACAGGCACCCACCACCATGCCCAGCTAATATTTTGTATTTTTAGTAGAGATGGGGTTTCACCCTGTTAGCCAGGATGGTCTCGCTCTCTTGACCTCGTGATCCACCCGCCTCGGCCTCCCAAAGTGCTGGGATTACAGGCGTGCGCCACCGCGCCCAGCCAACCCTCCCACTTTCAACACTATGAAACAAACACAAACACACACACTATCTCAAAATGTGCCTTCTGTCCTGGAGAAATAAGTCTGAACTTCAAGATGTTTGTGCATGATCTCTCAAGCTATTCACCCCCTACTTCATTGTGTTTCAAAAACAGCAGAGCACTCCCAGGCCCTTTAAATCTTTAAGTTGCACTTCGCCCAGTTCAAGAGCATAGCATTTTCAACATGGCAAAATTACCAGCGACTCTCAGCAGCTGATGCTACTAATAAGTACTTTATCTACAACTCAATTCTCAGGCTGTTTCTGAATGATTCCATTGAGCATCATGTCCCCTGAAATTCTCTTTTTCCTCTTTTAACTCTACAACTTTCATGATCCACTTTTTCTTCCCATTCATTTGTCTTATGTCACACAACTTGGATAGTAAAACATTCTTAAATCTATGAGGTAGGAGGATCAGTTGAGGTCAGGAGTTTGAGACCAGCCTGGTCAACATAGTGAGACTCCATATCCACAAAAATAAAATAAAATAATAAAAAAATTAGCCAGATGTGGTGGCATGTGCCTGTAGTTCCAGCTACTCGGGAGGCTGAGGCAGGAGGATTGCTTGAGCTCAGGAGTTCGACGCTGCAGTGAGCTATAATTGTGCCACTGCACTCTAGCCTGGGTGACACAGTGAGACCTTGTCTTTAAAAAAAAAAAAAATCACGCTGTTACTGCTATAATTCAGATAGCAATTTGATCATCTCTCTGCCTGTATATATTCAGCAGTCCAAGTTTAGCATTACGTGTAGGCCAAGCCACGTGAATTATGAATTACAATTACCTTAAGCAGATCTTTATAAAGCAAAGATAGGCCCCAAATTATTTTGCTGTAATTCTGGTTCCAACAATCCACTGCAGCTATTATGATTCAGCAGTCACACAGAAAAACTTCGTTTCTGTGATCCTAAATGCTTTTCACATATTTGATCTTTTACTCTTCAATAACTTAATATAGCAAAATAGTATTATTTGTTCCACAATAAATTTCAGAGAAAGAACTAGAACTTGCACCTCCTAAATCCTAAGCCAAGATTCTTTCCTTTAACCAAACTAATTTGTGAGAATGTTCAATAACATTAAAAGTTCCATTTTTTTGCCATCCTTACACAAAGAAAGCACAGAAGAATATGCTGAGAAGAAAAAACTGAACACTAAACTAGTACATCAAGTTTCAAAAAAGATTTGGGTTTCAAATGATCTGGGACTGTTTATAGAATGAAACAAATGGTAGTACAAAAGTTCTTTCAATTCCACAGGCTTCAGAAAACAGAGAAAGTATAAGGATGGGAGAAAGAAATCACCCTGTAGAGAGTAAAACATGCCCCAAACTAAGATGGATTAAAAAACCCTCTTATAATATGTGCCAAATTTGAGGAACACAACATAATGATTAACAGTATGGGGCATGGAGTTGGGCAGACAAGAGCATAAATCTCAGCTCTGCTGCCTCCTAGCTTTGATCAACTGACGTCCACTCTCAAAACCTCCCTTCTGTCATCCACAAAATGAAATATGCTTCATGGGGTGATTAGACATGTGTGATGCACTTAGCATAGAACATGACATGAAGAGCTCAATAATATTTATAAAAAGGAAGATGTTTCAGACCTGCAAGATTATACTAACCTATTGATAAAATATTTTATTTGAAAGAAACTAAATCTTCATACTTTACAGGTAAAAATATAAGAACTATAGATGTTAACTGACTAGGGCCAGATCATACTGCTTATTAGAGACTTAGTTGAAATTGGAACACAATGCTTCTCACTCTTCAACACATCACTCATAGTAAGCTCATCACTCACTGGAAAGGAAAGTATACGACCCTTTAAATTTTTCAAGTGTTTGTTAGAGGTTTTGCCCCAAAGAAAAGAATAATAGATTAAATGAGCTATTAACTAAATTTTCTTCCTAGGGTCAGTAATTTAATTCTTCATATACAAAAGGCGACCACTTCTTTTTTCTCCTTTATTCTGTCAGGAGAAAGGCCTGCCGATCTAACAGCGACTGGGAAACACAGTCCCTGGCTGGAAAGCTGTTTCTTAGTAACACATTTATATTACGGAAGGAGTACATTAAAATTTAGGGGACACCTGCTGCCACTGCAAGGCGGATAGGTTAACCTCAGTACAGGGTCTGGTCCTGGCTCCATCACTGCCATCAGTATCTCAGCTGATCATCCTGGAGATGAGATGCTACTTAATGTTAGGCTTCCCTACCTCTCACATATGAAAAACCAGAATGTCAGCATATTCGTTTACCGTCAAGCAGATTGGGAAATATTTTCTGACTTCACAGGAAACCAACACAGGAAGTGAATTATTAGATAACTGTCTGGTGAACAAGTAAAGAATCAGAACAAAGGCAATGGGAAAGGCCCTGAACTTGGGGCAACTTGACCAGTTAAGATCGCTACCATAACTTCATTTGAAGGAGGCTGCTGAAATTGCCAGCAGCTGTCACAGATGTCCTTGGGGGTATCATTAAAGACAAAATTTTAAAAACTGAGTTGTAATCATATTTAGAAAACAAGAGTGAAATGTACATCCCCTATAGCTCCTGCCACCACACCCGCCAAGCTCAGCCTAAGAGCAGCTGCTCCAGTTTGCTCAACTTAATGGATGGGCCCCATAGTTAGTTACATGATTAGGAATAATCCCCCACACTAGAACCAGTGTGCCCATATCCATGGCAAGATTGAACAGGCAGACCCGACAAATGAATGTTCCTGACGTTGCACCCTCTCCCGTGGAAAACAGACAGATGTTGCCGAGGTTAGGCACTGTGACTCGCTTGCTCATGCTTCCATTTAAGTCCAAGTTCCCTCCTCCTTCAGGCCTCCATTGAAGTTTTAGGAAAACCCTGATTGCCTGAGAGCATTAGGATATACTAGACAGGGCTGCATTGCCTTCTCTGATCCATTTTAGGATTTAACTCTCAGAGAAACCTTCCAAGTGCTTTGGGGAACACCTTGCTGTGGTCTCACATACTATTTCACTGTTGCTACATATTTTAACTATAGTAATAAAATGCATATATTTTAAAAGGTCTCCTCACTTTTCTATTTCAGTTTTATTAAATGCATAATTAAAATAATTTTTTGAAGAATGTTTCCTCAATACCAAAGTAAAACCTTACATGTCCTTGGTAAATTTTTGTAGTGAAATAAATCTAACCTTATTCTTAAATATGTCAAATCCTAAGAAAACCTATGGCTTTGGTACTGCAGAATCGTTCCCTAAAATTATACTCCCTGATGTGTAAAGCCCGTGGACTCAGACAAAAAGGAAAATCTTAAAACTGAGAGCTCCTTTTTTTTTTTTTTTTTTTTAAGACGGAGTCTCGCTCTGTTGCCCAGGCTGGAGTGCAGTGGAGCAATCTTGGCTCACTGCAAGCTCCACCTCCTAGGTTCATGCCATTCTCCTGCCTCAGCCTCCCAAGCAGTGGGACTACAGGCACCCGCCACCACGCCCAGCTAATTTTTTGTATTTTTAGTAGAGACGGGGTTTCACCATGTTAGCCAGGATGGTCTCGATCTCCTGACCTCGTGATCCGCCCGCCTCAGCCTCCCTAAGTGCTGGGATTACAGGCGTGAGCCACAGTGCCTGGCCAAAACCGAGAGCTCTTAATCAAAATCAAGAATACTTTTGCTCCCTAAAAGGTAATTTCCAAACAAAAATCCACAATATGAAATGATAGTATATGGAACCTCCAAGAATTTGCACACGCTGCTGAAGGAGTAATTAGAAACCTGAGGCCACACAGCAAAACCACACCATGTATAATAACGGTGTTCACCACCTTAAAATACAACATTAAAAAAAAACTTTAGGTCAGGCTTTTATTAACTGCAGCTCTGTACAGTCAAAGAACATTTCTATCATTGTCCCCTGAAAGGTTTTCATGAAGACAGCACACTTTTTCATTATATAATGTGAAGCCCACTTTCTTTGTTATACCAGTGATGATAATTGTATAACTTCCTTATATTAGAATAATTCATGTAAAATATGTTTAAAGTGCTCACAAACATTTTCTGATGTCAAGTCTGAAGGGTTCCTCCCCCATCCACCAGAGACCACCTGAGTGAGAAATGTAGTGGCTATCTAACTAAATTCATAATTTAGTGGTAGAGGTTAGCCTGGTGCATGTTACTACTAAACTACAAACCATTAGTATCCAGCTTTTCAGAGATTGGTTATCATTTCATATGTAGAAAAAAAGTAAAATCTGTATTATTTTCATGGAGGCAAAGGGAAACGAGGGTAGAGATACGAGTGTACAAACGTCACTTATGAGAGTACTGGGGCATCTAATTTTGCTTACAGAAGGCCAAAAGAGAAAATGAAACGGTTACACTTTCTAAGATAAGCTATAAATAAATTCTAGCTTATCTAGCAGTCTAACAATTGAAGATCTTCTGATTAGTATTTCTTTATTACAATTTTAGTTGATTTTCTTAATGATGGTTTTAGAATACACTATTCTAAATTATTTTCAGAATTTTTTATTTTAATATTATTTTCAGAAGTTAATATTGAGCATAATTAAGTGTATTTTTTATGCTGAATCACTTAAAAAGTAGTAATTTTTGCCTGTTATGCTTTGCAGTGCATTGTGATCCAGTACTGGAATATCAATTCCTTACCCAAGTTGGGGATAAGAATTTCTTATAAATACCAATAAATTCTACTATGTATTGAAAAAGTATTAAATCCAGGAATTATGGGCCAGGCACAGTGGCTCATGCCTGTTATCCCAGCAGTTGGGAGGCTGAGGCAGTTGCAGCACTTGAGCCCAGGAGTTGGAGACCAGCCTGGGCAACATGGTGAAACCCTGTCTCTACAAAAAAATACAAAAATTATTTGGGTGTTGTGGCATGTACCTGGGGTCCCAGCTACTTGGGAGGCTGAGGTGGGAGGATCGCTTGAAGCTGGGTGGCAGAAGTTGCAGTGAGCCAAGATCACCCCACTGCACTCCAGTCTGGGTGACAGTCTCAAAAAAAAAATAATAAAATAAAATAAAATCCTGGAACTATGTTAGGCATTGAAAATACAAAGTGGGCAAGAAAATCTATACCTTCCCTAAATAACTATAAACAAAAATATAAGAAAATGATGTCTCTGAGGTTTTTTTTTTTAAAAAACTGTAGTACTGTATTACTCTGCCTGAAAATAAAGATGAATAGTCAGTCTCCCTTAGTCCAAAACAATTTATTTAACCTATTGAACTTGGCCACTAAAGAAAATTTGCAATATATTTTTAAAAACTTTCTCTAAAGAGTAAAAGATTTTCTGTAATGGTCTGAAGGACAAGCTATGGCTCTCTCAGCAATAGCTTTAACCATGAAAACACTTTTGTAGCATTACTGACTAAAAAATAAAGTATAGAAAAGAGGATGAATAAAAATAATGAAGCCAACAGCTAAATCTCAACCCTATACAGTTTCAAATAACAGTTAAACTAAACCACAAAATGCTCCTGAAAACCAAAGTAAAATTTTTCTTCCTGCAATACATTCCTGAAGGCAGACTGGTGAGATGGTTAAGAGGGCTGGCATGGGGTCACAGTTGTTTGTCACTGTATGACTTTGGACAAGCTATCTAAACCTATTTCTTCATTTAAAATAAAATGCTATTTGTCTCACTGACTGGTTGGGAGATTAAATGAGGTAGCACCTTTAAAGCCCTCACTTCATAGTAAGTGTTTAAAAAAAAAAAAGCTAGTTATCATTCACCTCAAAACACTATCAGTGTTTGAGGGTGCAAGCTGGAGCCACACTTCCTGGGTTTGAATCCTAGCATCATCACATCCTTACCTACGTTCCTGTTTCCTCCTCTGTAAAATGGATCAAATAATAGTACCTCCCTCATAGGGTTTCTGTGAAGCTTAAATTAGCTGATATACTTAAAGCATTAAAATGGTGCCTAGGATTTAGAAAGTGCTCAATAAATACTAGCAGCCATCATCATCTTCTCAATGAGAACATCGAGGTCAGTCCAACTGAGGGGAAGTGCACCATGACCCCAGGAGGAAACGCTCACAAAACTATCACTCAGAGAATGCTATTTTTAAAATATGTACAATGCATTGTTTATTCTCAACCTTGCAGTCTCTTCAGGAGACTAAAAATATCAAATATTTTGAGAAATATAGAATATTTGATGCCAAAAGTTTTCTTCTTCTTCCTGCTCAACTGCACATTTATAACTTTCAGCTAAATATTCCAAGTAACCAAACAGATCTGAGGAAAAAAGCAATTACCAATCTACTTCTTCATCAACCAAAGTCTATATACAGATAAAGCTAACTGATTCACCATACTAATAAAAACATGCTTACACAGTCACAAAAAATCCTAAATGCAGAAATATAAGTCCTGATGAAATGCAACAGATGAAAAAAATTACTTATAAACTTAAATATAATTTTTTAAAATTTTGATGTTTAATCAAAATACATTTTCCACTTTCCACAAATGCCAATGTATATTATCTTTCAACTGGCAATGTAACTCCTTGAATCTGTAAATTAAATATCTTTAATTCTGTATCACCAATTCTCCCCCTTTGATGTTTACATATGTGACTTCTTTTCTTACCAGTTGTGATAGTTTTGTGTCAACTTGACAGAATCACAGGGTACACAAGTATTTGGTCAAACATCATTTCTGGATGTGTCTATGAGGGTGTTTCCAGAAGAGACTAAACTGAGTAAAGCAGACTGTCCTCCCAATGTGGGTGGGCCCAAACAGAACAAAAAGAGAGGGAAGATTTTCTCTCGGCCTAACTGCTTGGGCTGGAACATTGGTCTTCTCCTGTCCTTTGCCTGGGATTTACACCAACAGTGGTCCTAGTTCTCAGGCCTTTATATTCAGGCTGGACCTATTCCACCTGTTTTCCTGGGTCTCCAGAGTGCAAATGGCAGATTGTGGGACCTCTCAGCCTCCAAATTACAAAAGCCCATTCCCATAATGGCCAATTCCCATAATCTAGCCAATTCTAGATATAGATAGATAAACAGATGTAGGTGTAGACATGGATCTACTGGTTCTGTTTCTCTGGAGAACCCTAATATACTAATTAAAGCTGCTCAGGCCAAGCCCTTTTTCAAATTCCCATTAGAAAAACCCAGTATCCCTTTCCTAGTACTCACTCTCCAGAATCTCCCCACCTAGGATAATACACCACACTCTTCCTCTTCCCTGACACTTTGGGAAATTAGTTTCTGGGATACCGTATTCTCCTGCTTCTCTTAATACCTCTGTGGAAAATCCTTCTTATGCTTTTTTCCCAGAAAATTTTTACTGCTTTTACTGTGCAAAGAACGTGTATTTCATTATCATATTTAATCCCCAAAATTATTTTATGGGTAATTTTGTTGGAAATAGATGAGGAAAGTGAGATTTAGAATGGTGAAATAACCTACCCAGCATTATTCAGTGAGTGGTCAGGTTTATTTTTGACTTCAGGTGTGTCTGAGTCACAGTCAAGATTTTAGCCATTATGCCTCACTTCCTTTCTCCCTGCAAGCTGCCTGCAGTGTCTCAATCCTGGGACTTCCCACAAGAATATGGCTGCATGGCTGCACGTGGTCATTTGCTCACTCCCACCTCCTTCCTCATAACCTGCCGTCTAAGGTGCTCATTTATACACCTAAAACTAAATTCTTCCAATCAGAACTTTCTTAACTTCTTCACTACATTTTCTCAAACCAATTATTTGGAAATCATCTTCATTTCTTCCCTATCCTTTTTCTTTCATTCCAATTTTCTCACCAAAGTCATGCTTTTTTTTCCTAAGTACTGTTTCATTACTCTGCAGTTTTTCAACAGATTCCTGAGACTATTCCAGAATTCAACATCAACCTCCAGGGTAACTTTCCTCCTTTTGACCTTTTTCCTGAACCCAATAAATATCACATATACTTGTGGGTTAGTTTCTCTGTTCCTCTAGCCCTTTGTCTGCAAACTCCTATGGGTGAGTCATGACACTGATTACAGATTTTCAGGGGAAGCGCCCCACAAAAAAAGTACTACTAACCTCACTTATGCAATCTAATCTGGTTCACTCATTTATGAATTTAGCTAAACCGTTCTTGACATTATGTGTATTTTTGGTATGTCCTTATATCATATCTTCTAGGATAAGATACTATAAGTTTACTCTCTAATAGTAATAATGCCTCTAAGAAGCACTAATACAATGTTCAAGGATCTACTATGTTAAATGGGAAAGGGTTATATTAGCAGACCTGAATTGCTCAAACCATACACATTCCCAAGAGAAGTCTTCAGGACTGGCCCTTTACCAGCTCATGAGAGACGAGCCCTTGGAATATTCTGCCTGATAAAGAGGTTTTTATACACTCGAGGCCTTGGGTTACATGGCAGTAACACTTTAGTTAACTAGATGACTCATGATAAACTCCTATCTTTGCTCTGGAGAGGCTGGAGTCTGAGTAGCTGAAGTCAGTCACATCTAACTACAATAAAAGCCCAGGACACCAAGGCTCAGGTGAGCTTCCCTGGCTAGCAACGCTTTGCATGTATTGGCACACATTGTTGTTTTGAGTACAACTTCAGTAGGAGTGGACACCTAGAAGCTTATGCCTGTTTTCTCCTGGGCTTTGCCCCATGTGCCTTTGCCCTTTGCTAAGTTTAATCTGTATCCTTTGGCTGTGTTAAATAAAGCATAACCAGATGATAACAAATGTTGTAAGTCCTTCTAGTGAATTGCCAAGGCTGATGGTGGTCTTGGGGACTGCTTCCCCATCCATATGCCCTTTATCTTCTTTTTAGTTAAATCATCTAAGTTCCTGTTAGAATTATGAGTAGCTTGCCATAATACTTTGTCCCATTATAAAAGAAAATGTGATACTTTCACCACATCTTTCTCTTTAGTCAACTTTTGCTATTTTTCTCTGACTTACACCCAGAAAAATGACTAAGAATGTTGCTGTTGAAGCAAAGGACAAAGCAGAATACACTGGACTGACACATTTTTTAAAAGGCTTTGGGAATATTCCAAAAATGAAACATACAGATGGTAAGCAAAGGGCTAAAAGGAAGTTCATTGGAAAGTAATTTATGGGCATTAAACCTGTAACTGCAGTACATCTGATTGAAATAAAAATTGTATATATTGGATGAGTATATATGGAGTGGTGCTTTTATTACTACACATGAAGTTCTTTTACATTCTTTACTTATATACAAGCATTCCTCATTTTTCCAGACTTCAAGTACTCATCAGTGATAAAATTTACTTTTTTTTTTTTTTTGCTGTCTTTAACATTTCCAAACATTTTTATATGTACTTATTTTGATTCTCACTTTTATCACACAGATGAAAACCTTTGAGTTCTTTGGCATTAAAATCCCAGCATACTTTTCAAATGTCCTCCTGTGAATCATAATCAACTCAGAATACCACAGACTTGGTTTGTAAAACAATGATACATAGATGTAGTTAACCCAAAGACGTAGGCACTGCCTTCTTAGACTTCCCCAACTCAGTTACTGGCAACTAATCCTGCCAGTAATTGGACTCAACCCCACCCCCTCCTTTTCTCCCTTCCCTATTTCACTCTCCATATCCAAACTATCAGCATATTCTGTTGGCTCTACTCCAAATCCGTCCAGAATCCAGCCACTTTTACCACCACCATACAGCCATACCATGTCTTGCCTGCGACAGCCTCCAAATTTGTCTACCTGCCTTCACTCTTACCTCCCTAAGATCATTCTCCACATAGAAGCCAGAGTGATCCTGTTCAATCCTAATTCAGAGTATGTCACCACTCTATTTAAAACACTCTAATGGCTTCCCACCTCATTCAGATAAGCATCAAACTCCTAAGCATTGCTCTCAAGGGGCTAAGCAGCCTGGCCATACTGCCTCTCTGCCTTCATGTCCGACTGTCCAGTCTCTCTCTGCTCCAGCCATGTTGGCCTCTATTATTCCTGTATACATGAGGTGAGCTCCCTCCTCAGCGCCTGCACATTTGTTCCCTCTGCCCCAAATGCCTACCCTAGGATATCCATGTGGCTTGCTCCCTCATCCCCTTTAAATTTTTGCTCAAATGTCACTCTCTCAGTGAGGTCTGCAATGACTACCTTATTTAAATGACATCATTACCAAGTCCAACCATTACCATTCTCTAATTCCCTCCTGGGTTTTATTTCTCTTCATGGCACTTATGACCTTCTAATCTACTATATAATTTACTTATTTATTTTGTGTGCTTGGCTCTCCCATCTAGAATGTAAGCTTCAGGAGGGCACTTTGCTTTCTGCTATATCTCCAGCACATAAAAGTGTACCTAGCACTTAGTAAACACTTAAAAAATATATATTAGTTGGATAAATTTAACTGCGTCAAGAGGTAAACTTTTAAATCCTCAGAGATAACTAAACATATAGTTATACAGCTACATAAATATAATTACATTAAAAGAAACAATAAAAATTTGTGTAGGAAGACAAATCATATGGAGATAAAATGTACTACAATGTTTGAACTCTAAAGGTTACTCTGAGTGATTATCACAGAGTTTACTGAGAGCCGTGATCACGGCCAGTGCCTTCCCAGCCTCCCCCAAGGCACAAAGCTCCCACTAAGTCCACCTCAGGCTGCTAGGTCTAGGTGACTTGCTTTACCCCCAACTTTCGCCATCCCATTATTAGCATGCCTAACTAACATGCCTCTAATCGCAGACCACTGCCTGAATGTCTCTCATTATTTCCTGACATTCCAAGGATAGATTTCATGAGTCCTCTATGGGTCTTTTTCTAAATGCCATCTCAAAATTTTCGGCCCATCTTGCATGGGATTAGGCACCTCACACTCTCCCTAGTCTATCCATGTCCAGACCAGCCAAGCCTTCCTTTCTGCTGAATGACTGTTTCTGTGCTGACTTTTATTTAGGTTGCTCTGTTTTGAAATTTAAAGTGATTCCCTCATGTCCCCATGTCTAATCACATGCCCAAGGATTGTAATTATTATTTAATGGTTTGGTATAAGGACTTGATTAGTGTTACTATTTGTAAATTTAAACAATCTTTCTGTACTATTAACTTTTATCTAGAGAATTCAAAAGAATACTCTGTAATTATTATTTCTTCTACATCTACACAATTGCTAGTATTTCCTGCTAAAAAAAACTTAATATGGTGTATATTTAAGTCTATGAAATGTTACCAGTCAGGAAATAATTTTTGAGGAAAAGTAAAGCTCTAGTAGACTGCTGGAGACTACATATATTATGTAGAACAAGAGAATAATTTCTGAATTGCTGGCCATGGATACACAGGACAAATAACATGCTGCTGCAGAAATATTCCAACTCAGTTCCACATCTGTAAATTGGGGATAGAAATATCTATCTCCCAGGACTGTAAGGAAGATGAATGATAATATGAGAAAGGTGCCCAGAGCAATGACTGGCATATGAAAGGTGCTTAATAGGTATGATTATTTAAAAAAATTAAAAACTCCGAGGGCCTGAAATATGGCCAGATATTTAATGCCCATGTCTGTGTGCATGCACAAGTTCATGAATGTTTAATGCGGAGTCTATATCCTTATCTAGGTGAGTAAGTTGTCCTTATTTCATTCTGTCTTAGCAAACTGCTCTCATAGTGTTAGCCCCATTCTTGGCATCTCCTAATCTAGGCATATACTTCTCTCTCGCTTGTATACTTCTCCACCCAAACTTTCATACCCACCCTACCCATTTTTACCCCATGTCTATTCACAGCCTGAGTCCCCCTAGCTACTTCTCTTTTGATCAAACCTAATGGAATTCCTGTTTGTCTATGCTGGAAAAAAAACTCCCTTTTGTAGTAAACTTATTTTTCAAACTCTCTTCTTATGTCTAGCCCTAAATGAATGCAGAAACTAGATGATCACCTGTCAGGTGATTCAGAATTTAAATAAGGTGGGGTTGGGGAACACCTAAGATCCTTCCAAATTACAGATTTTATGAAACAACTGAGTCTTTCAATAACAACTTGTCTCCAGTTGTGCTCTCCCATGCAGGCCAAATCTCACATCCTACCAATTCACAAGCAACATGGAGGCAGCCTCTTCAATTCCTGAGACAGCCTAGTTCTCTAAATGACTCTAGGTGTGACTCTCCTGGCACTTTTATCATTTGAAATCACCATTTGTCCATATACTCTTTTAAACCTTCACTGGTAATTTCTATCACTCTGGGGATATTTCTAACTTTCTCAGTGACTTAAGGAAACTTGATCCTATTTGTTCACTTACCTCAATTCCCACCATAAGCCTGGGGGTAGGGCGGGGAAAAATTTCTCTCTTGCCACACAGCTGCATACCTACTCACTTATCATCTCCAACTGACTCCTCAGTAAAATCCTTACCATTGACACTTCAAGAGTTTTTGCCCCTTTCCACAAGCATTCATTTCTTCCTTTGTCACCTATACATTTGGACAGTGACATATCACCCAAATTTAGAGAAGACAGAAACTATGTGGTATAAGCATAATGTCTCATTTATCTTAATATCCTTATCTCTAATCCTAGACAGAAATAAGTCACAGGGAATGTCATGCTGGAAAGAAGGAAGAAAACAAAATATCTTTTCAGGAAACAGGGGGCACAGCAAAATCCCAAAGCCCTTTATGGCAATGTCCATTAATGTGGCTACGTAGGGGAATGGTGTAGGCCCAGGCAGAAAGGAGACAGAAGAGACAACAAGTTCATTAACTGATTATCATATAAACCTACAGATTCCTCCTCTTTTCTACAATCCTTTTGGCATATCATGGCCATGTTATGGTAGGCTCGAAATATCTGACTTACAGTCTGTTAAAGGTTAAATTTTGTTCCACAAAAATTCATATGTTGAAGTCCTAACCCCCAAACCTCTAAATGGGACCTTATTTGGAAAGAGGGTCATGCAGATTTAATTAGTTAAGATGAGGTCATATTGGAATAGGGCAGACCCCTACTCCAATATGACCAGTGTCTTTATAAAGAGTGGAAATTTGGAGACACACACACACACACACACACACACACACACACAGAATGCCATGTGAAGATGAAAATAGAGATTGGAGTGAAGCATCTACAAGATGAGCATGCCAAAGATTGGTAGAAGCCACCAGAAACTTGGTAAAAGGCTTGGTACAGGTTCTCCTTCATAGCCTCAAAAGGAAACAGTCTGCTGACAGATTTTTAGATTTTAGACTTCTAGCCTCCACCACTGTAAGACAATAAACTATTGTTTAAGCCACCTTGTCTGCAGTACTTTGTTACAGCAGATAACTAATAGAGTCCTAGCTCTAGAATTTTCTCATTTCTAAAGTAAACATTGTAATTCTTACAGTATCTACACCAATGAACAATAAAGTGCCTTTATTGTGCTTGCCAAGTGCCAAGAACTACGCTACATATTTCACGTAGATTGACTTATTTAATCCTTACCACAGCCCCATAATGCAGTTACTTGTATAATTTGTATCTTCACCTTTTGAGGTGATAGAACCTGAGGCACAGAACAATTAAGCTACCCAAGGTCCCATAGAATGTGAAGAAGCCAAGACATAAATGCAGGCAGTCTGATCAAATTACCCAGGAAATAACTATCTTTACAAATCATAAAGTCACCATTTTCATATCATTTCCCTACTCAAGAGCCTGTATTTCCCTCAGCAAAATGAGCAACAGTCTTGTCCAAGAGCTTTCATAATCTAGCTCTGGCCTATCTTCTCAATCTCATCCCTCGTTTCCTCTCTACATAAACTCCCCCTTCAGACTTACCTGCCCATCATTGCTTGAGCATGACTCACATTTCATTCCTTTATTCCCTATGTTACTCTCTCTTATCTGCTCCACATCCAACGTGGTACTTTCCTCATTCAAAGAACACAACACTCTTTAATGAAGCCTTCTTGGCAACTCCATCCATAAGCAATCTCCCCTGGGAACCCATGTATGCATTGCTCAATATTCTTTGAGAATTCAGGGACGGTGCCAGCCATGAAGGTGCTTATATCATCTTATAAAATGATAGAATAAATATTTATACAAACACTAAAATAAAATGAAGTTTGCATAAGAATGACAAAGTACAACTGAAATTTACAGAAGAGCTGACACTTCTGGCTAAGGTGAAGAAGGAAGGATGCACTGAGGAGGTAGTATCTGAATTGGGCATTAAAAAAGGGTCGGTAAGAATGTGTACAGATTTCACTGTCTCTGCTATACACTTAGTACTAACTATGTGCATACTGAGTTATGTGAATATACATGTTATCTTCCTGTCTCACATTTATTATTTCAGTCCTCTCTGTATCCAAAAGGGATTTGATCACCAACTCAGGTATAAACTGCTGGGAGGCAGGGTCTGAGACTTCTTTGTCTTTCTTGTAGTGTCAAACACCCTTGTGGAAAATAATAAAGAATATACAAAGAAAGGAAGGAGAAAAAGAGAATGTCATCAATGGAGATAAGTGAATTCCCATGACTTTTCCCTGAAGTTCTCCTTGACCTGGCAGCTGCTCCATATCTGCTTGCTCCTCTTCTTGTGCCTTTGCTCTGCTGGCTGATCTGCTTGTAGTGCTTTCTCCTTTCCTCTTTTTTGTATAAAATCCTCTGAGACCCAATTCATTCCCCCTCTTCTGCCCTTGGAACCTCTTCCTTCCTGCAATCCTACTGCATTTATGTCCATTCGGCACCTAATTGTTCTCACAAAGTTTCATATTCAGTTATTCTTCTCCAACCAGATTTTATAGCTCCTCAAGGCTGGAAACTATGTTATATTTATTTTGCATGCCTTCCCCTCTTCCCTCCACCTAGACATCCCCTCAAACACAGAAGTACCTGGCAAATACTTACTCAATGACTAAATCCTTTCAGTATGTCTATCACTAAAGTAAAATATCCTTTCATCTGACTCTCCAAGTTCAAAAGTACATTGGGAAAAGTTATATATTAAAACATTCATTCCCAAGTAACACAGATTTATCTTTTCTAAAACTTGCAATCACTGAACCAAACATCAGTGGCTTCACCAACAAGAAAAAAAGGTGTAAGCACATAAAGAAGGATCTGTAATATAACCACCCTAGGATCTGTAATATAACCACCCTAACACCACTAACTCCACTTCCTTATGTGCAGGGTTTATGATTTTATGGCAATTTGTAGTCTAAATACTGCCATACATAACCTTTCTTAAGAAAGAGATATTGGAAGTGGTCCAACAATCTGAAATTTGCAAGATGAAATTTAACAAGTTGAGATGAAATTCAACTTTTAAAGTTACCACAGCAGACATTCAAATGACATTTCTTAATTTAAATTTTACACAGAATAATTCTATGCAAGCCACATGAAGTCTAAAAATTTTAATGGTGAATATCTTGGGACTGTAACAAAGCACATAGATAATGGGATGAATCCACCCTGAACAGTACTTGTTTCCTTAGAAAAAAAGGTGGATCTTAAATTTTCACAAAATAGTTTAAGAAGGAATAAACTGAACTTGCATAACAGCAACAGATCAATTCCTGTTTTGCTCCCTATTTCTCTTGGGTTCTCATTAAAACCAAAAGCTCTAACTTACGGAAGAATTAAAGTAAAGATAGAGGAGGAAGAGAACTAGGAGTAATCTGGAAACTAAAGGGGCCAGCAAAAGACATTCTTACCTAAGATAACTTTGGAGGTTTTCAATGTTCCCAAGAATCAGTTTCTTTTGAGAAAGGTAATTTTGAAAAGTATTTTGAAATTGCTTTAAAACTATAGTCTATAAGACTAACCTGAAACAGAACTCGAAATGCCTAAGACATTAACTTTGCTGAGCTCCATTTCTTGGCATCCTTCAAGCCCACTGACCCATTATCAGCTCAGAGTGCATTTTCCAACACCTTATGCTGCATCAAAATGATCTTGCTTTTAAGATACTTCTATCTTAATTTCAATAAGCCTAATCTTGATATTGAGAAAAAAACAGAACCACAGGCCTAAAACCATGGGATCAATTCTGCTGGAGATTGCATCTTCTTAACAAAATAAAATAAAGTTAGCATTCTATTTATAAAAACACCATTATTGTTTTTAACCATAAACACTGCAATAAGAAGCATGGTATGACAGAAGTTTCCAGGTTCTTTCCTACATGGGCAACACCCATATTTTAATCACATGACTGATGAATGCCCCCTACATTCATGCAACCACTGAGATCCTTTCCCTCTCACTACCAGTCTGGTTCTACCATAGAAAATGATGTAGAGAATGGTAAAAGACAAGACTTAAAAAAAACAAGGTTATCTAGAATAAAAAAGAAATGTGGGTGGGGACTTAAGGTACAGTAAGGTGGTGATGGATGTGTTAATTAATTTGATTGTGACAATCACTACATGATGCATATGAATATCAAATACTTAGGTTGTATACCTGGAATATAGATATTTATTAATTAAATGTTTCTTCAAAATTTTTAAAAATAAAAAAGAGAAATATGGAGGAAAAATGACCTGTTTGGGAGAAAACAGATTAAGCAGGGGATGGAGGAGTTTTGCAATGTTTACCTCAATGAAAGATTGATCTTATATATGATCAATATTTAACCAGTCAATAAATACTTTGTTCTTATAAAAATACCAAGTAGAAAATGTAAAGGCATCTTCTATGTAAAACATTAAAATATTTTCTTCTATATTCACATATTTAAATCATTTCTAATTTCTAAGATTTTCAACTTTAAATAAGCAGAAGTCATAAATTAGAGCCCCAGAAGATAAATTTAACATCCCTTCAAGGCAACCCCATTTAAACCTTTCTAAACAGAAAAGAATTCAAAGGCCTTTTTCAGAAATCCATCCTAAAGGATAAAAGCATTCAGAAAAACTTCCCTGTATTTACCATAAATCCTTCTTGATGCTTGCTTTAAGTTAATTTCCCCCTTCTTTTCTTCAGGGAAGATGGAAAACAGCTGTTCAACGTTCCCTTTCAGGCTACTTTTTTCCTTCCTGACAGGTCCCTACCCTCCTTGGGAGAAATGTAAACACTGCAGGTGATTCCAAAATCCAGTTGGCCCAAGTCTGATTACCCATGGGGTTGGTGAGCCTGCCCCCATTCATACCACCTGGAATGATATCATCAAACTGCAAAGGTCCCAGGAAAAGATTTTTCCCCAGAATTTGTGAAATTCTAGAAATTCATTGGATATAGTCTGTCCTCACATATATTAAAATGACAAAAATAGCACAGCTTCAAGAATAAAAGTTTAGTCAGAACTGTCTAGAAGGTAAACAAGGTTGTATTACAGCGGGTACCTTGGTCTTCATTACTGCTCTACACCGTGTTGGATATTGAGTGCACCTTGGTGTAAAGTATTTTTAAATGACCTACTGATTTTTATCATGAAATTCCTGAGTATTTGTCACTGAGGCAATTTTCTCAGTGACAGAAACTGTCATTTCTCATTTCTAAAACTGAAAAATTCTAGAAATCCCTTTCAGTACCCCAGTCTAAAGGACTACTCTATAAACAAGTGTCCATTTCTAGTCAGTTATTTCTTTAAATGAGCAATGTATATGGATTCACGACATCATCTGCAGATTACTGCATTTTACAAAAAAAAACTTACACAACACTAATGTTGCTACCTACTTCAGGAACTGCTAACAAACATCATTTTTCTTGCAACAGCCATTTGACAGCAACAATAAGGCTGATATATTGCCTTCGTACTTCATCAATAAAAACATTACAGACCCACAAGCTTGGTGAGCCTATTTCCTTTACAAATTCCTTTTTAAAAGTTAGGAAGTACTGATTCAACTTTGTTGCGGTATAATGTTTGTACGCATTAAATGCCTATTATTTAGTAGCTAAGTTTGTTATTGTTATGCATGATAAAAAATGCAAAGCCCTGACTTAAGCAACAAACACAACTTTAAAACTCTACGAATATTTCAAATGGAAAGATTTAAAGGACAGCTTCTTAAACTGACTGTATACCTATTCAATTTCTACTAAAAGAGCATGAATGCTAATTTATACACACACTGGGGATTTCTATATGATTATTCTGCTATCGTTCGCACTGAGAGGAGAGAAACTATTAAGTCTAGAAATAAAACTCAAAAGGTGGGGGTTGGCATGCAGACACATACATTCAGTTGCAAACTCTTTCTGACTCTGTCTTGGACAAAGCAGATGAACATAAATAATCTACAATGGATATGTCACATATATGTAATTGAAAGCCAACTGCCTATATGTCTTTTGTTATATTTTCTCTAACAAGACTACACTTACCTAATAGGTATAACTATTCCCAAATATAAAATGCCAAAGCAAATTATGCTTATTTGTCAGTATTGTTCATAGCTTCTACATATTACTGAAGGGCAAATTCTGTTCTTTCAGGACTTATTTACTAACATTTAATGATAACACTACCAAAATCATGTTTACAAAATATTCCAAGGGAGCTGAAGCAAACAGAAGGAAATCCAGTGGTAATCAGTACACATTAAATTTCATATGTTATTCTGAATTAAAGACTGAACAAACTACTCCATTCAAGAAATAAACAGATCGCCTCAATAATCTTTTCTTCTCTTTCCAAATTAAAATCATTCCCTTCTTCTTTGTGATCTCTAACAGGCTCTCTGAACACTTTTCCTCCAGCAGGTTTATACTCTTCTGGGCATCTGAAAGAGGATCTGGAATCCACACCCTCAACAGGCTGGAACTTGCCTACACATGGCAGAAGTAAGGAACACAATCAGTAAAGGTAAAAATCCTGAAGCCAGCTAATGAGAACTGAGCAATCGGCCCAGGGCTTTGCAGGAATTAGAAGTGGCCCCACAATGGAATCCTCAGAAGGCATGAGAAGAGATAGAGAGAAGTGGAAGAGGACGGGGCTGCGGAAAGGGGGTCTGTAAATAGCCAGTTACATTAGTCTAGGAAGCACATAAGCATTTTAGGGAGCTGATGGTTCATGAGGAGTAGTGAGTAGTAAAAGGGATAATAAAGTAGACAACAGGAAAATAAAATGTTAGAGTCTTTAATAATATGAATTTGGAGTCACAAGGGATAAAAGTAGGATTAAATGTGTAATTTAAGTTAATCTTCTATTTAAGGTATACCACTAATGACTTGAAAATGAAAGACAAGTCTTTTACCTTTAGTATTTCCATTTCCATACCCCTAAAATGAGGGTAAGACACTAGCTCTATATCACTGTCCATTTCTACTACACTAAAATATTAAAATATTTGAATTCTTTGAAAAAAAAGTTAAAAGTACTGGGCAATTTCAAAATGCAAGTATTTATGTAGATGTATGTTCAGGGATTTTCCTTTACGGCAATTCTCTAAATGCATATGAATTTATAAGTGAGAGTTTACTAATAGTAATGGTCCTGCTATCCTATGCACAATACCTTGTATTTCTCTTTCTAGTTTGATTCTTTTCTGCAAGACTTCAGCATCAACTAATCAAGCCACTCTTCTATACATAACTAGAAGTTGTGAAACACTAAAGTGAGATGATAGAAATTTGGGATACATTTATTTACCATACACATAAAAAAGACTTTGAGGCAGGATCTTGCTCTGTCGCCCAGGCTGGAGTGCAGTGGTGTGACCATAGCTCACTGCAGCCTCGAACTCCTGGGCTCAAGTGATCCTCCCATCTCAGCCTCCCAAGTAGCTAGGAAGAAAGATTTTTCTTTAAAGAAAAATTATTTCAATTAAACATACTATCCAATTAATGAACAGTTTAATTTTTAAAAGCATATTTCCTATTAGAATGGGGCATTAGAGTTGAGAAGACTTTGTGAAACATACATTCTTCATTATTGTTATCATCAAATGGTACATCGATCAGTACACCTCAAGAGTTTGGGATTTTAATCTCTACTTCCCATTCTAATTCACCATATGAATTTCATAGGAAAATAATTTTCCTTTTCAGTACTCTGGGCTTATATATAACTTGCCTCATTGCCATGTTGGGCACCAACTTGAGGTATAAAGAATTTTGCTGTGTCACCCAAACATTTGCTGGTAATTTGGTGCTCCCAGAGAGTTTT
This sequence comes from Homo sapiens, assembly GCF_000001405.40. Taxonomy (NCBI): domain Eukaryota; kingdom Metazoa; phylum Chordata; class Mammalia; order Primates; family Hominidae; genus Homo; species Homo sapiens. The sequence continues at coordinate 116,375,008 of NC_000006.12, read as the reverse complement.
ATTCTAGCAATCACTATAGGGGAAGATAACATAATCCCATGAGAAAACCTTAACATATTTGCTATGGTTTGAATAACTGCCACCTCTAAAACTCATGTTGAAACTTTACCTCCAATGTGGATGTGGCAGTATTGAAAGGTAGGACCTAGAGGCGATTGGGTCATGAGCCTCTACCCTCATGAATGATTAATCCATTCATGGATTAATAGGTTAATGGATTCATGGGTAATCACGGGAATGAGACTGATAGTTTCACAGGAAGAGAAACCTGAGCTAGCATGAACAACTCCCTCACCATGTGAGGTCCTGGATCACCTCGGAGCTCTGTAGAGTCCCCACCGGCAAGAAAGCCCTCCCCAGATGCAGCCCCTCAACCTCGGACTTGGGCTCCATAACTGTAAAAAATAAATTCCTTTTCTTCTTAAGCTACCCAGATTCAAGTATTCTGTTATAAACAATAGGAAATAGAGTAAGCATTTAAGAACTGTCCTATCCTCTTCTCAGGCACATTCTTTTAGTAGGGTTATGTCACTAAATCTCTTCAGGTGCCCTACCCACTCCTTCAAAATAGTAAAGATCCAGCCCCCTCAGCAAACAGAATAATAGTATCCACTATAATGAAGTTCCCTCTACCACAGATTCTGGCTCTCCTCAAAGGCCTGCCACAAACACATCCTAAGTCAGTAACAGTATTTCTCTTTTTTTATTTGGGGAAGGGGCAGTGGGGTGGTGAAAAAGGATAATATTTACTATATTTATGATTCAAGTATGCTAATGGTTATGTAATATTTAATATATGCTACAACCACAAAATGCTAGTCTTTTGGGAGTTTCTTCTGAAAGAGGATCTGGAATCCACACCCTCAACAGGTTGGAGCTTGCCTACACATGGCAGAAGTAAGCAACACAATCGGTAAAGGTAAAAATCCTTTGACAGTTTCAGGTTATGTAATATTTAATATATGCTACAACCACAAAATGCTAGTCTTTTGGGAGTTCCTTTTTGAAAACAAAGATTACCAATATACTAAAACTCAAATTTAAATATTTTTTCTTTTTTTCTCTACAATTATTTATTGAAATAATACTATTGAGTGAAAATCATGCAATTTCTTTCATGCAACACAGTGTGATCCAAGGCAAGTATAAATAAATACCAAAATATTGTATCACAAATAACATTAAGAAATGTATAAATATTTTATTGTTTAATCGCAAAATGCACTTTCATCAGTGATCTTAAAGCACCTTTTCAGAAATTAAAAAGAGACTATAACGAGGCACTGGGAAGCATCTGCGAAGTTAAGAGCTTCATCTCATGGATGACCACCAGGTCCTCTCAGGGCAGCACTGCGAGATATTGAACCGGACAGCCCATAAAATCTCATTGAAAGGAACTGTATTAGCTTGTTTCTGAACGAATTTCGTAAATACTAAAGCAGATGTACACACAAACATTAGTCACTAAGATGGTCCTGATCTCACATAGCAAACCTAGTTGATGTCTCACCCAGTGCTTTTTCAACAGGTCCCCAAGATCAGGAAGGACAGCCTCAATCTAGCAGTATTGAGAATGGAACCTAATAACCCCATCATGGCAACTGCCTGTACTGTTATCAAAGTATCTCTTGGTCAAAGTTTCTTTTCAGATGGAGTCTTCTTCTGTCGCTCAGGCTGGAGTGCAGTGGCACAATCTCGGCTCACTGCAACCTCCGCTTCCTGGGTTCAAAAGATTCTTCTGCCGCAGCCTCCCAAGTAGCTGGGACTACAGGCGCGCGACACCACGCCCAGCTAATTTATTTTTTGTTTTGTATTTTTAGTAGAGACCGGGTTTCACCATATTGGCCAGGCTGGTCTCGAACTCTTGACCTGGTGATCCACCTGCCTCGGCCTACCAAAGTGCTGGGATTACAGGCGTGAGCCACCGCACCCAGCCCTTTTTTTTTTTTTTAATTCCCCTTCACTTGGTGACTGTACTTTCAGTATTTTTTAAACTGTCAGAATGTACTTTTTAGGCCAGTGTTTTTATTTAACTAAAACTTCATAAAAACGGATACTGACGTCATATACTAGTCAATGAAAAATAACTCTTCCCAAGCTCAAACTTAGGAAGTGCTGCTTATTGATGTTTCTCAGGTTCTACATTAGCAGCTCCAAGAGAGCTAAGGCTGATCTCATATACCTGTGTATGTAACCTAGGTAACCAGCACTATCTTGCACTTTTTGCTGAACCCACACAGACGGGTCACTAGGTGATGGAGACATCAAATTCAATCTGTTATCTTCTCCATTTTTACTAGAACAGACCTTACCTACATACTTCAGAAAAGAACTTATATCTGTATCGTGACCGTCAAAGGAAGAGGTCACAATACAGAAATCTAAGTATTTGCATGAAACAAATACTCAGATAATCCTATATTTTATTTTCTTCCATGCACATTAGGTTTTTTGTGATCCCATTTAGTAATATAGTTAGAATACTCTATACAATATTGTTTATCACTATTTCACATAGAGATTATCATTGAGAATTTTGTTTTGTTTTGTTTTGAGCCTGTCGCCCAGGCTGGAGAGCAGTGGCGCAATCTCGGCTCACTGCAAGCTCCGCCTCCTGGGTTCACGCCATTCTCCTGCCTCAGCCTCCCGAGTAGCTGGGACTACAGGCGCCCGCCACCACGCCCGGCTAATTTTTTGTATTTTTAGTAGAGACGGGGTTTCACCGTGTTAGCCAGGATGGTCTCGATCTCCTGACCTCGTGATCCGCCTGCCTCGGCCTCCCAAAGTACTGGGATTACAGGCGTGAGCCACTGCGTCCGGCCGAGAAATTTTTTAAAAACTTGAGGGAATTACTTAAAGTTTAAATTCTATAATGTGAAAAATACTAAAAATATGTATAAGTGAGATCTTTCATGCATTTAATTAACAGTGCTAAACCATGACTTTCTAAACCATGACCAACGAAAAAATTTTTAAAAAGAACTTTATTACACGAAGATTCCTAGAACTAAAAGCGTCATTGCCTGACCTAAAGAATTTCAGGTAAGTGAGGTTCACCTCCTGATTTTAACCAAAGGCTTCGGTTTCCATCTGAATGCCAGCCGGCTTAAGAGGAGGCTGCTGCTTTAAAGGAGCGATATAAACGAAAAAGTTCTCAGGTCACAAACTTAGCTCAGATTCCAGCCCCGACAGATCTTGAGCCCATGTGGCATCGCTTTCAGAGCTTCCCAGTCTGTGAGTCAAGCCCCCGCCTCCTCCCCTCCCCGGGACTGCCTCGGGGATGAGGTTTACTAACAATTTCTCCGAGTGCCGGCGGAGCCCAGGAGCGCTGGAATCCAGCGTCTGGGAGAGGCTTGGGGAGCTCTTCCTCGGCTTCTGCAGCCGCAAAGTAGGGTTGCCAGCGCCAGGATCTGCACACAAGCCGCCGCCACCTCCCCTGCCCCCAAATGGCTGGGGTACGGAGGGAAAGGAGGACGCGAGGGTGTGCCACCCAACCCCGCAGAGTGAAGCCGAGGCCCCAAGGACCGTCGAGGAAATCGCGGCTGGGCCGGCCAGATCCGACGCACGGAATGCGATCTCCAGGTTCTCATCGTGTTCCCGGCTCGGTGCTCGGCGTTCAAGGGGGTGGGGAGGATCGAAAAGCTGCCCCTCGAGGCTGCTCCGCCGCCGGGGAAGCCCGTGGCTCAGGCTTCACGCGTCAGGCGCTCTCTCGGAGTCCAGCCGAGCCGGGCCCGGGCGCGCAACCCGCGGCGCTCCGCTCTCAGCCGGGGACGTGGCTCTCCGTCTCCCGCCCGCGCCGGGACAGCCCCGAAGGCTACCCGCCCGAAACTCCCGAAGAAAGTTGCGCCGCGCGCCCCAGCTCGTCCCTTGCGCGCCCCTCCACTTACCGCTCCCAGCCGAGGCTTCGTTCTCTCCGGCGTCGCCTCCGCAGCCTCCAGAGCCAGCTCCCGGTCCTCCTCACTCCAGGGCGCCCGGGCTCCCGGCCCCCTCCGAACCGAGCCCTCCGCGCCCCCGCCGCGCCATGCCCCGGGATGCGCTGCTGCAGCCTCGGGCGACGCTACTGAGAGCCGGGCCGGCGGGGGCGGGTAGGTGTGGGCGAAAGGGGCGGAGGGAGGGACGCGGCGGGCGCTGAGGCTCCGCTGGAGGGGGGAGGAAACCGCAACGTCACCAGAGCCAGAGGAGACGAGGATGAGGAGAGGGAAACGGGGACCCCCTCCCCCGGCCGAACCCCGACCGCAGGCCCGCCCCGCTTTCTCCCGCTCCTCCTCTCCCGGGACTCGCCGCTCGCAGCTGTGCTCGGCCTTCCACGCCACCCGGCCCGGACTCCACCCGCACCCCCGCCCGCCAGGCCTCTTTGGCTCTAACTTGTTCTAGTTTCTTAGGACTCAAACGCTTCGGGTTCGAGAATCACACCCAAAGGAAAGGTAACTTTTGGAGGCCCAGGGGGAGGAGCTGATGCTTCCATACTACTCTGCGAGAGGAAAGCGAGGAAGACGTTAAGACTCTTACTACCGGGACTGGTGCCCACTCCAGTCTGCCTCCTCCCGAATAGTTACTGCCTCTTTTCTCTCGAATTCGGTTTTACTCTCTTCTCAAAGAGAAGTTAGTGGGAGGGGGGACTTTGGGGCGGGGGTCACCTATAGAGAAGCAGTTCTCTTTTTTACTGTACCAACAAAATACACTAAATCCAAGCGCACCGAACCCTGCAAACGGAACAGATTTTAATCACAGAAGGTCAGGAGCAAAGCATTTAATGTAGGCAGCTCACAAACAGAAATTTATCTTACGCGGTGGGGGGGTGTGTGTGTGTGAGAGAGAGAGATCCCTCATGCACCCAAGTTCAGGTGGAGCATTTGCAACCTTGGTAGTCACAGCCTCCTGGAGAAGAGTCCTCCTGTTTTCCAAAAATCAGCCACTGCTCAAACACGCTCAGCCAGGTCCAACCAGGCCCCAAGGAGATGTGAGGTAGGATCAGGGCCATCACCTCAGGAATACTTTGCCCCTTCCACCTCCACCCAGTGTGTGCAAGTAACCTACCAGACCTAGATTGTACAGAAGTGAAAGATTTGTAGGATACTTACCCATTCATTAGAATGAGAGATATTTTACTGGGAGCAGTGCTTTTCTCCATGAGTTCTGAAGGGCACCTCCATCCAATTCCTCTATCCTCAGAGGTTCTCACTTCTATTTGGCCAAATAAGGAAAAAATGTGGATGTCTCAGTTTATGCTTCTCTTTTTCAGAAATTGCATTTAAGAGGAACTCCTTACAAACAGGTCAAGAGGAAGTGGTACTATTAAATTTTTTAAATGTTCACTCAGGTGAACCACTAATTTGCATAAACTTCTTGATGCTTTAGGGAAGGCCTGTCGAGGAGAGAAGAGGGCTCTGGAAACTGGAACTAATCTTTGGTTCAAATCCAAACTTTGCTTTTACTACTGTGGGCCTTGGAAAACTAACATCAGAACCTCAGTTTCCTCATCTATAGTGTAACAATATAATACCTTGTTTGAACAGTTATGGAGAGGATATAATAAAAATAGCTAATGTTTATTGAGAGTTTACTACACCATATCAGACGGTCACTGTGCTAAGAGATTTACATATACTAATTCAATTATTAGAATAAATTGTGAAAGTGTCTAGCTGTATTATGTAATCCGTAAGTGTTAATTTCCATTTATCTTCTCAAATTTGAAAGAGACTTTAGAAAAAACATCTGGTTTAATTTACGTAACCTCTCAGCAAGTAGTAGTCTAGTTCAGTGATTCTCCAACCTAGAACTTTAGAATCAGCAGGGGAGCTATAATAAATTCTTTCCAATGGGGACCCCCACGCAAGAACAACAAATCAGAATCTCTGAGGTTAGGGTCTAAGCATCAGCATCTGCATTTTAAAATCTCTTCCTAGATGATCACAATGTACAACCAGGATTGAGAATTCTTCAAAGGAGGTAGTACTGACTGTCATTTGCTCCCCTTTACCCTCACACCCCCCACAATTTTGCTTTTGAGTGACCTGCGAATTGGCCTCTGGATGACATTCACTTTGTGCAAAGCCCCCCCCGTCCCCCCGCCCCCGCCCACCCCATTACAGTAAGTCTCAACAGATCTGCTATTCTGCTCTCTGGAATCTACAGGATACACCTAGCCTTGATTCCACAGGAGAATACTTCAATTTACCTGGGTACATATTAACTCCATCAGCTTTTCTTCATCCATTAGGAAAGCTCTCAGGAGGAGATTTACTTTGCCAACATCTCTCTCAAACCCTGATGCCAAGAATTGAATTCAAGGTTTCACCCAAGTGACAAACTAGAAAGATGTTTAATGGCTTTGTTGTAATTACTGTATTTCCCTAAGTATATCCTTGGAGCTTCCATGGCAGCAATATTACCCAGCTGACTCCATATTACAATCTACCAAATAAAACCTTAAAGTGTTAAAAGTTTAGTTGGAGAATCACTGAACTAAACAACTACACTCAATGCAGTGTTCAGCACTTTACCTGTGATTCTACTGAATTTTATTGTGTTAAATTAGGCCTCTTAGCTTGTTGACATATTGGGTATCATTGATATAACTGAGTAATTCCACCTCTCAATTTCATGACCTCTGTAAATCCGGTCTGTATGCCATGCCATCATTTAAGTTCTCATTCTCAGGTACCTTCCTCTGCCAACCGACACTGGATTTGAATGCTACTGATGAACATTCTTATCAGTTGAGGACCCACATGTTACCTTGTCCTATTTTTGTCTGTTGTCCCAGGGTAGCAGCCTGTGTACATGGGTACGTGGCACTTTTGTAAGAATTAGAAAAAGGTATCCCCACTCTCACCTTAGCTGAAGGATTAGGAAAAAGTGACCCCTTACGCCTAGATGCAGCTCCAAACAGACAGCAGATGAGCTTTGTCTATTGGATGTCTTTGCTCTACTGTAATATTGTCAAAAAACAAAGGAAATGACTACTTAGTGAATTGTGGTTCATGTCTACAAAATTGTGTCTTCCTTTTCTAAGTATCCAGATGTCATTTTAATAATAGGTTTATTCATTTTGTTCAGTATCTGTGAAAAGTTTCTTGCCTCGGTTTCAGACTAAGGCAAAAACTGGAACTCCATCTGTCCACCTCCAGTTTTTTAGTGTTCATCTCCCTCTGCTGATTCTAGCTGAGAGTCCTTATTGGTAAACTCTCCTTGCTGAGATGGAAATTTACTAGGCAAGAAGAAGTTAAGCTTTAGACAGCTAGGACATATTTTCTTACAAGCTTCTTCACCTATCTTTTCAGTTAACTCTTTGAAAGCTTATTTTATCCCTTACATTTAATGGTTTATTTTTACATAATAGAGAAGACAAAAAAAAGGGAATTAGTTTTGTTTAGTCATCCATTTTATCTCAAGCAGAGGCATCCCTTCCATGTTCTTCTTGTCTGAACAAAACAAAATGTTATTTTTTGTTGTTGTCGTCCTTAGTTTATTCTTGGCTTTAGCCTAAAATAACAGAGTAACAATATTACAGGGCTGTTACAGGTATGCGGCTTCTGTTCTCCTCTTGAGTTTAATTCATTAAACTAAATTTTAATCTGCCTTTTATGTTTTACTAATCAGTCTGGTCCATGACTATACATCTGCTTCCATTCTTGAAATGCTTTTTGTTTTTCTTCCTCAGGCCAAAATTATTCTATTTGTAAAACTGCCTTACCCTGCACCTATAGATTCTCTCATCTTCAGATCACAGAAGAAGTAAGATCATTTTGGTTTGCTCAAGCCATACTGCCCTGTACTTGTACTTACTGATTCAGTGATAATCTCCTGAGCTTTCCCTTCCATTTCTGAGCATTCAGCCCTGGCCAGGCATCCTCCAGAGGCTTCTCCAAGCTTCCTTGCTCAGGCCTCCCTCCCTGCCTTTCTCAGCGCTGACATGATCTTCTCCATTACCAAGACTGCTCCGCTGCGACTGCTTCATCTCCAGATGACTCAAGCTTCGTGGGCTTAGTTTTCATCTTTAAAAAAAATGAAACATTGACCTACATTCTTAATAATAATTGAATTCCACCTCCACTGCAAGTCACAATTTGAGATTTCTGCAGGTACATACTTCCTGGCCTCACAATCTTCTAATAGGTCATGAAATGTACCAGGCACGTCCATACGTGTCTCCTTTTATCCTCACAGGCACTGACTGATGAGGAAACAGAGGCTCTGAAAGTTAAAGTGAATTTCCCAAACCATAAATGGTTCAGACCACATAACAATTATGTTTTCTGACATAAAATCTAGGATCCTTCCACTAAACCACTTGGCCTAGACTAACTTTTTGTGTCTAAAGCCTCATTTACAGTTTGCGTATCCTGGCCTCAGTTGAAAGCTATTCTCCATTCATTGACAATTGACTTTTGAAATGGATGATTTTATATCACCTCTTATTATAAACTACCTAAGGTGTCCTAAACACCTTCCAAATTATAATATTGTTCTCTGAAATTACAAAAATTACTGATATTTGTTACATGAATGAATGAAATTAGATGTTTATTCTTTTCCTTAGACTTAATAGACCAAAAGGAGTGTAACATTTAGTATTATAAGCTCCTTCATGGTAGAGACTCTTCTTCATTTCTATAGCCATTCCTCATATTTCCTGGCAGAGGGCACGTTTATTAAATTAGAATTCAATTTTCAGATTGTGGCTGTGTCCCAGTCTAGATACCATGGTGGATAATTTAATGTGTCCATCAAATAAGAGCAAGGACTTTGAAGTTGAACAAAACTAGGCTGAAATCTAGACTCTGTCACTAACTGTGTGACCTTAGGCAGGCAAGTCATTTAACATTGTTGAGTTCCACTTTCTCATCAGTAGGATTTTGATATGCAAACTTTTCTCATACAGTTTCTGGAAGGAGCAAACCAAACGTTGTATATAAAATACCTGCCAAGGAATGAGAACTCAGTAAGTAGGTGTTTATTGTCATAACTTAGAATGGTTCTAGGGGCTGTCAATGAGAGATACACCCTTTGGAATCAGTCTTGTGTGGACTGGAACATGCCTGGGCATTTTTCAGGCAGGATCTGAAGCAATTAAGGTGAGTGATACCCTACCTCTCAGAACCCTGCTAAAAGTAGTTGAGGTCATGCCAGTTTTTGCAATAGTTTGGAAATCAAGCCTTCTGTGCTCTTCAGGAGGAGATAAGGATTGTCGTGGCAGTATTCTATAATAGTAATTCTAACCCCTGGGTGCATATTAGCATCACTTGGGAGAACCCAAAACACACCAATGCCTAGTTGTACTCTTAGAAATTCTGATTTAATTCCTTCTAGGATGAAGTCCAGATACCCCATATGCTTTTAAAGGTACGAGATAGTTCCAATGTGCAGCCAGAGTTAGAACCAATGCTACGTAGTGGTGCTTCCCAAACTTTGCTGCACATTAGAACCATCTGGAGAGCTTTAAGAACTTCCGGCCACGTGCGGTGGCTCACGGCTGTGATCCCAGCACTTTGGGAGGCCGAGATGGGCAGATCACGAGGTCAGGAGATCGAGACCATCCTGGCTAACATGGTGAAACCCCGTCTCTACTAAATATACAAAAAATTAGCCAGGCGTGGTGGTGGGTGCTTGTAGTCCCAGCTACTTGGGAGGCTGAGGCAGGAGAATGGCGTGAACCCAGGAGGCGGAGCTTGCAGTGAGCCGATTGCACCACTGCACTCCAGCCTGGGCGATAGAGCAAGACTCCATCCCCCCCACAAAAAAAGAACTTCCGATGCCCCAGTTATAGTCTGTACCAACCAAATTAGAAAGTTTGAGGTGTTTAAAACTCTGTGATTCCAATGTACCAAAAGTTTGGAACCACTGTTTTATAGAGTGTTACTAAATAGGCTGGGTGAGGTGGCTCACACCTGTAATCCCAGCACTTTGGGAGGCCAATGCAGGCAAACTGCTTGAGCCCAGGAGTTCGAGATCAGCCTGGGCAACATGGCAAAACCCCATCTCTACTAAAAACACACACAAAAAATTAGCCGGGCATGGTGGCGCACACTGTAATCCCAGTTACTCAGGAGGCTGAGGCACGAGAATTGCTGGAACCCAAGAGGCAGAGGTTGCAGTGAGCCGAGATCACACCACTGCACTCCAGCCTGGGCAACAAGAGTGAAACTCGGTGTCAAAAAAAAAAAAAAAAAAAAAAGTGTTACTAAACAGGTACTTGAACCAAAGGAAGTATTAATTAGAGAATATGTTTATTTGCCACATTTCTTCTGGTTTATTAATTATATAAAATATTGTGAAGATTAGTTTTTATTAACTCAAGCTCACTAATGTATTTCTTTCTAAATACTTTTGTTGGATATGCAGTTTGGGAAAAATAATATTTGATGTCAATACTGGCTGAACTAGTGAAGTTGACTTCATATTGCAGTTAATGTTTCACTTCAAGTTTCTGCTGCCTGAGTATTACACATAGTGAATTCCAGTAAAACATTTAACAGCCAGGCCATTCAGACTTCTCCTTCTGCTCAGGCCTTTTCTTCTGCTGATGAGATTACCCGTGTCAGGCAAAGAAAATCTTGGCTATTTTGCATTTATAGTATCTTTTAGATGGGAAATAGTCGACAGTTTGCTGATGTTAAACTTAAGTATGTAGTCTAGTGACATGTTTCTATGTCCTTTCTCACCAAACTCCAAAGAATACACACTGGTTCTTTTTCCATGTTTTCTTTCATTTTTGATTTTTTAATAGTGACATTTTGATTTTGCCATTTTTACTCATCTTGGCCAAATGGAAACACTGCCATTTTAAAAAAATGTTAAAATAACAAAATAAAAACCCAACAACAGTTTAACAAACAAACAAAAAACACAGCATTCCTTAGAAGTATTTGTCATCTAAGTGAGAAAAGTATAAGGAAACTTGGAATAATTATATTCTAACCATTTTGTTTTACAAAGAAACCAAGGTTAACATAGATGGGGACTGTTACCAGTTTTTGCTGCTAATTAGTTAGAAGTGGAAGGAGAAGTCAAGCCTCCTGATTCCTAGCCAGATTTTCTTTTTCTCACTTCTCCTTGCTGAATCATTGGCCAAAAATGTACAACTAACTTCTCCTTTTGGGAAGTGCATATTTCATATTAACTCTGGCAATTTATGAAAAAATGTAGATTCATTTGCTCCATTAACAAAATATCAGTGCCTAAGAAGAAATAAGGTTGATTTTTGAAAGAAATCAAGTGCCTACTCAGAATGTGCAGGGGATGGCACCTTTCATTTAGCAGCGTTAAGCTTAATGTGTTGTTTTACTTATGATGTAATTTCTCCCCGATATATGAACAATGTAAGTTCACATCACTACATATGTAAAATCACTATCTAACTAAATGCCTGTCCTTGAGGTGAAATCTTTAATAAACTTTCACCCATCTTGAGTTATTTTTCCTCTGATTATACCTGGGAATTAAGGTATTTAAAAGTTCTAATAAATTTCCATCTTTTTATTGCATGAATCAATTTTCTGAATTTCCTGTTATTATACAAGAAGGCTGATACTTGATAGCAGTGCTTCTGTTCATGGTGGGCAGATTAATGTTGTGGTGTGAAGATCAGCTAAGTATCTATCATATATATATACACACACACACACAAAGCACACACATGTGTATATATATGTATATTTTAAAATCTCACTTTCTGATCAGTCATTAAACATGTGGCAAGTATCTATCATATAGACACACACACACAAGCACACACATATATGCATATATGTGTGTGTGTATATATATATTTAAATATCTCACTTTCTGATCAGTCATTAAACGTGGCAAAAAAAAGCAACTGTTACAAAGTAGAAATAGATATAGGATACAACAATCTTGGATTGTAGTATAATGGAAAAGTTACTTTAAATGAATCTGCCTGAAATTGACAAATTTTAATGTTGTCTGGGGGGAAATTAATGGGTTAATTCTGGAAACTGAAAGTTCTAGGTTCTAGGACTAAATTGACCCTAGAAGAAATTCTGTTTTTACTTCCCCTGTACATTTGGAAAAATCAGCAGTAGCATAAACCATGATAACTTGGGAAAATCACTTAACTTCTTTTGAGTCTTAGTGTCCTTAGCTATAAATAGAAGAAACCATTCTACTTCATTTGTTCTCAAGTATGGTTATACTTTAGGACCACCCAGGAAACTTTGGGAAAATAAATGATGCCCTGTACTACCTCCAGACAAATTAAAGCGAAATTTCTGGGGGATGTGGCCTAGGCTAGAGGTGCTCAAAAATATGGTCCATGGACCACTGCTATTAGCATCACTGATTCATTAGTCAGCCTGGGATGCCATGACAAAATACCATAGACTGGATGGCTAAAACAATAGAAATTTATTTCTCACGGTGCTGGAGGCTAGGAAGTTCAAGATCAAGGTGCTAACCAATTCTGTTTCTGATGAGGGTTCTCTTCCTTGCTTGCAGACAGTAGCCTATGTTCTCACGTGGCCTGCACATGGAGATAGAGTGATTTCTCTTTCTCCCTCTTATAAGGCACCACCCTTATGACCTCATTTTGCCTTTCTTTAATCCTAAAAGCTCTATTTCCAAATATGGTCACATTGGGGGTTGGGGCTTACATATGAATTTTGGGGAACAAAATTCAGTCCATAGCACTTGAGATCTTGAAAATTTTCAGACCAATCCCAGATCTACTTAATTAGATTCTCTAGGGGTGAGGGCCAGGAATCCATGTTTTAAAAAACTCTGCAGGTGATTCTTATGTACCTTTGAGTTTGAAGACCACTGGCCTAAGCCAATAGTTCTTAACACTTAGACTGTATATTGGAATCACTTAGGGAATTTATAAACCTTTGATACCTGGGGCCCTATCACAGAGATTCCAGTTTACCTGTTGCAGGATGCATAGTCTAAACAAGTTTTACAGCTTTTGAAAGTGAATCCCATCTGAGAACCACTGGTGCAGAATATCTCTGAGGGTCTTTACAGTCTAAAACGGTATATATTTTAATATAATGACATATACAAAATATGTATATAATACAATACATAGTCTAGATAATTTTCATCAGAAGGAGGATGATAGAATAGCTCTATTTTGTAGCTTCAGATACGACTCACGTTTGTTGTGAGTCCCTTTTCATTAATCAGTTGATGACATAATGCATTAAACAGGAACTTTTTGAGAAGTACTATTGTGATAGTACATTTGCTAAATATAAGCTTCTTTATTTTTCAGTAAAAATCAAGGATTTATTTGATGGTTAATGTGTTTCTACTGGATAAGACTAAATAAGAGTTTGGAGAGCAGCCAGAGGCTTATGAGATACACACACACACAAATTTTTCTTTCCAGAGATGGGGTCTTGCTCTGTTGCCCAGGCTGGAGTACAGTGGCAGGATCATAGCTCACTACAACCTCAAACTCCTGGGCTCAAGTGATACTCTCACCTTAGCCTCCTGAGCAGCTGGGACTGTAGATGTGCACCATCACACCCAGCTCTCTTGAGATATTTTAAAAGAATCTTACAAATTGTGAGTCCAGGAATAATTCTGGAAAACAATCTGATTATTTTGTAAATCTCAAAAAAGCTCATTAAGCCATATAAACTAAGAAGCTATGGGTATTTCTTGATGTTAAAACTTATATTCGGCCGGGTGCAGTGGCTCACACCTGTAATCCCAGCACTTTGGGAGGCTGAGGCAGGCAGATCACAAGGTCAGGAGTTTGACACCAGCCTGCCCAACATGGTGAAACCCCACCTCTACTAAAAGTAGAAAAAGTTACCCAGGCGTGGTGGCGTACACCTGTAATCGCAGCTACTGGGGAGGCTAAGGCAGAAGAATCGCCTGAACCCAGGAAGCGGAGGTTGTGGTCAGCCGAGATCACGCCACTCCAGCCTGGGCAACAGAGCGAGACTCCATCTCAAAAAAAACAAAAACAAAACAAAAAACTTCAGTTACATAATTTTAAAATCTCTTTTAATATTAGAATATAAATGGCTCTATGATAAAAATTATAGATGTCATTTTCCTCAAATTTTACAATAATAGCTGTAAAAAATGGCATCTTAAAAAATGTATCCCAAATCATCAGAACTCTGACCAGTGAATTTAATTGTCATGCAGTCAGCACAAATATTAGCACATAAAAGCAGAAAACTCAACTCATAGTTTTTCTTTTCTCCCCAAGGCATGCAAGGCATTAAAAAAAAATTAAAAATGTCAAATTCATCACAGAGGAATAAGTAACTGAAGAATCAAAATTAACTATCATCTTTAAAGTGCTGGGGCTTAATAGGAAAGTTATTAAAAGTGGTATTTGAGCATCTGACTTTATTAGAATTATGATGCGGCCAACGTGGCGACCTTTTCCAAATTTATGTACATATTAAGTATCCACACTAATGTTACAAAGGGACTGAGAGTTAACACTAAATTGGTAAATTCATTCAAATATTCATGCTCTATTTAAAGAGGGATAATGGTGTGACCTTTATTTTCAAGTCTTTTAAAAACTAGCTTTTGAATATTTTCCCCATGTTTCAATAAGTAAAATTACCAGGAAATTACAAATGAAATATTAAAATACATGTCAAGATATGACTTTTTTTCCAGATGCAGATGCAGATAAATATTCCTTACCTTTTTCAAAATTTTTAAAAATTTTAAGTTCCAGGGTACATGTGCAGGATGTGTTTTGTGACATAGGTAAATGTGTGCCATGGTGGTTTGCTGCACCTATCAACCCATCACCTAGGTATTAAGCCCAGCATCCATTAGCTGTGTTTCCTGATGCTCTCCCTCCCCTGTCACCCACAGGCCCCAGTGTGTGTTGTTCTCCTCCCTGTGTTCTTATCATTCAGCTCCTACTTATAAGTGAGAACATGCGGTGTTTGGTTTTCTGTTCCTGCGTTAGTTTGCTGAGGATAATGACTCCATCCATGACTCTGCAAAGGACATGATCTTGTTCCTTTTTATAGCTGCATAGTATTCCATGGTGTAATATACCTTCTCTTTAAGCAAGTTTTTAAGTAAAACAATTTTGTG
Organism: Homo sapiens; assembly: GCF_000001405.40. NCBI lineage: Eukaryota > Metazoa > Chordata > Mammalia > Primates > Hominidae > Homo > Homo sapiens. Next base: position 116,359,960 of record NC_000006.12, on the reverse strand, counting down.
GGGAATCATTTGAAAATAATGTTGCCATATGAACTGTGCTTTCTTTGGATGCTACTAAGAATGACTATGGCTTAACAAACTAACCTAAGAGATCTTGCCTCACAAGTCAACAGATGCCATTTGGTGAGTAAAATGAGCTACATCAACACTCAGAACGATAGATGAGCTAGCATATGCTTGAAAAGTAATGGAAGTATTATAGATTCCTAATTTGTAATAATATTGCAAAGCCTATCTGTTTCCACTTAACCATATTACCTGTCCTATACACTGTACTGAAATTAATGATCTGTATTACAGTTTTTATTCTGAGTGTGAAAGAATAATACTAACTTTTATTTATCCCTGATCTATCAGCTGTCGTTCTCTGAAATTTAAACCTAGACAAGAAGCTTCTGAATTTTACTAATATTAAAACAGTATTTGCTATATATAGGAAACAAAAGCTATATAACTACAGTAGCTGAACTAAAATTATAAATAGGAAGAAAAGTATATTTAAATTTGATCATAGATGGTTGACAACAATTACTAAAATCCTTAAGACTTATGATTACCCCCTTTTCTAATCTACCGTTAAAAAAATAATAGTATGGAGGTTTAGAAGGAGGAAGTTGTGAAAGATATCATAGAGGCAAACCTACAAATGCTTGTATAGTAAGTGTTCCCTATTTAGTCTAGCATGAAATCATAAGAATTGTTATGTACTCTAATAATCTATTTCTGAGAGTTCCCTTAAGGCAGATTTTCTTCAAACCTTTTCTTTAAACTAAAACTAATATGGATAGGCAGATGATAAATAGGAAGATAGACAATAAAGATATAGAAATATATATATATTAAAGTTTCAGAAGTCAATGTTTCTATTTTTTATTTCAGTCTATTTCATTAAAAAAGAAAGAGAATTTGATCAACCAAATAGATTTCAAGACCCACTAATAGATTGCAACTTGAAGCTTAAAAACATTGCACTGAGGTTACTGTGTATGTGTAGAGAGATACTGTTCATGTTTACTTTCAAAGTTTAAGGGTATAGACCTCTAAGAACTATGAAACTGAAATAATGACTTCTGAATGCTTTCTAACCTACATAAATCTGACTGATAAACACAATAAAGCATCAAGAAGATGGCTTGATGCTTTAGCCAAACAAAAGGCAAAAGTAGAGCCAACTTTGATTAAATTCAAACACCTTGTGGCATTTAGAGGCATGCTCATATTGGCAGGAGAAGGAAACTGTAGCAAATAGATAAGGTTTAAAGCAATACACTATCTTTGTTTGTCCAAGGACCACGTAGCTCTTCCAATAGGAAGATCATTTGTTTATGAGGCACAACAAGAAATTCTGCAGTAGTTGGAGTTGTAAGGCACCTGAGGTTCCCCACAGCCTAGAAGCTATCAGCTCATCAACGAAAAGGTCCACCTGGTTGATCTGGAGTCTTCAGTTCCTGCCACTGGGAAGGATACTTCCAAGAACTGCATTTTCTACCCTACACCTGGCATATTCCATCACCACTTTGTCTTAGATTTTTATTAATTAAAGAATAACTCTTCCCCTCAACAAAGCTCCATTTATAAATAATTGTATGGCACTAGTATTTATGCCAATGTAGGCTGCAGTCTGCTATTACAGATGGTAGTGATATTATATCTCCAAACATGACATTTTCATTTATTACTATTCACAAAGTGAATGTCATTGCCCTAGATCTCTATGATCAGAAACAGTCAGTAGCAGAAAAAACAAACAAACAAAAAAATCACCTACAAGTCATGTAGGAAAGAGACTCATGATCAGGAATTTTTGCTGCATTGGATACCAGGCTTTGAAGAAAGGCAAAGAAGACTTGCCTGCCTTCTTCCAGCAGCAAGGATTCAACTAGACAGTAAAGGACTGAAATTGAAAGTATTTCTGTGACCTGTTCTAAGAAATCATTAAAAAATCAGATTTATTCACATACTCTTATTTGCCTAGGGACATTTTAATTTATCAGTGACTTGGGTTAATTACTCCCTATAAATTCTATACTTGACAGATCAGCTTAAACTTGAGGCATTCAGAAGGAAATACATCAAAATGCAACAGACATGGGCCGGGCATTTCTATGCATCTGCACTGACTTTGAAAAATACACACACACGTGCGCACGCGGATTTTAATACATTTTGGGACATATATGCATGAATCTCAACTGGCTTGGAATCATTGGGGAAAGTAGATCCTTTGCACCCTTCAGAGCAGCAAATATTTCTGTGGTAGGGGAAGTAGTTTCTAAATATTTTGGATGCTTACCAATAACACTATTAAAGTTCTTACATATTTTATTAAAAGATGAGAAAGAAGAAAAACAATTTTTTGGCTTAAAATAACTGTTATATAAGCAAGGCTCTGCTGATGCCATGCAAAAAGATAACTTTTTTTTTTTTTTGAGATGGAGTCTCGCTCTGTCACCCAGGCTGGAGTGCAGTGGCGCGGTGTCGGCTCACTGCAAGCTCTGCCTCCTGGGTTCATGCCTTTCTCCTGCCTCAGCCTCCTGTGTAGCTGGGACCACAGGTGCCCACTACCATGCCCGGCTAATTTTTTGTATTTTTAGTAGAGACGGGGTTTCACCGTGTTAGCCAGGATGGTCTCGATCTCCTGACCTCGTCATCCACCCGCCTTGGCCTCCCAAAGTGCTGGGATTACAGGCTTGAGCCACCGTGCCCGGCTGATAACTTGTTTTTGTGGCTAAAGGGCATGAGCCAGGGAGGGGCTCACCACCCATCAACACTTGATCCTTCTAACTAGTACTGGAGAAGAAGAAACATTGTTCTCTGGATGCCAGAGAAAACCAGAATGTTAGTAAACATGCGGGTGGGAGAAATATTATTAGTGAATGTCACACTACTCAAATAAGTAGAATTTGTTTTTTGGAACCATATTTTGCAAAGATACTAAGGCCTCACTTAAACCATAGCTCCGTGTGGAGGCAAAACTAATAATGTGAGATGGTGAAAAGAGGAGGCATCTGCTTAAGGGCATGACTATGGTTCTGTAGTAATGAATTTGGACGCATTAGTTATGCAAACAGAATCTGGTGAGCAGAGACTACAGCAGGGGCTATGAGTGGTGAGGCTTTCTATGCCTCAGAATTCTAGGAATCCTAAAACACTCAGTGTGGCTACTGTCGCCAAAGACAAGCAGCACGGGAGGGAGAAGCTAGCATTGGATGGAAATCCAGAGTTGTGGGATTCGGGAATACCCTGGCTCTACCAACAACTCAGGTTACCAGAATAAGTCACTTTACCAATGGGGTACCTGTTTCGTCATTCGCAAAGTGAGATAATTGTTTCATCTACAAGATTCCTATAACTTTAAAATTTTATGACTCAAAGTTCCTGAGCTATGGAACCTATGCCTTCTAGATCAAAATTGTCCAGTAGAAATATAATGTAAGCCACTTATGTAACTTTAAATGCTTTATTGCCACATTAAAATATGTTTTTAAAAAGATGAAATTAGGTCTTATAATACTTTTATGTAACCCCCTATGTCCAAAACATTATGGTTTTAGTGTAAGTCTTTGAAATCTTGACTAGCTATGCATACTTCAAGTGGCCAATAGCCACATGTGCCTAGTGGCTACTGTCTACCATATTAGATATCATAGCTTTAGGCAGTTGTGTAAAGTTCACAGGATGGGAGCAGGAGCTACATTTCTCTTTGATGCTCTGAGCCATAGTTCCAAAAACTAGAACTATTTACCAAAATTACTGGAGGAACTTAAAAATGTCTGAGCCCACCCCATTACCTTGGCCATGGATCATGTCTTATATCTCTCTAGATAAATCGGAAGTGCAGCCTGTCCATACCAATCTACAGGACAGCGTTTAAAAGCCTCTTCACTCTGAGCTAACAGCCTTCATGCCATTCAGGGGTGGGTTGAATAAGGGAAGCAATAGTCATGTGGTTAGCATCCTCTTCAGGGATCCTCCAGATAGTTATTGGGCGAACTATGTTTTGTCTAGTATGTGAGCTGGAAGATTTCAACACTAATTCTATGACAGTGTAATTGTCTTGTTATTGAAGGCTATTTAACTTTTTCAAGTTAAAATGTGTTAAAGAACAATGAGCAAATGTAAAACAAAGGAGGTCAGATTGTACTTTGCCAGGATGTGTCCACTTGTTGCCTTGATGGAGCTGCAGCTGTAGTTATAGATCTGCTTTTGAGCCTGCTTAGTATTTGCATTGTAGACTGGTTGCTCACAATCTTCCTAGGACTGATTCTCACCTTTGAGTGTCTGCAATTTAGTATTAACAGATTAGTTGAGATAACATATCAAATTGAGCAGTCCCATAATGCTTTTATTTTACTGACATGAAAGAAGCGGGTATATGTATTGGAAAATTCGCTTTTAGACTTCTGAAATCATTTAAGCATGGACAAAGGAAGCTACTCTACTAGGGCACAAAACAGAAATTAGGCTAAATGAGCCCTAGCCAGCATTATCCTAAAAGGAAAGGAAATAGGAGTCTGTGGCCTAATTGGAGTAGAAGGCTTAAAAGTATCAGCTGAAAAACAATTGGTAAATAAGCAGTAACCTGAGGCTCTACAGTCTGGTCATACCTGAAGTGCTCAAATTAGAAGAATGTGAAGGTTTGAGGAAGGTACACAGAAATTGTGAGTCTCATATAATGCTGGGGGAAGTATAAATTGGTACAATACTTTGAGAGAGGATTCGGAGGACAAATATGTAACAAATCTTTAAAAGGTATGTAAATTTGCATCCAGCAATTCCACTCCTTAGAATATATGCACGTATGTGTGAAACTGTATGTATGCAAAGTTGTTCAACATGGTGTTGTTTAAATTAGCAAAATACTGAAAACAACTCAAGTGTCCAATAATAAAAATGCTTAAATGAATTACGCATATAGGTATGTGTGCCTTTATATATGTATGTGTCTATGTAAAAATGTGTAGTGTGTATTATATATGTGAATGAGTACAGTGAAATTGACACCAGTGTCAAATTTGGCGTATTTCCATGGAAAGCACATTTCATTAAAAAGCCAATTACAGATTGGCTTTTTATAAAACCTGTCACTATTTTATTATAAAACCTGTCACTATTTTATTATAAAAAGTAATGTAAAACATGTCACTATTTTATTATAAAAAGTAATGTAACCAAAAAATATAATTACAGGAAAAACTGTGGGAAAATAAACAGAAAATTATAATTTTTATATAGATGTTATAAGAATGCAAGTAATTTTCATTTCATTTACATAATTATGAACATGGATTTCATGTTTCTGCCCAGTGGGGTCTGTTTTCAGATTAGACCCATTCTGAAGATAAATCACCTCACCAAAAGCCAGAAAATACCATCCTTTCCTTAGATGGGAAAAGCAAGTTTCTTGAGCCCCTTCCCATTTTGACAGAGTTGTAACTGAAGTGCTTGTAAGGCCAGATTGTATGACAATTCCATGAGCTTCCTGGTTCCCTTACTGTACAAACCCTCCACCCACTCTCCCTTAAAATAACTCATGCCTTTTGAGACAGCATGAGGGGGTGACTCTGTTTCTTATACCAGAAAAAAGAGCCCGACTCAAGAACAATGACTGACCTCCAGAGCAGTTGTAAGGTCCACATGAGGTTATGTTGTCTAAGCTCCTAGTAGCACATAACACACAACAGGCTTTCAATAAATATTACTTACTGTTATCCCATCTCCTTAAAAATTTTAAAGGGATTTTGCTCATTAGAGTTATATAGTCTGGGTCAACATTTACTTAACAAATCTCTAATCCTTGCCTCATATATCAAGGACCTGAACTAATATTATTCTTTTTTTCTTTAAGAGAAAGACTATATTTCAGGAAATACTATATCCAAGTATTGCTGTAGATATAGGTGTACATTTGGAAGCCATCTGAAGTCTAGATTTTTGAAAGTGGTGTCATATCACTCTTTAAAAGTAGATAGGCATTATAATTCAGTATCTGAAGACTGCTTGCCTCTACTCTAAAATATTTTCTAAGAGTCTCAGTATATGACATAGGAGTATGTTTAGATTGATTATAAGATTTTTTTAAATTTAAAATAATTACCAAATTGTTTTACATCAGCCATTAAAGCTCACAAAAACCAAACATCTTTATAGACAATCTCTCATCAAATGAGAACAGTTATAAAATAAGCTAGATATCTGTCTGAATCCCCTTATGTGACAACAGTAAGTGTCCAATGGTTGGAGACAGTCAGATCTATGATCAAGTAACAGCTGTGCAATGTATTTGTTCCATAACCTTAAGCAAATTTACTTAGCCTCCCCAAATCTCAGTTTTCTGGGAATATCAATGCCTCATCTTTTGAGAGTATAAGGATGAGAGATAAAGAATGTAAAGTGTTGGACACAATGCTAGGAAGTGTAAATGCTCAATGGTAGCTAGTATTATTATGATTGAAACAAAGTTTATTTAAAGAACCTTACTGAGAAACCTTTATAAGATTTTTCTGGAAATTAAGAAGGCACTCATGAAGAAAGATATTTATTCCAAGTAACTATCTATCACATAAACAGATTTATTTGGAATACTACAAAGGAAAATATCCCTTAATTTTCCACCCAATATTACCTAACACACACATGCACAATTCCATCATGACTACTCCCCCTTAGCAGTCTTTTCATTTTTCCAGAGCAAAAGTAGGACATAAAGTTCCTTCTCATGAACCAGAAGTTAGAGGTCATCATCAGTTCATTTGGAAAAATATCCATCAGTGTTTATACACACACAGACCCACACACACAAACACACATTTACTCCTATGTATATTTTAACTATAAATTAGTAAAGACCTAGATTTTAATAGTTAGCTAACATAAATGAATGAGGTAGTGGGGAAGCCCAACCACTTATGACCACAAGACTCATATCTCTCTCTTACCCTATTAAGGGACTGTTATAAGTCCCTGATGGACTTGTCTGACAAACACATTCCACAGTCATACAAATCATTCATTCTGGAAGAGAGAAAGAGAGAGAGGAAGGAGGAGGGGGGAAGGAGAAAGAAACGAGGAAAGAAAGGAAGACTTCACGTGTGGGGCATGTACGTGGGGTGGGCTGGAAAGCTAGGTGAGTTTTGGAAAGCCTATTTTTTGCCCACCCAGAGCTTGCCCAGACTTGCCCTAAGGCTGTGTTGCAAAATGGGTAATGATTTCTCTGCCAGGTCTGTTATTGGAATGAGTAAACTCTCAGACCTAACATTTTTTTTTTCTTGGCCATCTTACTCCTTCAACACAAACATCTGAGGCTGTGGTGGTTTTAAAAAGCATCCCAAAGTTCCTGTTTTTTATTTCTCAATTTCTTGATGTTTACTATCCAGTTCAAGAGCTACTGACCTCTGCCTCACCCAGCACTAACCCTGTGGATTTTAAGTCCTTATGCTTGGAGAACCACTGCTCCAAGCACAACTAGCCTCCATTCAGAGTCTAGAAATTAGGATCAATAACCTATGCAAATTCAGCACCATATTGAGAGATTCTTCTGGAGCAGGTATTTTATCATTTGAGGAATCCTTGTGTTTGGAGAACCCTTGTGATCAAGAGAAAAAATGGTTCTGACCAGCCATTTTAGTTGAATTGATTCTTGGATGCAGGAACAGGATAAGTTAAGGTCTGAAAGGACTGGTTGTACCAAGGAGGCCATGAGTAGATAGATAATAGTTGACTAGCTCACACAAATATATGGAGAGTGGTGATTCTAAAAAAGTATAAACACTTAAAATCAAGAAATGTTATAGCTAGACATCTAATTGGTTCCTTTCATTTACATATTTACAGGCAGAATTGAGGTTCAGAGATATTAACTAACTTTTCCAAGGGTTTGAGCAGAGACTGAAATGAGCTTTGTTTACAGGCCAGTGTAACCAAGGAGGTTACACAAATTAATAAAGATTTAATATCGGGATTTAAATTTCCCATAAACTAAAGAGTACCACTGTGGGATAGAAGAACTGCAGTTACTAGAAAGGTGCATGATAAAATGTAAAAGACAACTCTCCAGGTTCTACCAAAGTTGGGATAAATATTCCTTAAGGCCTTTGTCACTATTCATAGTTCACCAGGGAGCTTTCTGATTATAAACTGAAATTCCTAAATTCTCTGAGTTTAGAATTGGAATACTCTGATGACAGAAAAGACTATTTTAATCAGCAAAGACTGCTTATTTGAACTAAGTTGATAAAGTTGAGTTTCTAAAATCACTTACTGAGGACTTTGAATTCATGAAAAACTATCCAAGATGGTCAATATCCCTTATTCTTTTTTTTCCTCTTTGCAGAACATTACTAAACATTTCCTATTATGTAGCTATTTTATAATGAGGTAAAAATAATAGTTATTAATAAATAACAAACATCACTATAATAGAGTGGAATAGAATGTAGTTGTGATATATTCAGCCAATAAAAATATATTATAATCAACTATAAAGATGGTTCCTAGGGATTTAAATGTTCATGTTACAACTTATTAGCATACTTCTTAAATAAAAAAATAAAAGTTTTAAGATGTGAAGAAGTATCAAGTTCATTTTTTACCTTCTACTATACTCAAAACAGACCCTTTGTTTTCTCTCACAGGTACCAGCAAGGGTTACTCTGTTGCTGCCCTGAGATCTTGGTATGAGACAGCCAAACCGAGTCAGATGACTGTTCTGTTAAAATAAGGGTTTCAAGACTGTAGATTCATGAGATGGGGATTCAGTGAAGGAAAACATTCCCATCTCTGTTACAGGAAAGTTATAATGGCGTTGAACTATTTGGAAGAAAAGAGAAAAGAAGACAAAGAAGCAATCTTGCTTAATCACAACAAATGTTCTATTAAACACTATGTAAAAACAAACTATAATAGCAATAATATTAGTCAATTTGGGAGCTTTTTAACAAATGAACATTCTTTTTTAAGACTGTAAGTTCTATGTAAAATAATATAATGCAGAACAGAGACTAGAATATTTCATAAAACAGAAGGACTTTCAGGACTTTTTTTTTTTTTCCAAAAGGAAGATATGCCAGGAAAATCTTTATACAATTAAATAGTCTATGTTCGTCATGTCTAAAGGCATGGAAAAGACCCAAAAGCTATTTTTTTTTATTACTTGGAGTCAGAGTATTTGGTACCGTACACGTTTAGTGAATATACTTGCATGGAACATAACTCATCTTTGAGAATATCATCATAGTGGTATGGACTTGCCTGACATTTAGAGAGTCATATACTTTTCTGTCCAAGGAATAGTCTTAAATATCAAAATTACCAAATGAGTACAAAACAATGTCTGCCTGACTGGGTTTTTTGTTCCCTCAAAGAATAGACAATTGTGTCAGTTGGACTTTTTTATGATTAATGGGGTAATGATGGTCCTGTTTAATACCTTTTCCTGAGATAATCTGGGTAGAAGCTCATGACCCTGCAAATTCTAAATTTAATTTTCAGTTTGGGTTACCCAGAATTCACTAGAGTAAGCTTTTGTGATACGAAAAGAAGAGATACAAGTTCTTTTCTCTGAAGAGTTCTCATATAATCATGCTTTTAAAAAAAGAATTTATTGCCACAGAAGTTAGAAGTAGAAGATTTCCACTCTATAGGGAAATAAGTCAGTCCTAGAATAATGTAGGCCCATACCCATTGATCTTCATACTCTTCCTCAACCATACCATCTTGGGCAGTTTTTATTAAGGCATACGAAATGGCCTGATCACTTTTCAGTTTTCTTACTATCCTGTTCTCTTATGAGATAAATCATTTTGACATAGAAAAAAGCAAGATATAAAATTTAAAAATGAAACTGGATTTGAGCTAATTAGCCTCTTAAAATTATAAGTTCAGATTCCTAAACACTATAAAAGGGAGTAGTACATTTAGGTATTTTTTTAAAAAGACTATGCATGTAAACATGAAATAATTAATATGTAAGTGATTCTTTTAAAGGTAGTAAGTGGTGAGCTTTTGGTTATGGCCAAGTGAGGAGACAAATTCTCTCTGTAAAAAGTAACTATAAAGCTGGATAAAATTGACAAAAACAATCATTTTAGCACTCTGAAAATCAACCAAAGGCATACAACCTGAGAAGTGTTTAGGCTTGAAAAACTGCTGAATATAAGAATAATGAGAACCTGTGGCATTCTAGCCTGAAGCTACTCACATATCTGCCCTCCCTTCCTCCTCACTTCAGTAAGGACAGAGGTTTTATAGAAGGAGGCCAGGCCATGAGGACAGGCAGCTTCTCTGTCACGATCCATGAGAGCTCACTCAATCTGGAGTGATGAGAAATGACCACTCCCAGCAGCATATTTGGTAAAAGTGCTGATCTCTGAGGTGGGTAAACAGGGAAAGCCAACTGCTCTACTAGTCTGAGGCTGTAGTCACAGTTGGAGAATACTTCTCTGGCTGTGTATATTTCCTGGAGAAGGCCCGAGCTAGTCACTCAATCCCGGCTACCCCTGAATTTGTTTGCATAAAAGAGATAAGAAAAGGTCCAGTGGTCAGTAAAAGCTGGAGCTTGAGTCAGCTTGAAAGCACCTGAACTCTGAGTGAGCTCCCCTACCACACAGAGATCCTTTGGCAAAAGACAGAAACTTCATTGGCTCAAGTGTTTCAGCACAACCTCTATCCAATCACTAAGCCATACTGGCATGGGAAAACCTTTAGGAATCCAGGTTTAGAGGTGTGTATGTATGTATATGGGTGTGTGTGTGTAGATATATGTATATATGTATACATATCCATTTTATATTAGTGTATATAAATATTGATATATATGTATATGTATGTGTATATATATATTTTGGTTATACTTTATGTTCTAGGGTACATGAGAACAACGTGCAGGTTTGTTACATATGTATACATGTGCCATGTTGGTTTGCTGCACCTGTTAACTCATCATTTACATTAGGTATATCTCCTAATGCTATCCCTCCCCCCTCCACCCACCCCACCCTGGTGTGTGATGTTCCCCACCCTGTGTCCAAGTGTTCTCATTGTTCAATTCCCACCTATGAGTGAGAACATGTGGTGTTTGGTTTTCTGTCCTTGAGATAGTTTGCTCAGAATGATGGTTTCCAGCTTCATCCATGTCCCTACAAAGGACATGAACTCATCCTTTTTTATGGCTGCATAGTATTCCATGGTGTATATGTGCCACATGTTCTTAATCCAGTCTATCATTGATGGACATTTGGGTTGGTTCCAAGTCTTTGCTATCGTGAATAATGCCGCAATAAACATACGTGTGCATGTGTCTTTATAGCAGCATGATTTATAATCCTTTGGGTATATACCCAGTAATGGGATGGCTGGGTCAAATGGTATTTCTAGTTCTAGATCCTTGAGGAATCGCCACACTGTCTTCCACAATGGTTGAACTACTTTACAGTCCCACTAACAGTGTAAAAGTATTCCTATTTCTCCACATCCTCTCCAGCACCTGTTGTTTCCTGACTTTTGGGGTTTTTTTTTTGTTTTTTTTTGTTTTTTTTGAGACGGAGTCTCACTCTGTCGCCCAGGCTAGAGTGCAGTGGCACGATCTCGGCTCACTTCAAGCTCCGTCTCCCAGGTTCACGCCATTCTCTTTCCTCAGCCTCCCGAGTAGCTGGGACTACAGGCGCCAGCCACCATGCCTGGCTAATTTTTTTAATTTTTAGTAGACACGGGGTTTCACCGTGTTAGCCAGGATGGTCTTGATCTCCTGACCTCACAATCCACCCGCTTTGGCCTCCCAAAGTGCTGGGATTACAGGCGTGAGCCACCGTGCCCAGCCTGTTTCTTGACTTTTTAATGATTGCCATTCTAACTGGTGTGAGATGGTATCTCATTGTGGTTTTGATTTGCATTTCTCTGATGGCCAGTGATGATGACCATTTTTTAATGTGTCCGTTGGGTGCAAAAATGTCTTCTTTTGAGAAGTGTCTGTTCACATCCTTCACCCACTTTTTGATGGGGTTGTTTGATTTATTTCTCATAAATTTGTTTAAGTTCTTTGTAGATTCTGGATATTAGCCCTTTGTCACATGGGTAGATTGTAAAAATTTTCTCCCATTGTGTAGGTTGCCTGTTAACTCTGATGGTAGTTTCTTTTGCTGTGCAGAAGCTCTTTAGTTTAATTAGATTCCATTTGTCAATTTTGGCTTTTGTTGCCATTGCTTTTGATGTTTTAGTCATGAAGTCCTTGCACATGCCTATGTCCTGAATGGTATTGCCTAGGTTTTCTTCTAGGGTTTTTATGGTTTTAGGTCTAACATTTAAGTCTTTAATCCATCTTGAATTAATTTTTGTATGCGGTGTAAGGAAGGGATCCAGTTTCAGCTTTCTACATATGGCTAGCCAGTTTTCCCAGAACCACTTAATTAAACAGGGAATCTTTTCTCCATTTCTTGTTTTTGTCAGGTTTGTCAAAGATCAGATGGTTGTAGATGTGTGGTATTATTTCTGAGGGCTCTGTTCTGTTCCATTGGTCTATATCTCTGTTTTGGTACCAGTACCATGCTGTTTTGGTACCAGTACCATGCTGTTTTGGTTACTGTAGCCTTGTAGTATAGTTTGAAGTCAGGTAGCATGATGCCTCCAGCTTTGTTCTTTTTGCTTAGGATTGTCTTGGCAATGCGGGCTCTTTTTTTGGTTCCATATGAACTTTAGAGGAGTTTTCTCCAATTCTGTGAAGAAAGTCATTGGTAGCTTGATGGGGATGGCACTGAATCTATAAATTACCTTGGACAGTATGGCCATTTTCAGGATATTGATTCCTCCTATCCATGAGCATGGAATGTTCTTCCATTTGTTTGTGTCCTCTTTTATTTAATTGAGCAGTGGTCTGTAGTTCTCCATAAGAAGTCCTTCACATCCCTTGTAAGTTGGATTCCTAGGTATTTTATTCTCTTTGAAGCAATTGTGAATGGGAGTTCACTCATGATTTTGCTCTCTGTTTGTCTGTTATTGGTGTATAGGAATGCTTGTGATTTTTGCATATTGATTTTGTATCCTGAGACTCTGCTGAAGTTGCTTATCAGCTTAAGGAGATTTTGGGCTGAGATGATGGGGTTTTCTAGATATATAACCATGTCATCTGCAAACAGGGACAATTTGACTTCCTCTTTTCCTAATCCAATACCCTTTATTTCTTTCTCCTGCCTGATTGCCCTGGCCAGAACTTCCAACACTATTTTGAATAGGAGTGGTAAGAGAGGGCGTCTCTGTCTTGTGCTAGTTTTCAAATGGAATGCTTCCAGTTTTTGCCCATTCAGTATGATATTGGCTGTGGGTTTGTCATAAATAGCTCTTATTATTTTGACATACATCCCATCAATACCTAGTTTATTGAAAGTTTTTAGCATGAGGCGCTGTTGAATTTTGTCAAAGGCCTTTTCTGCATCTATTGAGATAATCATGTGGTTTTTGTCTTTGGTTCTGTTTATATGCTGGATTACGTTTATTGATTTGTGTATGTTGAACCAGCCTTGTATCCCAGGGATGAAGCCCATTTGATCATGGTGGATAAGCTTTTTGATGTGCTGCTGGATTCGGTTTGCCAGTATTTTATTGAGGATTTTTGCATCGATGTTCATCAGGGATATTGGTCTAAAATTCTCTTTTTTTGTTGGGCCTCTGCCAGGCTTTGGTATCAGGATGATGCTGGCCTCATAAAATGAGTTAGGGAGGACTCCCACTTTTTCTATTGATTGGAATAGTTTCAGAAGGAATGGTACCAGCTCCTCCTTGTACCTCTGGTAGAATTCGGCTGTGAATCTGTCTGGTCCTGGACTTTTTTTGGTTGGTAGGCTATTAATTATTGCCTCAATTTCAGAGCCTGTTATTGATCTATTCAGGGATTCAACTTCTTCCTAGTTTAGTCTTGGGAGGGTGTATGTGTCCAGGAATTTATCCATTTCTTCTAGATTTTCTAGTTTATTTGCGTAGAGGTGTTTGTAGTATTCTCTGATGGTAGTTTGTATTTCTGTGGGATCGATGGTGATATCCCCTTTATCATTTTTTATTCCATCTATTTGATTCTTCTCTCTTTTCTTCTTTATTAGTCTTGCTAGCAGTCTATCAATTTTGTTGATCTTTTCGAAAAACCTGCTCCTGGATTCATTGATTTTTTGAAGGGTTTTCTGTGTCTCTATCTCCTTCAGTTCTGCTCTGATCTTAGTTATTTCCTGCCTTCTACTAGCTTTTGAATGTGTTTGCTCTTGCTTCTCTAGTTCTTTTAATTGTGATCTTAGGGTGTCAATTTTAGATCTTTCCTGCTTTCTCTTGTGGGCATTTAGTGCTATAAATTTCCCTCTACACACTGCTTTAAATGTGTCCCAGAGATTCTGGTATGTTGTGTCTTTGTTCTCGTTGGTTTCAAAGAACATCTTTATTTCTGCCTTCATTTCGTTATGTACCCAGTAGTCATTCAGGAGCAGGTTATTCAGTTTCCATGTAGTTGAGCAGTTTTAAGTGAGTTTCTTAATCCTGAGTTCTAGTTTGATTGCACTGTGGTCTGAGAGACAGTTTGTTATAATTTCCGTTCTTTTACATTTGCTGAGGAGTGCTTTACTTCCAACTATGTGGTCAATTTTGGAATAAGTGCAATACGGTGCTGAGAAGAATGTATATTCTGTTGATTTGGGGTGAAGAGCTCTGTAGATGTCTATTAGGTCCGCTTGGTGCAGAGCTGAGTTCAATTCCTGGATATCCTTGTTAACTTTCTATCTCATTGATCTGTCGAATGTTGACAGTGGGGTGTTGAAGTCTCCCATTATTATTGTGTGGGAGTCTAAGTCTCTTTGTAGGTCTCTAAGGGCTTGCTTTATGAATCTGGGTGCTCCTGTATTGGGTGCATATATATTTAGGTTAGCTCTTCTTGTTGAATTGATCCATTTACCATTATGTAATGGTCTTCTTTGTCTCTTTTGATTTTGTTGGTTTAAAGTCTGTTTTATCAGAGACTAGGATTGCAAACCCTGCTTTTCTGTCTTCCATTTGCTTGGTAGATTTTCCTCCATCCCTTTATTTTGAGCCTATGTGTGTCTCTGCACATGAGATGGGTCTCCTGAATACAGCACACTGATGGGTCTTGACTCTTTATCCAATTTGCCGGTCTGTGTCTTTTAATTGGAGCATTTAGCCCATTTACATTTAAGGTCAATATTGTTATGTGTGAATTTGATCCTGTCATTATGATGTTAGCTGGTTATTTTGCTCATTAGTTGATGCAGTTTCTTCCTAGCATTGATGATCTTTACAATTTGGCATGTGGCTGATATCGGTTGTTCCTTTCCATGGTTAGTGCTTCCTTCAGGAGCTCTTGTAAGGCAGGCCTGATGGTGACAAAATCTCTCAGCATTTGCTTGTCTGAAAGGATTTTATTTCTCCTTCACTTATGAAGCTTAGTTTGGCTGGATATGAAATTCTGGGTTGAAAATTCTTTTCTTTAAGAATGTTGAATATTGGCCCCCACTGTCTTCTGGCTTGTAGAGTTTCTGCCGAGAGATCCGCTGTTAGTCTGATGGGCTTCTCTTCGTAGGTAACCCAACCTTTCTCTCTGGCTGCCCTTAACATTTTTTCCTTCATTTCAACTTTGGTGAATTTGACAATTATGTGTCTTGGAGTTGCTCTTCAGGAGGAGTATCTTTGTGGCATTCTCCGTATTGCCTGAATTTGAATGTTGGCCTGCCTTGCTAGGTTGGGGAAGTTCTCCTGGATAATATCCTGAAGAGTGTTTTCTAACTTGGTTCCATTCTCCCTGTCACTTTCAGGTATGCCAATCAGATGTAGATTTGGTCTTTCCACATAGTCCCATATTTCTTGGAGGCTTTGTTCGTTTCTTTTTACTCTTTTTTCTCTAAACTTTTCTCACTTCATTTAATTCATTTGATCTTCAATCACTGATACCCTTTCTTCCACTTGATCAAATCGGCTACTGAAGCTTGTGCATGCATCACGTAGTTCTCATGCCATGGCTTTCAGCTCCATCAGGTCATTTAAGGTCTTCTCTACACTGTTTATTCTAGTTAGCCACTCATCTAATCTTTTTTCAAGGTTTTTAGCTTCTTTGTGATGGGTTCAAACACCCTCCTTTAGCTCAGAGAAGTTTGTTATTACCGATCGTCTGAAGCCTTCTTTTCTCAACTCATCAAAGTCATTCTCCATCCAGCTTTGTTCTGTTGCTGGCGAGGAACTGCATTCCTTTGGAGGAGAAGAGGCACTCTGATTTTTAGAATTTTCAGCTTTTCTGCTCTGGTTTCTCCCCATCTTTGTGGTTTTATCTACCCTTGGTCTTTGATGATGGTGATAGTGTGGATGTCCTTTCTGTTTGTTAGTTTTCCTTCTAACAGTCAGGACCCTCAGCTGCAGGTCTGTTGGAGTTTGCTAGAGGTCCACTCCAGACCCTGTTTGCCTGGGTATCACCAGTGGATGCTGCAGAACAGCAAATATTGCAGAATGGCCAATGTTGCTGCCTGATGCTTCCTCTGGAAGCTTTGTCGCAGAGGGGGACCTGGCTGTATGAGGTGTCAGTCAGCCACTACTGTGAGGTGTCTCCCATTTAGGCTACTTGGGGGTCAGGGACCCACTTGAGGAGGCAGTCTGTCCATTCTCAGATCACAAACTCCATGCCGGGAGAACCACTACTGTCTTCAGAGCTTTTGGACAGGGACGTTTAAGTCTGCAGAAGTTTCTGCTGCCTTTTGTTCAGCTATGCCCTGCCCACAGAGGTGGAGTCTACAGAGGCAGGTAGGCCTCCTTGACCTGCAGTGGGCTCTGCCCAGTTTGAGCTTCCTAGTGGCTTTGTTTACCTACTCAAGACTCAGCAATGGCAGACGCCCCTCCCGCAGCCTCACTGCCACCTTGCAGTTCAATCTCAGACTGCTGTGCTAGCAGTGAGTGAGGCTCCGTGGGCGTGGGACCCTCGGAGCCAGGCACAGGATATAATCTCCAGGAGTGCCATTTGCTAAGACCATTGGAAAAGCGCAGTATTAGGGTGGAAGTGTCCCGATTTTCCAGGTACCATCTGTCATGGCTTTCCTTGGCTAGGAAAGGGAATTCCCTGACCCCTTGCGCTTCCCAGGTAAGGCGATGCCCCGCCCTGCTCCGTGGGCTGCATCCACTGTCCAACAAGCCCCAGTGAGATGAACCTGCTACCTCAGTTGGAAATGCAGGAATCACCTGTCTTCTGCATCACTCATGCTGGGAGCTGTAGACTGGAGCTATTCCTATTTGGCCATCTTGGAACCTCTCCTGTATGTATATATTTTAACTGAGCAGAAATATCAGCATGTGCAAATGGCAGAGAAAAAGGTTTTTACAAATTTTGCCCAGGCAAGTTACTTAAAGAAACAAAAAATAGGCCAGGTGCGGTGGCTCATGCCTGTAATCCCAGCACTTTGGGAGGCTGAGGCGGGTAGATTACGAGGTCAGGAGTTTAAGACCAGCCTGGCCAACATGGTGAAACCCATCTCTACTAAACATACAAAAATTAGCCAGGTGTGGTGGCATGTGCCTGTAATCCCAGCTACTCAGGAGACTGAGGCAGGAGAATTACCTGAACCTGGGAGGCAGAGGCTTGCAGTGAGCCAAGACCGCGCCATTGCACTCTGGCTCTGGGCAAGAGAGCAAGACTCCATCTCGAAAAAAAAAAAAAAACAGCAACAATAATAGCCTTCATAAAGTTAAAAAAAATTAGAATCCAAACTTACTACAATATATTATCTAATATATCCACTTTCCAACAAAATAATTATAATATGTGCAAAAACCAAGATTACGTGACCCATATTCAGGAAAAAAAATAATTGAACAAAAATAGTCTCTGGTTGTCCCCAAATGCTAAACTTGTAGACAAAAAAATATTAAGCAGCTATTTTTAAAAGCAGCTATTTCACTCTATTTCATTCAAATAACTAAAATAAACCATGTTTTAAAAATTAACATATTGGAACCAAAAAAGAGCCCGCATTGCCAAGACAATCCTAAGCAAAAAGAACAAAGCTGGAGGTATCACACTATCTGACTTCAAACTATATTACAAGGCTACAGTAACCAAAACAGCATGGTACTGGTACCAAAACAGATATATAGACCAATGGTACAGGCAGAAGCCTCAGAAATAATAGCACACATCTACAACCATCTGATCTTTGACAAACCTGACAAAAATAAGAAATGGGGAAAGGATTCCCTGTTTCATAAATGGTTCTGGGAAAACTGGCTAGCCAAATGTAGAAAGCTGAAACTGGATGCCTTCCTTACACCTTATACAAAAATTAATTCAAGATGGATTAAAGACTTAAATGTTAGACCTGGAACCATAAAAACCCTAGAAGAAAACCTAGGCAATACCATTCAGGACACAGGCATGGGCAAGGACTTTATGACTAAAACACCAAAATGCAAATGGCAATGGCATTTTGCAACAAAAGCCAAAATTGACAAATGGGATCTAATTAAACTAAAGAGCTTCTGCACAGCAAAAGAAACTACCATCAGAGTGAACAGGCAACCTACAGAACGGGAGAAAATTTTTGCAATCTACCCATCTGACAAGGGCTAATATCCAGAATCTACAAAGAACTCAAACAAATTTACACGAAAAAAATTATCCCATCGAAAAGTGGGTGAAGGATATGAATAGACACTTCTCAAAAGAAGACATTTATGCAGCTGACACATTAAAAAATGGTCATCATCACTGGCCATCAGAGAAATGCAAATCAAATTCACAATGAGATACCATCTCATGTCAGTTAGAATGGCAATCATTAAAAAGTCAGGAAACAACAGATGCTGGAGAGGATGTGGAGAAACACGAACACTTTTACACTGTTGGGAGTGTAAATTAGTTCAACCATTGTGGAAGACAGTGTGGTGATTCCTCAAGGATCTAGAACTAGAAATACCATTTGACCAAGCAATCCCATTACTGGGTATATATGCAAAGGATTATAAATCATGCTACTATAAAGACACGTGCACACATATGTTTACTGCAGCACTATTCACAGTAGCAAAGCCTTGGAACCAACCCAAATGTCCATCATTGATAGACTGGATAAAGAAAATATGGCACATATACACCACGGAATACTATGCAGCCATAAAAAAGGATGAGTTCATGTCCTTTGTAGTGACATTGATGACGCTGGAAACCATCATTCTGAGCAAACTATCGCAAGGACAGAAAACCAAACACCACATGTTCTCACTCAAAGGTGGGAATTGAACAATGAGAACCCTTGGACACAGGGCGGGGAACATCACACACCAGGGCCTGTCAGGGGGTGGGGGCTGGGGGAGGGATAGCATTAGGAGAAATGCCTAATGTAAATGACAAGTTGATGGGTGCAGCAAACCAACATGACACATGTATACCTATGTATCAAACCTACACGTTGTGCTCATATACCCTAGAACTTAAAGTAGAATAATAATAATAAAAAAAATGACAGCAATGAATCAATAAACAGAAACTCTCAGGTGATAGAAATTAGAAAAAGGAACCAAATGCATATTCTGGATTTGAAAACTGAAGTGAAGAATTCACTAGAAGCCCTCAATAGCATATTCAAAATGGCAGAAGAAAGAATCAATGAACTTGACAGATGAGCAGAAATTATCCCAGCTGAAGAAAAGAGACCTGTGGGACATCAAGTATACCAATATACATATAATGAGAGCTCCAGAAGGAAACAAGAGAGAGAAGGAGACAGAAAAATATTTTTAAAAAGAATGACTGAAAACATACTAAATTTGACGAAAAACATTAATCTGCAGGTTCAAGAAGCTCAACAAACCACAAGCAGATAAACCTTCTGCCTGAAACTCTTCTCTCTGGCTCTCTGTGATTCTGTACTCTCATGAGTCCCCTCACACTACTTGACTGTTTCTTTACTTTGTTCCTTCCTCAATCCTTTTTCTCAGTGACTTTTAAAATCCCATGCAATTCATATCTTTGTATACTCCACACTCGCATATAGAAATTCCATCTATTTTCATAGTCCATCAGTAAAGAGACATTCAAAACTTATAATAGGGTTTCTATATTTCTATTGCCTGGTTAATAACCTCTTTGTGGATGTTTCACTAACATCCTAAATGCAGAATGGAGATTCTTCTTCTGTTCCATATTTCTATAATTTTATTAGCACCAGGAATGGGCAATAGACATCTCAAAACCTGTTACCTTTGACATTTCCTTCTTCCTCAACTATAAACTCAATTGCCAAGTCATACGAATTCCACTGACCATTGTCTCCCTCCTCTTCATTCCCACTGCTGCTTCACTAGTTCAGGCTTTCATTACTTGCTCACCCAGATTGATCCTACAGCAGTAACTGGATTTCATGACTCTGTTTTCTCCTCTTTTTAATTCATTCAAAACATAGTAGTCAGATTAATATTCCTAAAGCACAGCTCTGATCTTTTCACATTAAAACAACAACAAAAAGATATGATGGTTTTCCTTGGCTCATAAAATCTGAATTTCTTAGCAGAACATTGCTTTCCAAACTGTATTTACCAGTTCCCTTCATCAACCCCAAATTCCAATTGTGAAAAAAATTGGCTACTTTTTTCAATTCCACTGAAATAAACCATGAGATTAAAAAAAAAAAAGAAAGGAAGAAAAGTGGGGGGAATGTTATTACTTTTGGGTGGGTACATGTTCCCTGACAACTTGTAAATGTTCTAAGATTTAACATTATGTAAGTTTTTGGAAGCATAGAGTAGCCACATCAGCTATGGGAGATGAAAAGATCAGGACACATGGTCATGGAATATGATGAACAGACGGACAGGACTGGGGTGGAGGAGATCTCACCCTGCACTTTTTCAGCCAGTTACAGACAAGAAGACCAACTCATTTATCTGTTGAACAGGAGCATGTTACCAGTAAATGGATACAGATGAACAGAGCTTCTAGCACAGGGCGCATGAGACAAATAAGAGAAAGATTGGAGCAAACATTTCTGGGACACTGTTTGGCTATTTGGAGGCATAGAGGAACTTGTAGTTCCACATGGACCTGGGCAAAAATGTCTGGGCAAGCCCTCAGAGGTCCAGAGATTCTTGACAATGGAAAGCTGGAGAATTTTGATTAACTGTCATGAAGTTGCTTCGTTTTAATAAACATGCTGCTGACACCCTGTACAACACTTGACTGGAAAATGGAAAAAGCTTTCTATCACTTTACAACTTTGTAAATAGAATAAGCTGTGTGGATTTTGCACATTAGGTAACAAAAACTGCAGTTGCTGGTTGGGTGTGAGTCAAATTGCTTAGCTGAGCCTGCCACTCTCTCTGCGCCTAAGCCAAAGGTAATCTTTGGTTCTGTCTGTGAATTATAATGAACTCTAAATTCATGAGATCCACATTTAAAAAATTTCACTGTGAAAGGATGCATAGTAGGCTGGGCACAGTGGCTCACACCTGTAATCCCAGCACTTTGGGAGGCTGAGGCGGGTGGATCGCCTGATGTCAGGAGTTTGAGACCAGCCTAGGCAACATAGTGAAACCCCGTCTCTACTAAAAATACAAAAAATTATCTTGGCTTGGTGGCAGGCACCTGTATTCCCAGCTACTAGGGAGGCTGAGGCAGGATAATTGCTTGAACCCGGGAGGCAGAGGTTGCAGTGAGCCGAGATTGCACCACTGCACTCCAGCCTGGGCAACAAGAGCAAACCTCCGTCAAAAAAAAAAAAAAAAAAAAAAGAAAGAAGAAAGAAGGTAAGAAGAAAGAAAGAAAGAAAGAAAGAGAAAGAGACAGAAAGGAAGGCACAAAGAAAGGATGCAAAATGAAGGTTATTCGGAGTATCAAACATAGACATGAAGAATAACAAAGCTCCTGTTAGAGCAAAGAACTGATGAAGTTTATTCTCTGTGGTTGTTGTTCTTTCTCTTACCTGACAAAATCAAGGTAACTGCAAATTTCTTCTAGTTTCTGAAGTTATAGTCTTCATAATCATACCAAATTTCATAATGCCCCTCAAAACTGCTAAGGGTGTTACTGAATGCAGGAATAAAAAGTCTAAATAAATTAGAATAGAATGAACTTATAGTCAATGTCATCAGTGCCATTTTTTAAAAACAAAATTACACATTTTTGCTTACTAATAATGGTCATAAGAAGTATGTAAACTCATTTTACTGTAACATATCTGAACTCTGTCTTCATCAAAACATAATTTTTCTAAATCTTTTATTTGACCTCAAGACTCTTTGTAATCATCAGTAATATCAATGTTTTTCAATTTATCTGGATTAATGCCGCAATTAGAGTGTTTCTAGTTTTATTTTATTTATTCATTTATTTATTTTTTGAGATGGAGTCTTGCTCTGTCACCCAGGCTGGAGTGCAATGGTGTGATCTCGGCTCACTGCAAACTCTGCCTCCTGGATTAAAAAGCAACTCTCCTGCCACAGCCTTCTGAGTAGCTGGGATTACAGGCATCCACCACCACACCCGGCTAATTTTTGTAGTTTTAGTAGAGACGGTGTTTCACCATGTTGGTCAGGCTGGTCTCGAAATCCTGACCTCGTGATCCACCTGCCTCGGCCTCCCAAAGTGCTGGGATTATAGGCATGAGCCACCATGCCCAGCTATTTCTAATTTTAAATGACAAATAATGATACTGTAGTAAAAGTTAGCTAAAGCAAATCTCACACAAAGCAACTTTTCTTATATATATTTTCCTCATATATATGAGGTACTGTAGTATGGCAGTGAGGAGCCAGGGTTCTGGAGTCAGCTCTATATACGAGCTCTACCACTTATCAGCTATGTGATATTCAGCTAATATTCAATACTCTTTGTGCTTTGTGTTTCTTATGTGTAAAATAGGGATAATGATAGTAAAATGTACTTACAGCTCATGGGATTATTGCATTAAAAGAGATAAAATGTAAACACTGGCATTATTAATAAATCACTATGATTAACTATTCTCATTATAGTCATGCTGTTTTGTTGCTTTGAATCTATAGTCATGAAATGTAGCCTTACATATAGTGCTGACAATAAAATTATTATTTAATGATTCTTGAAAGCTGAATTTAGTAAGATTAATATTTTTTGCTACAAAGACTATGAACCTAGCCTAAAATACATAGTCAGATATTTTGAGCACAATATAATTGTACTAATAGAATTTGATGTTACCTTTTTTTTTTTTTTTTGAGATGGAGTTTTGCTCTTGTTGCCCAGGCTGGAGTGCAATGGCATGATCTCAGCTCATTGCAACCTCCGCCTCCCAGGTTCAAGCAATTCTCCTGCCTCAGCCTCCCGAGTAGCTGGGACTACAAGCATGCGCTACCATGCCTGGCTAATTTTGTATTTTCAGTAGAGACGGGTTTTCTGCATGTTGGTCAGGCTGGTCTTGAACTCCCAACCTTGGCTGATCCGCCTGCCTCGGCCTCCCAAAGTGCTGGGATTACAGGCGTGAGCCACTGCGCCCGGCCTACTTTTTTCTTTAAAACATGCAAGCAAATACATTAGACCATGTATCACTCAGGTAGGTGGCATTATAGTACTAATTTTTAAATAATACTGCCTTATCTTTAACACAACTCTTACAAATTATAACTGTTACATTCAGATGAGCAAGACTTTGGCTAAAATTAACTGTATCACATTATCTAGCATTCTGTAGGCTTGCAGACTAAATGCTAGATAACTATTTAGATTCTGTCTATGTCATCAAGAACTTTTTCAATAGGAGTGTATCTTCTGTTCATATACTGCAAGATATATATTTTAAATTCTTCTGTAAAACAGATTTACATTAAATGTAGTCAAAATAAAATTCTTCCTGGATTCCAAAGGAGTTGATATCTGACTACAAATGGACATCAGGGACATTCACATGCTGAACATAATTCTGAAAGAGATGTTTATGACTAAGTGCTGTTACAGTTTATGGGAATCCATTGTTTTGGACCAGCCTTCTGCACCAGACTCCCACAGACCAGACCAGACCAAAATAGTGTCACTCATGCAAAGTGCCTCATAATCAAACTGAACTTTAAGGAAGCTGATAGAGCCCCAAACAGAGCAGTTTTTCCTGAAAACAGGAGATTCACAGCAACTAGTCAAAGAGCTCAATCTTCCTAAGTCAGCATAATAAAGAGGTCTTCTCTGTTTTAACTCTTACAAGAAAAGTGACTTGTAGTAACTTATGCTATCAATGCACTTTTATTTATCGTTCTGTTGTCTTATTCCCACCTTACAAAAACCAACCATTCTATCATATCCAGTGGATCACTACTTCTGTTTCATAGAATGAAGTGTTGCCTGATTCTAGAATCACAAATAAAAGCCAATTAGATCTTCAAACTAAATTTGTTGTATTTTGTCTTTAACAGTACAATCAAACAAAGGAGAAGAAAATATCTTTTTTTAAAATTTAACTTTTAAGTTTAGGGGTACAAGTACAGTTTTGTTACATAGGTAAACATGTCATGGGGGTTTGTTGTACAGATTTTTTTGTCACCCAGGTATTAAGCCTAGTACTCATGAGTTATTTTTCCTAACACTCTCTCTCTTCCCACCCTCCACCCTTGCATAGACTCCAGTGTGTGTTGTTCCCCTCTTTGTGTCTATATGGTTTCATCATTTAGCTCCCACTTACAAGTGAGAACATGTGGTATTTAGCTTTCTCTTTCTGTGTTAGTTTGATAAGGATAATGGCCTCTAGCTCCATCCATGTCCCTGCAAAGGACATGATCTTGTCCCTTTTTATGGCTGCATAGTATTCCATGTTGTATATATACCACATTTTCTTTATCAAATCTATCACTGATGGGCATTTAGGTTGATTCCATGTCTTTGCTATTGTGAATAGTGCTGCAATGAACATACATGTGCATGTGTCTTTGTAACAGAGTGATTTACATTCCTTTGAGTATATATACAGTAATGAGGCCAATGGTATTTCTGTCTTTAGGTCTTTGAGGAATTGCCACACTGTCTTCCACAATGGTTGAACTAATTTACACTTCCACCAACAGTGGGAGGTTCCTTCTTTGCAACTTTGTCAGCATCTGTTATATTTTGACTTTTTAATAGCCATTCTGACTGGTGTGAGATGGTATTTCCTGTGGTTTTGATTTGCATTTCTGTAATGATCATTGATGTTGGGCTTTTTTTCATCATTGTTGGCTGCACTCATGTCTTTTGAAAAGTCTGTTCATATCCTTTGCCAACTTTTTAATGGTTTCTTTTTTCTTGTAAATTTGTTTAAGTTCCTCAAGATGGAGTAAAGACTTAAATGGAAAACTCAAAGCTATAAAAACTCTGGAAGATAACCTAGGCAATACCATTCTGGACGTAGGAATGGGCAAAGATTTCATGATGAAGATGCCAAAAGCAATTGCAATGAAGGCAAAAAAAATAAATAACAAATGGGATCTAGCAAGGAAACTATTAAGAGTGAGCAGACAACCTACAGAATGGGAGAAAATTTTCGAATACAGTATTTTTGGCAAAGAGAGCCTAATTCTCTGGATATAGTTTGTGAAATGTGGGCTTTGCGTGAATTAAGAGACCAACAGGGAGTAGAATTATTTGGGAATCACTTCAAATGGAAAAATAAGGTAGAATCCTTTATCTTTCAGAATATGATTTGACCTTAACTCTGCTAGAAGGTAGCAGAGTGATTTCAAGCTTTCTTTAAAAGGGTTGAAATGGGGACTTGCCTACTCTGAGTCAAAGCCTTGAGAATAAAATCTCATCTAGTCATTCAACAGACAATTGTGTGATATGCTGAAGATACAGAGACACAAAGATAAGAACTTGTCCTCAAGAATATTATAATCTAATGGTGGGAAACAAATGTGTAAATAGATTAGTACGACAATGTTCACTAAGTACAATACATTAAAATAAAGCATCTAGGAGAGAGATCAGTATAGCAAAGAGTCAAACTTCTTTCACATATTGCAATATTTTGGAGGGTTGTTTTTGAGAGGGGTTCTTGCTCTGTCACCCAGGCCGGAGTGGAGTGGTGCATTCATGGCTCACTGCAGCCTCGATCTCCTGGACTCAAGAATTGCAATATTTTGTAAACTGCATTGTCTTACCTCTGAGTAGGGAGCAAAAGGCATCAAGTAATGTAATTAAAGTGATATTTTTAAATTTAAAGAGAAATTTATAAATGTATAAGGAAAAACAGGATATATTTTTAAAGGATGCTTTTATAAACATGGTGAAAGAATATGTGGTTGAGAATGAGAAAGAGCTTGTTTAGATGGTGGCTCTTCCACTTAGTAGATTCATGGATTTATTAAAAATCTTTCTCTTTCTGAAGCCTCACTTTTCTCATCTGTAAAGTAGATATGTACATACCATAAAGATCAGTTGAGACATGCTATGGTTTGAAAATCCCCTCTAAAACTCATGTTGAAAATTAATTGCCAATGTAACGGTATTGGGAGATGGGGAGTTTACAAAGTGATTAAGTCATGGGGGCACTTTCTTCATGGATTGTCATTATCACAGAAGTGAGTTATCTCAGGAGTTTGGCCCTCTTTTTCTCTGTTTCATGCTCTCACTCTCTCTCACATTGTCTCACTATGTGATGCCTTCCATCATGTTATGATACAACAAGAATGCCCTCACCAAATATGGTCCCTCAACCTTGGACTTCCCAGCCTCCAGAACCATGAGCCAAATAAATCTCTTTTCTTTATAAATCACCAAGTCTATGGTACTCTGTTATGCAGCAGAAAATGGACTAAGACAAGACAAAAAATAGGTCAGTGCTTTCCACTGGGATGCATGAATTTATGTGAATATATGTAAATTCTATTCCGTTTTCATTGAAAATTTTATCCTGAGGAAGTACATTTACCAATTTTCACATTAGCAGTGAATAAGAATTCCTAGTGCTCTATATTTTCTCCCACAGTTGAGATTATCAGGATTCTTAAGTTTAGCTATTCTAAAGGAAGTCTGATGGTATATAACTGTGGTTTTAATTTGCATTTTCCTGATTACTAAAGAAATCAAAGACCTTTTCTTATACTTGCTGGCAATTGGGGTATCTATTTTTGTGAAATGCCTGAAGTCTTTTTGTCCATTTTTCATTGGATTTTTTTATATATTGATTTACTTTGTAGATGTACTTTATACCAGGCACAAGACTTGCATATGTAATATATTTTACCATGTAGCTTGACTTTTTACCAATTAAAGGTGTCTTTTCATAAACTGAGGCTCTTAATTTTAACTCTAAGTATCAGTCTTTTCCTTTACTGTAAGTACTTTTTTGTGTGTGTCCTGCTTAATATATAAACACTTAATTTATTTCAAATGTGTCTTTTTTCTAAACTCCAATTTGTTCCACTGATTTTTGTCTATTCTTACCCCAATACTGTACTATCCTAATTATCACAGACATAAGTATTAATATCCAGTAGAGCAACTCCTCTTACCTTTTCCCTCCTATTCAAGAGTGTCTTGTCTATACCTGTTTCTCTTAATTTTTTTTTCATATTTTAAAGAATTGAGTTTCAAACTCCTTTTCTCCCTGTGTCTCTCTTACACACACACACACACACAAACCAACTGGGATTTTGATTTGAATTTCTTTGGATCTAAAGCTCAGTTTCAGGAAAATTAACATTTTAAAAATGCTGAGTCTTCCAATATATAAATGTAGTACAAGTATTCATTGATTTGTCTTTTTTAATGTCTCTTGGGAATGTTTTATGTTTCTTTTACAACTGCTAAAATATTTATTTTTAGGTTTTAAATATTTTTGATCCTATTATGATTATTTTCAGTTTTATTTTCTGTTGTTGCTCATCATAGAAATGAAATTTTTAAAATCTACAAGTCGAGATTAGAATTGAGTTTAACAAGGTTGCTGGGATACAATTTTATTAAACTCAATTCTAAGAACTATCTGTAGAGTCTTTGAGTTTTTTTATATATATAGTCTTAGCAAATAATGGCAGTTTTACTTGTTCTTTTTCTTTTAGATGGAGTCTCACTCTGTTGCCAGGCTGGAGTGCAGTGATACCATCTTGGCCCACTGCAACCTCCGCCTCTCGGGTTCAAACAATTCTACTGCCTCAGCCTCCCAAGTAGGTGGGACTACAGGTGCGTGCCACCATGCCCAGCTAATTTTTGTATTTTTAGTAGAGACAGGGTTTCACCATGTTGGCCATGATGGTCTCGATTCCCTGACTTCGTGATCTGCTTGCCTCTGCCTCCCAAAGTGCTGGGACTACAGGCGTGAGCCACTGTGCCCGGCCTACTTGTTCTTTTCAATTCTTCTTCCTTACCACACTAATTAGGACTTTCAGTGGCAGGTAGCCTAGAAATGTTGGTAACTATTGATATGGTTTGGCTCTGTCCCCGCCCAGAACCTCATCTTGAATTGTAATCCGAATTGTAATCCCCATATATTGGGGGGTTACCTCGTGGGAGGTGATTAGATCATAGGGGCATTTCCCCCATGCTGTTCTCATGATAGTGAGTGACTTCTCATGAGATCTGATGGTTTTATAAGGGGCTTTTCCCCACTTCGCAGTGCACTTCTCCTTGCTGTCACCATGTGAAGAAGGATGTGTTTGCTTTCTCTTCCACCATGATTGTAAGTTTCATGAGGCCTCCCCAGCCCTGCAGAACTGTGAGTCAATTAAATCTCTTTCCTTTATAAATTACCCAGTCTTGGGTATTTCATCATAGCAGCAAGAGAATGAACTAATACAACTATTATCTTATTCCTGATCACAGAAAGAAAGTTTTCAGTATTTCTATGGTGTTTATTATTGGTGTTTTGTAGATACCCTGTATTTGATTAAAGAAGCTCTCTTCTATTCTTCGTTTGCCCAAAGATGTATTTTAATCATAAATAGATGCTTACTTTAACCAACTGCTTTTCTGCATCTAGTACAATTATCATATAATTTTTTCCTTTATTCTGTTAATGTCATAAATTCTCAGTTTTCTAATATTAAACTAACATTGCATAATTGCAACAAACTCAACTTGTGACATTTCATATATACATGTTGTATGGTTATCTAATATTAAGAATTTAAGCATATCTGTTCATGATTGAGGTTGCCTGCAATTTTTCCTCATCATTTAATGTTCATGTTCTTATATCAAAGTTGTGTTGACTTTATAAGCTAGGTTGGAGAACATCTTTGTTTTTCTGTTTTCTGAAAAGGCATAAAATCAGGGTATTTGCTAGACTGGAAGGTTTAAAATGAGTGATTCAGCTTTTTTGAGTCATAAGGAGATAGTCATAATTTCTATTTCATCATGTTGAGATTTATGCAGTTGTATTTTTTGTATTTTTCTTATCCTACTAAGCTTATAATAAAATAATCAAAACATCAAATATATTAACTAGAAATAGTTATTACCAAAATCGGTGGTAGTTGAGAGTTGTATTTAAGGGTAGCTCTTTCTATTTCTTGATTATTAAGAGTTCCCTTATTAAAATAAATTGCTTTTTGGCATAATTGTCAAAAACATATGTAATACCAAAAAGATTAAAAATGCATTTTGTTTTGAGTTAAAATGAATAGACGCATGCAGTGGCATAGCTAGGTACTTGATGCCTGAAAGGGACCATTTTTAATACGCCTTCCTCTGTATGATAAAAGTATTTTCAGTAATAATTTTGAAATGAAACAAATAATAATTATGTCCAGAAAAGAAATGCAGGCAGTGAAAGTTTTCATTTATTCAATTTTGACTATGTAATCATGCTAATAATAAATTAATAAAGTATATATTTTAGCTGAAAATGCAAAAAGTTAAGGTTTAATACTTTTTAAGTACATTAGTATGGGCCAGGCGCAGTGGCTCACGCCTGTAATCCCAGCACTTTGGGAGGCCGAGGCAGGTGGATCACCTGAGGTTGGGAGTTCAAGGCCAGCCTGGCCAATATGATGAAACCCCATCTCTACTAAAAATACAAAAAATCAGCTGGGCGTGATGGTAGGCGCCTGTAATCCCAGCTACCCGGGAGGCTGAGGCAGGACAATCACTTGAATCCGGAAGGCGGAGGTTGCATTGAGCTGAGATCGCGTCATTGCACTCCAGCCTGGGGACAGAGCAAGACTCCATCTCAAAGAAAAGAAAAGAAAAATATTTATACCTATATACTGGTTTGCCTCAGTGAAGAATAATCACTTTATGTTTTCTGACTTTGAGCATTAATTTTTGCAAATTTGTCAATGCTTTGTCAAATTAATCTTTATATAGTCATGGTCAGTAAAATCAGTGCGGTCAGATGTGTTGACATCACTCATAGTTGATTGAAGAACATTTTTTATTTTAATTTCAAAAAGTTTCACGTGAAATAACAGATATGGAAATAGTGATGAAATCTTTAAAATAAGAATACATTCATCAGATTCATACAAATCCCATTTCACAATAAATTCCAGAAATTATAGTACTACCCATATCCTTTTTTCTTTGGGATCAGTTCCAGCAGTTTTCAAATATTTCTGCTGTTGAAAAATTTCCACTAAAATAACTTCACCAGAAAATTCATCATAAATTTCTATCATATTTGGTAAAATTCTCCAAAGCTTGTAATGATTGTGAATTATTTGAGCTTGCTTCAGGCTCAGGTCACATCTCCAGTCCCTGTGGTACTATGTAAGCCTGTATTTAAACACAGACTAAAAATAAACAATTACAGCAGAGTGATTATAAAAATGAAACAGAACTTGACTGCTTATTCTTGAAATAAACAAGTATAGCTGAGTCCATGTGCATTTGAGAGTTAGAATTACTTCCACATAGAATGCAATGTTTATTAAATAATAAGTAATAATAAAAACGTAATATTCAGCTTACATTTGTTTTGTTAAATTTCAGCAACTGCAGCAGTTGTTTAGAACTTAGACCAACAAAAGTTTTTTTATTTTTCAAAGAGGAGTAGTATTGTTGATATTGCTTGGAACTGCCAGGCATAGTAAGCGGAACTGCCAGGCGTAGTAAGCAGAACTGGCTTTTATTATTATTTTATTTTTATTTCTTTTCAATTTTCTACACACAAAGCAGCCCTTATTGCCTGTACTAGGGGTGAACTACTCTCCTTATCCCATCCTTGGTATCCCATACCACTGACTGGATGAGAAAAATAGTGAAGCAAGCTGAAAGGGAACACTCACTTCCTTTTAAACAGCAGGCCAGATAGTCTTCTGGAATTAAGAGATTCCAAGTAATTATAAGAAGAATAAAGTGGTTTGTTGATTTATTTCTGGAAACTTTCACAAAAATAGATATTACATTCCTTCTTGCTCCTTTACTGGGCTTGCTTGAATCATTACAATGTGCGTCATTTTTTATTATCTGCTGATACTGGCAGTGGAGTACTAGAACTTACTTTGATGTAATGGAATGGATATACCAAGATTTTAAATTTTGGTCAGTCTTACAGACCTCTGCAGTGCCATTTGAGGTATTTCCTGGCTGTATCTGAAACTCTTCGCACCCCATCTCAAACTGAAGGGAGGCAAAATTGTTCTGCTCAATATGTGCACAGTCTCCTCGGTCCAGAAAGGAAACGTATGAGAAATTTGATTAAAATCTAAGTGACTCATAATGTGAATCTCAAAAGAGTGTAACAAATGTTAATTAGTTTTAAATTCCAACACCCTAAGAACTTATTGTATACATTGTAGTAAGTGAAATAACTGGAAAAAACAGCATTGAATCCTTTCACAATCAGACTCTCCCCTAACCAAAATGACTGTACCTTGTATGTTTTCTATGTTTCATTGACAAATTTGGTTGAAGGAACTAAACTACGTCTTTCTTAATAATCACAAAATAAACAGAAGAAATGCCCATTTGGTGCTTCCTGTTTGGTTCTGTTGATGGGCTAATGTTCCCTCCTGCTGTAGCAGTTGAGTATGTTTATATTCTTGACCCCTCTGCAGGGAAGCAGAAAAGAATCTGAACTCCGATGACTTGCTGTGCTTTTGGCTTTGATGTGCTCCTCTGGCCTCTGTGGCGGAAGCTCCATGTTAAGTAACAGACCTGAATTTACACTAAAAGTAGTGAAAATACCACAACAGCTAAAAGAAAGACTTTTAGCTGTTGTGTCTCTAAATTTACTTGTGTAAGAACACAGTTTTTGTAGTAACACACATAATGGTTTCAACTGCCCTCAAAATTAGGCAGGTAAAATATATCATAGAACATTTTCTAGAAAATATGTAGAATGGCCAATGAGGCAGAAAGCATAAACAAATAATGGGCTCACCGGAAACAAACAGAAATATTTACCAAGAGCAGTTTGGATTCAAGTATTATGGATAATACTTTAAAGTTTTGACCTCCAAATATCCTGTAATACCAGTGACTTCTATGTAACCCCTGGACTCCAGCTGTGGTTCTTTCAGCATATCATTTGCCCAAGATCTTGACAAGAAAATCCATCCTCCTCCAATTCCACCTTTTCTGAAACCCCAACATCATAGGTGGTGGAAAGGCAGTTGAGGGTTAAAGTTATGATTATCCAGGTCACATGTAGGAGCTCAGAAGTTTTTCCTAACGCTGTCCCTTAAACTCTCCACTTCCTTTACTTACTGTTCACCTTATGATGGAAGAGATGGAGAAATCAGTGAGATTTTATTTTAATTTTCTGCTAGGAAATAATCTCGTAAAGTCTTTGGCTCACTTCTTTTCTGTACCTCAAGGGTCAATAGTTTAGTCTCTCTGATGTGCTGTGTAACTAAGTAACTGAATAAAACAGAGTTTGTTCTGGAGCAGAATGGAGCTCTATAAGCTGGAGATTCCAATCCTCGACTTTTTCCTGTTTTTTCTCTCTTTACTGTATGCACTGTTAAGTATCTTTGGACCCCTTAATTTCCCTCTAGGAGAAAGCCATCCATTTCCGCTCGAGTTAGAAGGCTTCTACAGAAGGCCTGAATATTTGAAGATCATACAAATGACCCCAACAACAGCCTAATGGGTGAAGGTTAATAAATGTGAAGCAACATGAAAATCTAACTGCCTGCCTAATCATTTTGAAGAGTCTACTTACAGTTATATTTTTAACTTAGGCATTCCCTCTTTATAGATTGTTCTACTAGAATGAAGTAAGAAAAATATTTTACATTCTCATCTCTCTAGTAATTTTTCTGCTTCATTTTGCCCTTACATACTATTTCACCTATTTAGAGATTTTGATACATTTTGCTGTTCTTTCCATTAAGTCTTCACCTAAATTCATGCTTTGTACCTCAGCAGTTAAGTTTCAGGGAGTGCCTAATATCCTTACATTTGACAGATGAAGAGAGAACCTAACAGTTTTCTCGGCCAAGCAAGAGAGACACAGTGTAGGACTGTAGTGAGTCAGGATTTGGCTGCCTCAGTATCCATTCAGAAGACGCCGGTGGTGCCGCAGCATGGGATAAATGCACAAAACAGTGAAAAGAGACAAATGGTCCAACAGCATTATGTTGGCATCATTTAAATCTTATCAGCAAGATACCCTAAGGAGGTGAACTGGCACAAATATCACAGTAACTGCCAAAAAATTTCATCACTCTTGGCATAAGCAGCTCCTAAGATATTTGAAAGTTTTTTGGTGGGGGGTGGGGGAGTTAAAGAAAAAGCTGAAAAGAACCCTTGCCTCAGATTTTCCTTTCGTCTCTAGAGGCTATGACTCCTTAGGACTCCCGCCGTCCTCCCCTCTGAGCTCCTCTAGGATGAGGCCTGTCTTCTGGTTACTATAATTAAGGGAGGAGACCACCCCTCATATTGTCTTATGCCCAATTTCTGCCTCCAAAGAAAGAAAAAGATAAAACTAAAAGGCAGAAATGAAATCCACAAGCAGACAGCCCGGCGCCACACCCTGGGCCTGGTAGTTAAAGATCGACCCCTGACCTAATCGGTTATGTTATCTATAGATTACAGACATTGTATAGAAAAGCACTGTGAAAATCCCTGTCCTGTTTTGTTCCAATCTAATTACTGGTGCGTGCAGCCCCAGTCACATACCCCCTGCTTGCTCACTCGATCACGATCCTCTCATGTGCATCCCCTTAGAGTTGTGAGCCCTTAAAAGGGAGGAGAATTGCTCACTCAGGGAGCTCGGCTCTTGAGACAGGAGTCTTGCCGATGCCCCCGGCTGAACAAACCCCTTCCTTCTTTAACTTGGTGTCTGAGGAGTTTTGTCTGTGGCTCGTCCTGCTACATAGTGATAGGCCAGGAAAATATCTGAATGCTTGCTATAAGTCAGATAGCAAACTATACATGGGTTATGTATTTGAGAAGGTAGAAGTGGTCCTTACATGGAGGGCAGAAGACAATTCCACAGCATGCATTAGTATGGCAAACAGACGTTGTATAAACATCTTAACTTGGCAGGAGAACACCTACCTACTACTCCAGTTGCAACACAGGACATTAGGTTTTATTAAAAAAATGATGAAAGTTGCAAGAAATCTGGGGATGAAGGCAAGATAGAAGATAAAAACAAATCATTTTGTACAATTCCTCTAATCCAAAAGGGAAGGAGCTCATATGTTTCTGATGATACCTACCTCAAGAACTAAAGAGCTGATGGAACTTTGGAGATTATGTATCATGCAGTACTCATCCTGGAGTGCACATCACAACTTGTGGTGGACATTTTTCAAAAATCATGCATGGTTTCACCCCAGACATGGGGAAGAAACATCTGAAAGTGAGGTCTTGGGACTTAGAAAATTTAGGCAACCATGAGTCTCACTCGCCAGGGTTTTTCTTTTGCAGAAAATCCACCTTTTCCCAGTGACTTGTGGGTTTGGAGGCTTTGGTGTCTGAAGGACTCCTATGATGCCACCAGACATGATTCGGGGTTAGCAGCCACCTGGTTCCAGCCTTTCCAAGGAGGATTGTTTCCACCCTGGGTGAACCAGTTAAACTCTGCTGCTTCCCAAAACACACCTAACCCCAGAGTGGGTGGTATGTGTCCCTAGCTAATCTCCAACTGTTATGCAAAGGAGTCATTAGCACTCCTTATCAGTGCCTCATAGTACAAATATAAAATGGGATAAACTCAGAGAAAACTTAAAAGCACAGACATAGGAGAGTGCACACAGGCAGAAATGGACTGCATGCATCCCCAAAAGGGTGAAACTCTCCCCCTATAATATTCTACTCATTATAAGGAACAGAGAAGTGCAGTGAACATCAATGCAATGGAAAGAAGTAGTTGAAATGGAAGCCTGTTCTTTCCTTAAGCTAACTCAGGCTCCTCGAGCTACCAATGAGAGGGGATAATGAACTTCCGGGTCACCTGGGTTGTTCTACCATTGCTGTTTAACAAAGCCAGCTCTCTTTGTATTTTACATATACCCCTGCACACAACCCTCAGAATCTCATGTAGGTTCCAAAGCTACGTACGCTGCAACTATCCTATTCTAAAGCAATTGTGCTTTCCCTGTCCTTTGTGTTGATGAAGATCTAAAACTCATGGAGTCAATTCAAACAGCTACAAGGGGGTGGAGTTGGGATTTCACCTGTGACTATTTGACTTCCAAACTCATATTCTTGTCAATAATCTAAACTGCTGCCTTCCAGCAGGTTACTTGTCCTAAGCTATTAAAGCAAACTGGGAAAAATAGTCAAAATACCTTTGCTTTCCTGGATCTTGCCTGCTGTTGTATATATCTTGGAGTTAGGCCAAAAACTGAGGAAAATCTGCCCACCTGCCAATGGCAAGCTGATGAAGTAAGATATAAGTGAAGTCTAATAAAATGATGGTGAAATTAGCAGGAAAGCCTACTAGCAGACATAGCTTTGGGACTTGTGTTTCCCACATGTTAATACGAAGAAAGCCCCTTTGGAGCCTGGGGTGAGGGGTAAGAGGGGGACCTATTAACTGCTGAATTCAGATCTCACAGGTGGGCACTTCCTTTTCTCTTTTGTCCTCTTACCTTGCCTCTGAGGGTTGTTAATGAGTTGTGGTTTGACTATGTGGGGCAGGTTTGACTAGGGGGCCCAGAAAAAAAGAGAAGAGTTGGATAAATCAGCCATTAAAAATATATCCTGGCTGAAGAAGGATGGTAGAAGTGGAGGGAAGATAATGGAAGAGGGAATGAGAAGAAAGGTATCAGGAAAGATGCACATGATCAGGCTAATGACCTGTTTTCCCCTTATAGAAACCATATACAAAATTAACTATAACTTATTGCCAACTTAATTTTTTCTCTTGGTGTATATTTTATACCTGAAATGCTATTAAACATATTTCTTACTTTTCTGTTAGATTTAAATTTTCAAAACTTTCTTCAGAATATTTAAAAATCTTTGTGTTGTTCATTACAAATCAAATGACATGAAATTCCATTACCCTTAGAACTAAAATGAGTAAAATAGATCATAATAATATAAAGGTTTTTCCTGGACACACTTTTCGATAAGAACATTTAAAAGCACATTTGTAGACAAAGCACACTATAGCACCTGGCTGCTAAACGAATGTCCAAGAAGTAATTATTATCTGCCTTGCTGCCACTGAAAAGTTTTTTATTTTTCTGGCAAGTCAAATGTGAATCTCACTACTCAATAAAAAAATAGAAATCCAAATTAATTATTAGCTTAACAGTAGAAGAATCTAATAAGATTGAGTACAGTCGTGAAGAAACACAGTGAAAGATGTTCAGCTCTTATATTTCTCAGTATAGGATTTCTTACAAGGTAAATGACATGACATTGCTACAACTGAAAAAAATACATATTTTAAAGAAATCTGTTTAAAAGCTGGCTTACAACTGATGTGTAATTTTCACTTTACAAGGGAACTGGGAGAGAAATGTTTCCACTGACATCTTAAAGAATAACATTAACAAAACCAGACTTCAATTGTTGCAAATCTGGGATTCCATAATCACAGACCAGTAAAGCGCAAAATACTGTGAACCACTATCAGCTCTCTTTTCTGGAAGACCCTTATGCTCCCTGCATGGATAAATTATTTTCTGCAGGTGGTTAGGGGAGGACTTCCCACAGCCAGGAAGCAAAAAAATGCTCTCTACACTAACACTCCAACTTGCTCTACATGGAGTGCAGTGTCAAATCTGGGAAGTTACTCTTCTGAAACATTATTCTGCAGTCTCTTCTACCCTGCCACTTCTCTCTCTTCTCTCCATATTTAAACAGAAAATCTTGGTTGAGAGTCATTTACACATGCACATGGGCTGATTACATTTCAACAAATTGAAATCTCAGCTTCAATCACAGGTTTGCATTTAAATCTTATCACTGGTTGAGGAATGAAATACTTTTTCTTTATTTACTTTAAGCATCAACGAAATGATATATTTTAGGAAGAAGGCAATCAGAAACCTAAAAAATCACTCCAGGTTTATTCAACAGGTCCCAAAGGTAAATCTTATTTAATTGGGGTGGGGGGGCAGAAGTAATTTTGGGGATGGTGGGGAAGGAAAGGTTTGTCTAAAGACTCAGTGGCAGAGGCTCTGCTCCCTCTGGGAGGCTGGCTGAGGCCTACAGACCTTTGGGAACATCCAGGTCTTCATCTCTTTTATTTAACATCATATTCCACTTATTCTATTAAGGGAGGAGACCACCCCTCATATTGTCTTATGCCCAATTTCTGCCTCCAAAGAAAGAAAAAGTAAAAACTAAAAGGCAGAAATGAAATCCACAAGCAGACAGCCCGGCGCCACACCCTGGGCCTGGTAGTTAAAGATCGACCCCGACCTAATCGGTTATGTTATCTATAGATTACAGACATTGTATAGAAATGCACTGTGAAAATCCCTATCCTGTTTTGTTCTGATCTAATTACCAGTACATGTAGCTCCCAGTCACGTACCCCCTGCTTGCTCAATCAATCACGTCCCTCTCACACGCACCCCCTTAGAGTTGTGAGCCTTTAAAAGGGACAGGAATTGCTCACTTGGGGAGCTCGGCTCTTGAGACAGGAGTCTTGCTGATGCCCCCGGCCGAACAAACCCCTTCCTTCTTTAACTCGGTGTCTGAGGAGTTTTGTCTGTGGCTCGTCCTGCTACACTATCATGTGAAAAAATTGCGGCATGTTGATTGTCAGGTACTAGACGTACAGTAGTGAACAAAAAAGACAAAGTTCCTGCCCTTATGACACAGTATAGGGGAGAAGGCAGACACTACTTAAAGAACTGTAAATATTTGTTTGTTTATTTATTTTGAGATGGAGTCTCACACTGTCCACCCGGGCTGGAGTGCGGTGGCGCGATCTCGGCTCACTGCAACTTCCACCTCCCGGGTTCAATCGATTCTCCTGCCTCAGCCTCCCGAGTAGCTGGAATTACAGGCGCCGGCTAATTTTTTCTATTTTTAGTAGAGACGGGGTTTCACTATGTTTGCTGGGCTGGTCTCCAATGCCTGAACTCGTGATCCACCTGCTCGGCCTCCCAAAGTGCTGGGATTACAGGCATGAGCCACTGTGCCTGGCCAGGAACTGTAAATATAAGAAGAGTTTTTGTGGGCTGGGTGCAGTAGCTCATGCTTGTCAAATCTCGGTGCTTTGGGAGGCTGAGGCAAGAGGACTGCATGAGGCCAGGAGTTTTAGAACAGCCTGGCCAAGA
Organism: Homo sapiens; assembly: GCF_000001405.40. Classification (NCBI taxonomy): domain Eukaryota; kingdom Metazoa; phylum Chordata; class Mammalia; order Primates; family Hominidae; genus Homo; species Homo sapiens. Next base: position 116,321,374 of record NC_000006.12, on the reverse strand, counting down.
TAGCAAGACCCCCATCCCTACCAAAAAAAAAAAAAAATGAAAAATTAGCTACACATGGTGGCACACACCTTTAGTCCCAGCTACTCAAGAGGAGGATCACTTGAGCACAGGTGTTCAAGACTGCAGTGAGCTATGCTTACACAACTGCACTCCAGCCTGGGCAACAGGGTGAGACCTTGTCTCTAAAATAAATAAATAAACAAATAAGTAAATAAATAAGTAGGTTTTTTTAAATGAGTATTTGAAAGTGTGACCTGGGAAGCAATACCAGGAAGATGGAGCAGAGACAGAAGAGTTGCAGAACTGCTTTTCTAAGGAAGTCATGTTTCAGTGACCCATTCAACAATCTCACATAGCACAAGCAAGCCTGCTGACATGTGCAGCATGTCAGCTCTATCTCAATCTCTCCATCGCCTTAGTACACTCCTTCTTTGCCTTCTGTTAGGAGCTCAGTTGTGTATTCCTTAAAATACATATATTGAAATGCTAAGCCCTAGTACCTTAGAATGTTTAAGTGTAGTTGGATATAGGGCCTCTAAAGAGGTAATTAAGTTAAAATTAGGTCGTTAGGGTAGACCCTAATCCAATATCACTGGTGTCCTTATAAGAACAGAAAATTGGAACACAGGAAAGAGACATCAGGGATGTGCATGCACAGAGAAAAGGCCATGTGAAGAGGCAGCAATAGAGTGGCCACCTCAAGCAAAGGAGAGGAAACCAATGCTGCTGGTACCTTGATCTTGACTTCCAGCCTCCAGATGTGAGAAAATAAATTTTTGTTGTTTAATTCACTGAGTCTATGGTATTTTGTTATGGCAGCGCAAGCAAACTAATACACCTCCTTCCCTAAAGGAGGACTCCTTCACCTGCCCCAACCTGCACTGTTCTCTCCTTTGTTTTGTTCTCTCCAAAGCATAGTTTATATTTTCTGACTTATCTAGTATCTAATAAGTTCTTTATCTAGAAATACATCCTAGACTCTTGAAGGAGGATAAAAAAAAATTGACATATTCTTGCCAGAAAATCTCATTTTTACCAAAGGAGAAAACAAGATTCAGAAAGTCCCACAAGTAGAACTAAGCAGGAACACATTCTGATGTTGAGAGTAACCTTTGCAATAAAATATATACCTAGGAGGCATCTGGCTACGCATCCTCTTATATAAGCAATCCTGGTATTGGTCCCTTTCCTAACAGCTCTGCTGGTAAAGCTGTCTATTCTTTCTGTGAAATCTGGTAATGTAATCTTTGGGCACTAATCTAAAACCCATATTTGGCCAACAAACATTTCAGTGTTTGATTATGTGCTGGGTATTGTGCTGTGGTTGGTGAGTTAAACAGACACAGCTTATATCCTGAGAAAATGCATCAGGTGCTATGAGAACACATAAAAGGGGATCTTTTCCTAGAAAGTCAGGGACAGTTACCAAGAGTTAGTCCTGTTTAAACTGAGTTGTGAAGGTGGGGGTAGGATTCAGCTTATAGAATAGTGGGTAGACTGAACAGAAGTGCAAAGATGTGTAAACAGGAGGGAGAAGAACATATTTATGAAAACAACATGTTGGATGAGTTGACCAACATGACTGCAGTGAAGAAAGCGAAAAGGGAAGAATCAAAAGATGAAGTTTTGAAGGTGAGTGTCAGATCAACAGAGCCTCAAGGGCCATGTCAAAGATACATATTTACCCCAAAGGCCATAATAAGGCACTACAGTGTAGGATTTTAAGTAAGACCAGGATATGACCAGATTCTCATTTCACATTGTATTAGTTTTATGACATCCATTAGGGTTTTTCAACAAATACGTTCACTTCAGACCTCTTCTAAGTTGTACTTCCCTGCCTCTTCTTTCCATGTGAGATGTGACCATGTGATTTGCTTTGGTCAATGGAATGTAAGCAGAGGCTTCAAGGGCCAGTGTTAGATTCACCATATTTCCTCATTCCCTATAGCACAATAATTGGTAAACTTGAATAGCTTGGCTATATACACTTGTTAGCATGTGTCCCTGAATAACTACAAAAACAGAGTTCCCGTGCTTACAGTAAATATGTATAATTAGCTAAAAATAAGCTTTGGTTGTCTTATATCACTGAGCATTAAAGGTTGGTTTGTTACTACAGCATAACCTATCTACTCTGACTAATACAAGGGTGTATGTTAACTAATCTGTGAGAAATCCTCTAAGTAATTAGCCATGTTTATTCATCTATTCCCTATAATATTTATTTTTCAATGAACATCTTGAAAATAAATGGATAGTACTATGTCAAAGTGCTTAGAAAAAGTAAAGAAAGAATAAAGAATCTTAGAACTGAAGAGAGTTTAGAGATGACCTAGCCTATTCCCCTCAATTTCTAGAAGAGACTACTGAAGCATTTTTTTCAATGGTTTCATCCTAAACAGAAAAAGAGCGTTTTGGGCATTCTGTCCTCTATTTTAGTCATCTTTAAATCATATGTAAACATGTTAATACATATTTACTAGGTACACAGTTTTCTTAGACATTTCTGCTATGTGCTTTGTAGGATACGTTAGCATTATTATTGTTATTAATAAGCAAGTAGAAAAGAAGCTGATTTAATTCACTTTACTCTTTGGGTATTTCCTTCCAAAAAATATTTTTAAATTTCTCATTTTCTATTTACTTTTAACCCTTCATTTCTAAATTAGCCAGGTAATTTGATGCTGAAATTTAATTTCCTTCATTTTTAAAAAGACACGTATAGCTGAGAAACACAAACTGGAGCTTTGATATCAGTCAGATAGTTGTAAAGTTGCTAGTTTTGCCACTTACTAGTTGAGAGCCATGGGGCAAGTTAGTTTTAGTTTTGCTTTTTCAGTCTTCTTCTCTTTCTTTTTTTTTTTTCTTTTGAGATGGAATCTCACTCTGTTGCCCAGCCTGGAGCGCAGTGGTGCATCTCGGCTCACTGCAAGCTTGGCCCGGGTTCATGCCATTCTCCTGCCTCAGCCTCCCAAGTAGCTGGGACTACAGGCACCCACCACTATGCCTGGTTAATTTTTTGTATTTTTAGTAGAGACGGGGTTTCACTGTGTTAGCCAGGATGGTCTCGATCTCTTGACCTTGTGATCTGCCTGCCTTGGCCTCCCAAAGTGTTGGGATTACAGGGGTGAGCCACCACGACTGGCCCCTACTTTTCAAATGTGCATAATGACACCTAGCCCATTGGCTTGTTGTGAAGCATAATAATTATAATGCTACAAGAAATGAAATCATGAATGTCGAATGCCTCAGCATGTCATACAGCAAGTGCTCAATATATATTTGTCCACTCCTTGTTCGATCATAGAAAAACACTGAATAAAACTTGCTTTGATTAGGATAAAATGCTATTTTTATACTATTTGAGGTTTAAAAAACCCTCAAGTAGTTGTTCTGATTGTGTATAATTTCCAAGGAAATAATAAAGAACCAAACTGACCAATAATAGTAAATGACAATTATTCTTGTTTTCCTGATATCTGCTACCAGTTTCTACCACCTCTGAGCTTTGAGTGAACAACTATTATTTCAAGAGGTAGAAATAAAAAAGGACTTGTTCTGAGGTGAAAGCCCAAGTGACAAATTCACAACACTCATAAGCACAGAGTACATAAACCCAAACAATTGCACACTTTGTTTAGATACGGCAATACAATTCCTTTCATGGTCTATAATAACCAGTTGAATAAGTTTATGTTTCTCAATACTATGTGTATGTGTGTATTTGTATGTACATATACATGATACAAACAACACACACACCCCTTTTGTTTAGCATTAAACTTTTCGTAGAAGATTTAGAGACTAGCAGCATGGATTTTATGTTTTTAAATTACTAAGCATCCTTACTAAAAATTATCCACATGGGTTAGAGAGTTCAGCACAAGACTGATAATAACCAGGTTAAAGAATGTGTAAAGAGAAATTATTCTGGAAAGGACACATCTTGGACACATATCCAAGAGTAACTTCCCGGAATCTCTAGAACATCATGTCTAAATATGAGAATATTGGCCATAACAATATGCCTCCTAGATTTTGACTGCAGGGGGCAGAATTGGCTGAAAGCCCCAGCTGCTCTGTTCTGAAATCCACTGAGGTCCACATTCTCCCACAGGCTGCTCCCGGCCAATGACTGTACAACAGAAATACAAAGGCAGGCCCAATCCCATGAGATGAGTGACTCCTCTAATAGTTGGCTTTGGCTTGAGGATTCCCCAACAGCCTTGCTAAGTTTTCATGGAACTGAACAGCAGTCTGAAATGCTTACACCATTCTTCCCCTTCTCTTTCTATCTTTTCCTCAGGGTCAGACTTGCATTAAGGGCTCTTCCAGCCTCTCTGGGATCCCTTCACATTTTTTTTCTCACAGGAATTTACCCTACTAAATTTCTTGCACATTTAATGCTGAATCAGCATCTGCTTCTTGGATAATCCAGGCTAACATAAGCTCACAAAATTTCTAGTAGTAAATGAGCTAAGGTACCTGCACAGCACATTAAAAGTAGTAGTAGTAGCAGTAATAATAATAATAATAATAATAATAGTAGTAGTAGTAGTAGTAGAAGAAGAAATAAGCAAAAAGAAGAAGAAGCTTAATCAATTTCCAAGGCATTTGTTAAATATCTTCCTTTCTGTAATTAGTTTCAGGATAAGGAAGTCATCTACAGCACAACCAAATACCAATCTTTCTGGACTAGCTGTCATTTCAGGTCATTCCGCACCAAGTCCCATTATTGTCCTAGTAAAGGTTATTTCATGAGTTGAGGGGATAACGCTTTGACAAAATTATTTAAATCTTATTCATCTAGTATAATGTGGTTCATTAATTGAAAACTGGAACTAGCTCCCAAGGTCCAGTCCCAGGGTAGGTTTAGACTATCCACTTGTTAAATACCAATGTCTGAAAGGGAAGTATAGTCTTGAAATTATACTGTGGTTAAACAACTGATTTTAAATCATATAGATTATTATGAGTTTACTGCCAGTCTATAGTAAGGTCTGTAGATATCAGTCACAGGCCAGTCCTACTTAACATTTAGAATCAGCTGGAAAATCATTATAGAAAGATCCATGAACTCAACCATAAACCCAACCATGAATCAATGTCAGAAGGAAGCTCTGCTCCTACTATCTTCCATCTGCCCCTTTAAACAAAAGGTTCAATCTGAACTCCTTTTAGAATACATTTTAAAGATTTATAAAATTAAAGGTGTTATTGAGATAAACTTAAGCTATGTTTTTGAAGTTTATCTCAGTTTAGATGCAAACTAAGTTCACTTGGGAATTTTAGGACAAAATATTGTGACTCCAAACTCACTAAATTCCTTCAGAGTATGTAATGGGGAAGAGTAGGAAGCAGCAGGCATCTGTAGTTTTTTTTTAGACAGAATCTTGTTCTGTCACCCAGGCTGGAGTGCAGTGGTGCGATCTTTGCTGACTGCAACCTCTGCCTCCCGGGTACAAGCAATTCTACTGCCTCAGCTTCCTGAGTAGCTGGGATTACAGGCATGCATCACTAATTTTTGTATTTTTAGTATAGATGGGGTTTCACCATGTTGGTCAGGCTGGTCTCGAACTCCTGACCTCTTCATCTGCCTGCCTCGTCCTCCCAAAGTGCTGGGATTACAGGCGTGAGCCACCGTGCCCAGCCCGCATTTGTAGCTTTTAAAACATCACATACGATTCTCATGTGAAACAAGCATGATGAACCATGGCTTGGAAGCCATTGGTTGCCTAATTTTAGTCAGTATAACACGGTGCTTTAGAGTATGGGATCTGGAGATAAACAACCTGGGACCAATTCCCAACTCTGCCCCACTACTATCTTGGTGAACATTAATAAATTACTTAATCTATGTACTTCATTCATTCAACATCGATTTTGTAATTATTGCTTGCCAGGCTCTGTTTTAGAGGTATACCCTAGTAAATGAAACAAATGGAAATTCCTGCCCTTATGACATTTACATTCTAAAGCAAGGAGACTGACAAAATAACAAAAATATAAAGCATACAAAAGAATATATATATATATATATATCTCAGAAGGTGATGAGACAATAGGAGGGAAAAGCAGGACAGAGAGAATTGAGAGAGTATGTGTGTATTGATTTTTCACCCTCACAGAGTTCTGAAGATTTAACAAATTTTACATGCAAAGTACTTGGAGCAGTGCCTGGCACATAATGTTCAGTAAGTGTTAGTGGCTATTCCTTCATTGTACTGATGAAGAAACTGATTTCTAGAGAGATGGAGGAAGCTGCCCAAGCAACCCTAAGAGTTAGGAGGTGAATCAGGCCCAGGACTTCCCCCATTTCTCCCCACTCAACTTCCTCCTACAAGAATTTCACTCTGGGGCTGGAAGACAGATGGTAAAACAATGGGTTCAGAGCCTACCTCTGGACACAGATTCCTGTACCTGAATGTAGCTCTTGCTGGTGCCACACATCAGAAGCAAATATTGCTAAATGGAGCTTTTATTTAGCATCCCTGAGAGCGTGGATAAGTTAAAAGGCTAAAGAAACTCACTTTGCTTGTAGCTCCAGCCAACTCCTTAAACACCTTTCTAGAATGTTCACATAATGGGTTATCTACTGGTCTCCACTTATATCATGAATAAGTAAGCAATGGCTAAGGAAAAATGTAAAAGAAACTATAAAATAAATCTTTGACATAATTTAATATGTAATAATTTCCCTCAAAATAACACTATCTGATGAATAAAGCAAATCTGACCATTTCCCCAAATATATTTAGTCCAGAGCATTATTTTAAAGCATTTTAGAGCCAGATGAAACTTAGAAAACTTACAGGAGACCAGAAGTCAGGAAAGCAAAAATGAAGACATTTTCTTGAGAAAATATATTAATGGAATAACTTATCTGAGCCAAAGTCCTATGAGATGTCCAAACTATTCTTCTAACCCTTTATCAGAATGACTAATGTTTGTTTGGGTTACAAGATAACTATAAAGGTTAAAACCCATATGATGTGACTAACCTCAAACTTTTTCCCATGACCCTCAAGTAGAAGAAAAAAGAAAAACAGTTAATTAAGAATTAAGTCTGAGGCTGAGTAAAGGAAGGGGGAGCAATCAATTTAAACATGTTGCAAACCATACTAGAAATGATTTTTAAAAATATGATTTTCTCTATTTATAGTCCTGCCATATGATAACAAAGCAAAATCTCTTATCCTTATTGTGAAAGCACATGGACCAGAAAAGCAAAAGACAAAATATTAGATATTGGTTTAATATAAGAGACAGCACTGACAGAAAAAAAAATGGGGGAAAGGAAGCCATCAAGGCAGTGGCTGAGAGGCTTGAAAACAAAGATAAGTAAAATGTAAACCTGATGTAAGTTGGTTTTCTCTCTGAAAACAACAGAAAACAGCTATCTGCCTAGGTGGTTTAAGTTTACATATAATTCATTTCTCTATGAATTTTCTTTCTGATTCAGGACATAAGTTAGCAAGATTATTGGCATAGTGAGTCCTAAAACTCTTGTTACATTTAAATAGGCATAATAAATGACAATATGATAGGCATGTTCATGAACTTAAAACCAAAAAAGTTAAAATCTGTTCTTTATTCTTATATGAACCGATTCACCCAATGATTGTTAATCATGTGATTAAACATACATAGGAATTAATGCTGTAACTAAAATAAGAGAAAAAGAATGCCTGTTGAAGACTGAGCTTTTAAGATACAAAAATGAAAACAAAAGATCTATGTGTGACTCTAATGGTGATTCACTTAGTTTGTGGCTGGAGTTACTCCAGCTATGCTTGCAATTAATTTATAAAGGACTTATGCAAAAAGAATTTAATGATGCTTGCATTTATAGGTATTATGTAACCAATCATTATTACTAAATCAACAAAAACAAAGTTCTAATCAAATTTACCAAATGTTCCATAAACCCAGTTACAAAGCAAGTGATGGTTTTCTTCTGTTTGGCTTCATTTCAAAATTGTGTTGTAAAAGCAGAGTTTCTGTATTAGTTTCCTAAGGCTGCCATAATAAAATATCATAAACTGCATGGCTTAAAATAACAGGAATTTATTGTCTCACAGTTCTGGAAGCTAAAAGTTAGAATTCAAGGTATTGGCAGGGCCATGCTCCTTCTGAAGCCTACAGGGGATGTTCCTTCCTTGCCTCTTTCAGCTTCTGATAGACCCAGGCATTCCTTGGCTTAAGGAGCATAACTCCAATAGCAGCCTGAATCTTTACATGGCGTTCTTCCTGTTTAGCTCTGTCTTTACATGGGATCTTCTTATAAGGATACCAGTCATATTGGATTAGAGGCCCATCTCTCCAGTGTGACTTCATCTTAAGTAATTATATCTGCAGTGACTGTATCACCAACTAAGATCACATTCTGAGGTACTAGAGAAGACTTCTATATACATATATATTTGTATCCCTCACTCATTAATCTCTTGCCTTGCTCTATTTTTCTGCATGGTAGTTATCACCATCCCAAATTACATTTACTTATATGTAAATGTAAGGCAGGGACTTGGCAGTCTTATCTCCTACTGCATTCCCAGGGTCTACATATTTATATATAGAAATAAAAATAAAAATATATATATTTTACGCAACTCAATCCATAACAATGTGTAACTACTGTTTCACTTATATTATCTGTCTATAGAGAAAATAATAATATCTTTAAAACAATATTTTTTGAGAAAATAAGTCTTTCCATTACAGGCCCTAAGGATTTACAGACTGATGTTCCAGTTCCTATTTCCAGAGCTAAGTATATTATGGGTAACCATTAATTTCTTCTTAAGCCCTTATAGGTTTCTCCTTCAAGGTCTCCCTCCTATACCTGGACCTCTTCCACCAACTGCTCACTGCTGCAATGCTTTCCTGAAATGCTCCTTATGCTTCCTCACCATTAAATCCCTTCTGTTCTTCAAGGGCCAGCTGATGTCCTCCTTCAGGAAGCCTGCTCTGATCAATGACTGTGTCCACAGTGACTTAAAAGTAACTTATCTTCCTCTAAACCCTTGAGTGCTTGTGTCTGAATTATTTAACTGGCTACCATCTCACTGATATTTTTCAAAATATATTTATGGAGGTTATTTTTAAATTAAGTAGCACATTACATAACTCAAAGCTCAAAAAGCATAAAAAGTCATCCTGTCACCGCTGACTTCCATATTCACTGGACCTCCACACATCACCTAACACCCTTCTCAATCCACTCTTTTGCAAAATCATAGCTTGGACTAGATGACCTCTAAGGTCCCTATCTGCCTAAAAACACAAAGGTCCTAACACTGAGTTTTTAAAGATGAGGGGTAGCATATGGTGGTACTTCTACTCTCTTATACAAAAGAACCTAATTGGAAAACCAGATATATCTCTCTCTTTATTTCTCATTGTTTTTTTCAATCTTACTCCAGGCACTGTTGGAGGCCCTGGGAATGCAGCGGCAAATAAGACTGTCAAGTCCCTGCTTTACATTTACATATAAGTAAATGTAATTTTGGATGGTGATAACTATCATGCAGAAGAACAGAGCAAGCCAAGAGATTAGTGAATGAAAAGGGTAAAAGATACTTTAAACATTTGGAACATTCTCTGGGAGGTGCTATTTGAGAGAGACCTGAAAGATCTGGAGAAGAGCATTCCATACACAAGGAATCGCAAGTGCAAAGGCCCAGAGCAGGAAAGCAGAGGTTGGAGCACAATGTTCTGCAACAGGCCTTTTCACTTTATTTCAGAGCTAGTACATCTTGATCCTCTTCATTCTTTTTTATTGGTGCATTTTATTCTATTATATGTAGGCTTCATGATTTATTAATAGTCCTCTATTGAAGACATGTAGGTTGCTGCCAATTTTTTGTTGTTACAAGCAAAACGTTACACACAATGAAGAGTCAGCATAGCCTGGTGGAATCAAACAGAATCAGAACTGGAAACAACTCATTTTCTTTCTTTCCTTGTGTTATTCTTTATTTCTACTATATTTCACTGATTGTTCTGGGCATTAGAGATACAGAAGTGAAATAGGTGGTTCATCTTCCTGCCCTCAGGATGCTTATATTCTGGTGGGAGAGAAAGGCGATATGAAAACAAACATGTATATAAAGAGGATATAGCTTTGGATTGTGACAAATGCTGTAAAAAAAACTAAAGAAGGACAAGGTGTTCCTAGGACCTTGGGCAAAGCTGTGGGTGCTGTTTTAGATATGTTGGTCAAAGACAGCCTTTGAAGAGGTGGCATTTGAGCAAAATATGAATGATGTGAGAGCAAGCCATACAAAAGTCTGAGGAAGTACATTTCAGACAGAAGTGCAGCATGTGTGAAGAGCTGAGATGAGGAGGAGCATGGCACACTGGAAGCGCAGCAAGAAGGCAGAATGGTCAGAGCACACCTAGCCAGATATTAGGAAACAAGTTGAGGCTGGACACACAGGCAAGGCAGGGCCCAGAGACCCTGTGGCCACACAAGACATTCTGATTCATTATAAGTGTAATGGGAAACCATTAGGAAGGGCCTTTGAAAAAGAAAATTACATGTTCTCATTTTATGTTTAGAAAGCTTGCTCTGTCTGTATGCAGAGAGGAGACTATGAGGAGGATCAGTGGAACCAGGGATATGAGTCTTGCTGTAGACCAGGTGAGATTTGATGGTGGCATATACTAGGGTGGACATGATAAATATGCTGAAAAGTGTGTAGATTTGGGATATACTTTGAAGACAGAGCCAAAAGGAGTTGTTGGTAGACTGAACATAGAAAAAAAGGAAAAAGAGGGAAATGAAGGATGACTCCTTGGTTTTTTTCCTGAACTGAATGAATTGTGGAGCCGTGGACCAAGATGAGGAAAACTGGAGTAGGAGTACAGTGAGTGGTTACAGGGGAAGATGTCAAGAAGGACATAGTAAGAGTTGAAAACCTGTTAGGCATCTGGATGGAGATTATCGTGAATGGCTGGATAAGCAGAAGATATCACCAGCAACTGAAAAAAAAAAGAATTATTTTGCCTACCCAGGATTTATCAGTATATTTAAAAATCAATTGATTAGGTTCAACAACCTAAGGAGGGAGCATACACAGAGAAAAGCAGAGGACCACGGCCACACCCTTCCACATGTAGAGACTGAGAAAAAAAGGACTAAGTAAAAGAGATGAGAAATAGGGGGAACAAATAAAGAATGTAGGGTTCCAAAGTTACCTACAAGTCATAGGATCCAGACTTTGACCTGTGGCTTCCTCAACTGTAAAACAGTAATTTCCTGTAAGAATTTGTAGGGATTAAATAAGATTATATATGTGAGGTGCCTAGCAGAAAACCTGGCCACAATAAATATTCAGTAAACTCTAATAGTTGGCAAAATTTTGAATGTTCCTTATGTGCATGACTGCTATGGTTTAAATGCTTCTTTTTTTTTTCTTTCCAAAATTTATATGGAAACTTAATCCTCAATACAACAGTACTGGAAGATGAGGGCTTTGAGAAGTGATTGAGTCATGAGGACTTTGCCCTCATGAATTGGATTAGGTGCCCTTATAAAAGGGCTTGATAGAGGGAGTTTGCTCCCTTTTTGTCCTTCTGCCTTCTGCCATATGAAGACACAGCATTCCTCCCTTCAGGAGAACATGGTGTTCAAGGCACCATCTTGAACCATCTTGCGGTTCAAGGCCACGTCTTCACTGGACAATCAACCTGCTAGTGCCTTGATCTTGGACTTCCCAGCCTTCAGAACTGTTAGAAATAAGTATCTGCTCTTTATAAATTACCTAGTCTCAGATATTTTGTTGTAGCAGCACAAACAGACAATAACTATTGTGTTATTTTTATATTTGGGTTAATATAAGCAAAGATGAATAATTCATGTATAACTAAAAACAGATATATCTACTAATACATAAATACTATCCTCATCCATATATGAACAAAAGTTAATACCATCATAGTTAAACATATAAAGGAGCAATAATAGAACCCATGCTAGACAATAGATAATAGGCAATTGACCTTCTTCATTTTAGAGTGGTGTGTATGTATGTATGTATGTATGTATGTATGTGTATTCCAAATATATAATGACTAAGTTTTAAAAAATTATTTTCTAGACCATCTTGGAAGAAATCCACCTAAAAAGTAGAGTTGTGTGTATACAGGATGAGGGGGGAATAAAATGAGCACATTGAGTGCTATGTGTCATCTAGCACAACAGATGATTCTAATTTTCTTTAATTTGCTCCTCATAAAAACATCATGAGATAATAAGTTCAATTTACTAATGGCTGTTCTAAACAAAATAAAAACTTTTAGTAAAAGTAATAATCAATTAGAAATTTTAATTGATCTTATTTGTCCTCTTGATTTAAAAAACATTAACCATAAGAGCCACTATTTATTAGAATATCTATTATGAGTATCTATTATGCTCAAGGCACGGTAACTCATAATTTATATACCGTTTTTATTCATTTTCAAAAGAATGCAACAAGGCCGGGCACTGTGGCTCACACCTGTAATCCCAGCACAAAAAATTAGCTGGGCATGGTGGTGGGCGCCTGTAGTCCCAGCTACTTGGGAGGCTGAGGCAGGAGAATGGCATGAACCCGGGAGGCGGAGCTTGCAGTGAGCCGAGATCATGCCACTGCACTCCAGCCTGGGTGACAGAGTGAGACTCCATCTCAAAAAAAACCCCAAAAAACAAAAAAATGCAACAAAAGATGGGTGTTATTATCACCATTTTATAGAAGGTATACTTGAGGCTCAAGAGTTTATGTAAATTGCTTTAAAAATATAGCTAGTAAGTCACAAAACAAGAATGTGGGCACTGATCTTTCTCATTAAAAAGCCCTCATTCCACCTACTATGCCAGGCCATCGTCATAATACTTTGACATTTAACCTCCTGTTCAATATTCCTTATGTTTTCATTCATATTTATCAACAAATATTTTCTGTCTAAACAGCTCATATCAAAATATCTAAGAGTAAACAAGGTCACATCAAGTTCTATGTTACCTTATACATTTACGAGATTTACAAATCTCTTACAAGATTGAAGCCGAGCTTAAAAACAAAACAAAAACACTCCCAGAATTTCTGAGTCTAATGCTTACCAGGAAACAACTTGCCTCCAACTCTTACAACATACAATATAACAGGCAGTATTAGTTGAATAAATAGTAAGTGGAAGCAACCAGGTTGTCTAATAGTCAACAGGAGAAATAAATCCACTCCATGACATAGTTAACACAGAGCTATAGTAATATGTGGTTCAGGACATTCAAAATTAGGCCAGCTGGTTATCCAAAGAACACAGGATGGTGATGGTATACTCTGCAGTTACCATAAATTGTCACTGAATGTTCAAGGCCCTGTACAGAATGAAATAAAAAACAAAGAAAACAAGCAAAAGCAATCTCTGAGTTGATAGAGATGACTATTGAAAGAATTAGAACTAAGGAATATATTCACTGTTCACGCTTTTCCAGTAATTCCTCCTAATTTTACCTGAACTTGACTAAACAGTTCATATTTACATGACCCTCCAATTTTTAACTAGAAACATGTATTGCCCTTTGGAATTATCTTGTACACACTTCTTTCCTTGTGCAGCATGGGCTGCACAGTGTTTTGTTTTCAATAAAATATCTGCTGAAATGCCTCTGTGTAAGAGGGTAGAGAGGGGACTGTATAAAAAAATTATTTGTAATGAAAGATGAGTTGGAGTAAGGATAATAAACAGAGACCAAGATTCCTACCATTGTTTAACTTCGTACTACCTTTAGAGAAAGAATTAATCATAATTTATTAGTAACAGCATCTCATTTTTAAAAACTTCTCAATTATTATAAGCATACATTATTGTCTAGTTCATATCCATATAAAATGTATGAAGAAAAGGTTCTTTTCAGAATGTTTTCAACCAAATGCATTCAAAATTCTTTATTAAGATACACTCTTCAGGTCACTGAATCCATCACTGAAGACATAGGAACAGGCAAGTAGGAGCATATACAATGCATCGGCTTGACTAGAAACTAGCTGTCTGTCAACTGCTGAAATTATCTTGTCACAAATTCAAGAAAAGTAATGATCAATCCACACCCAAACAGTAAGGTTAATGAATGATTGGAGTGGTCAGGTTCAGATTATGCCATATTCATTCAGCAAGCCTGGACTTAAGGTCTCCATGGGTCAGGCAGTGAGTTAGGGACAGAAAGATGAAACACATAGCTGCTGTCCTCAGGACTCACATGCCTGTGTGAAAGATTCATCAACAACCCAATATAAGATAGAGTTCTAACTGCTATATTTTACCTCTGTGTAAAGTTGTATGAATACACAGAGGAGGTATATTAGTCTGCTCATGCTGCCCTAACAAAATAACATAGACTGAATAGATTAAAAAACAGAAATGTTTTTTGTATTTTCTCACAGTTCTGGATGCTGGGAAGTCCAAGATCAAGGTGCTAGTCAATTTGGCTCCTGGGGAGGGCTCCCTTTCTGGCTTGTAGATGGCAGCCTTCTTGTTGTATCTTCCCAAGGCAAAGAGAGCTCTTAGGGCACAAATCCCATCATTAGGGTCCTGCCCCCATAACTTCATCTAACCCTAATTCCTCCCAAAGGCCCCATCTCTAAAGAGTATCACATTGAGAGTTATGGCTTCAACATATAAATTTTGGGGGAACACAACATTCAGTTCACAAAAAGAGGGAAGAGTTGTATCTGCCTAGTGCTGTAGAGAAGGGTATTATAGAAGCAACATTTGAACTTGGTCTCAAAGCAGGCATAGGAGGTAACCAGTGGAAGAGCTGGGAGGGCTTACCTTATAGAGCAAACAGCAGGAACAAAAACACAGAAGGAGAAACAAACATAATCATTTCAGCATATATAGAGTAAGGAGTGCCTTAGAGAAAGCAAAAAGTGAGGCAGGAAAATTAGGATGAGACCTGATTGTAGAAACTCCCTGAGCATAATGTTTATGAGCTTAAAATTTCTTTTTATGGGCAGTGGGAAGTTTATGAAATTGTATGTGTATGTACCTGTGTGTGTATGTATGTTATAATAAAGTCTGTTGTTTGGATAACAGTTACATAAGTTCAATATCTAAAAATTGAGTTTTTAAAAGTTTCTATGTTGAAATAATTTTAAACTTATAGAAAGGTTGCAAGAATAGTACAAAGAACTTCTTTGTAGTTTTTATCCAGATTTACCAATCATTACTCTCTTGCCATATTTATTGTTCTCTTTTTACATATATATGCATATATCATTTATATACTGATATGGATGTGTATGTGTATCTATACACACATACACATACTCACATGTACATACATACATTTTTTTCTAAACTAGTTGAGAATGGGTTCACACATTAATCCCTTTATCTCTTAATAATTCAGTGTATATGTTACAGAAATAAAGATACTCTATGCCAGGCACGGTGGCTCACACTTGTAATCCCAGCACTTTGGGAGGCTGAAGTGGGTGGATCACCTGAGGTCAGGAGTTCAAGACCAGCCTGACCAACATAGTGAAACGCTGTCTCTACTAAAAATACAAAAATTAGCTGGCTGTGGTGGCACATGCTACACTGTAATCCCAGCTACTCAGGGGGCTAAAGCAGGAGAATCGCTTGAACCTGGGAGGCAGAGATTTCAGTGAGCCAAGATTACGCCATTGCACTCCAGCCTGGGCAACAAGAGCGAAACTCCAACTCAAAAAAACAAAAACAAAAAAAAGGATACTCTATAGCTACGGTATAATTATCAAACTCAGGACATTAACACTGATGTAATAATTTTATCTATTCCAATTTTGTCAATTGCCTTAATAGTGATCTGTATACTATGTCAATTGTTTTTCTTGTATAGGACCTAATCCAGGACCATGTATTGCATTTCACTTTCTTGCTTCTTTTGTCTCCTTCAATCTGGAACAGTTCCTGAGTCTTTATTTTATTTTTTGTTTCAGGAAACTAACCTTTTCTTTAATAGTGAGAACTTTTAAAGCAACAATATGTTTTAAAATCTTTATTACTGAAAAATAACTAAGGTCTTCAAGAAAGAAATGGATAGATGACAGAGAGTATTAAATAAGGGGCAGGGAGGAGCCTTGGGAGATCAAACCAGCTAAGATGCTACTGGGATGGGAGAGGATGGGAGAGAAGGGAGGACACTTATGTGGGAGACCCAACAGGATTTAGCGCAGGTTATGTGCAAAAAGAAAAAAAAAAAAAGGAAAGTTTGATTCTAATTTGGACCATTTAGTGGAGTGACAAGGACTACAGGATAAACAGCAGATTTTGTTTTTGTTTGATTCTAGGTTGAAGGAGATGACCAGTTTTGATTTTGAATGTTAAGTGGATCTGTGTACTAGGCAGCTGGAAAAAAGTCATGGAGCTCAAGTGAGATATCTAGGATAGAGATGGATTACCTAAAGGAGGATAAACCTAAACAGCTCAGCTTCTGCTTATCTTTGTATTTCCCAACTGAACACAGCAAATATTTAATAAAGATAGTAGAATGACAACCATCTCACAGTAGCCTAAGGAAAAGGCAAGGGGTAGCAGAGTTTCATTCTAGGCAGATGAGGGCTGGGGGGACTCTGGGGATTTCCCTGAAGAACTGAGGAACCCCTGAGTCAGTCAACCAGGGCAGCTCCTCCTCTGTGCTGGGAATCAGTCAAACAAGAATTAACAGGGCACCAGAAGCACACAGTGCTTTGTACCAGTGCCACAATCCCCCAACCAGAATTTCCAAACCCCAAAAGCTCTTCTAAGCAAAAAGCATTTTGGTATCTCATTTGGCAGCAAAACCTGACCTGAAATGATGTGAGGCTATTGATAGTTTACACATCCCACACACTGTAAATATTCAATGTTTCACTACATGGCTACTAATGTGTTTGATAATAAATGCTGCCTCAGAACCCACTGGGGATGGTAGTTTATTCACGGTAAATGCATTCTGGGATGGCACTCTATCTCCTGTCTAAAATCCAAAAAAATCTGAATTTCAAACTCATGTGACTAAAAATTTCAGATATGCAAAGGTATTTGAAAAGTGGGCTAAATACTTTGCAACCTAGACTGATTCCTTTAAATGAATATTTTGCTCATGAAAATGTGAGTGGCGCTCAAAGAAGCTTCCCCAGTCTTTGACACTTCGTATCTGGAACTACTAAGGAGACCTTCGTTTCCCCTCCTCTGACCCACTGTTTCTGTTTTTTTCTTTCTTTTTTTTTTTTTTTGAGACGGAGTCTTGCTCTGTCGCCCAGGCTGGAGTGCAGTGGTGCAACCTCGGTTCACTGCAGGCTCCACCTCATTCTCCTGCCTCAGCCTCCTGAGTAGCTGGGACTACGGGCGCCTGCCACCATGCCCGGCTAGTTTTTTTGTATTTTTAGTACAGACGGGGTTTCACCATATTAGCCAGGATGGTCTCGATCTCCTGACCTTGTGATCTGCCCACCTTGGCCTCCCAAAGTGCTGGGATTACAGGCATGAGCCACCGCACCGGGCCCCCACTGTTTCTTATTGCAGGATATTTGGCTCTTTGTTTCTGTCCCTAGGCAATCATTACAGGACTGGCTCACCATTCTGATCCAAAGTCTTCATTCTTCAGGATATGGTTTTTGCTATTTTATCTATGGCCCTTCTGAATTGTAACTGCTTTTTAAGAATAGGGCCTACCAGCATCCTTCCCCAACCAGCCCTCCCCTACCCCTATCGTCACCTGTCTCTTGCTTTCCTGCCCTGAGTTGTTGGGGGAAGGGGAAGTGGAAAAAGAAATCATGTTAGCCATTCAGCCATCCAGTTGGTCATTTGCTTGCTTCATTTATTCATTGAAGAAATATATATACCGATCATCTACAACATGCCAGATGTTGTAGATGCCTTTTCCTCAACTACACTATGTACTTGACATACAGTAATTAACAGACATATTTAGTGTCATCATTGAGCTTACAATCTAACCAGGGGAAAGGGTATTAAATATCTACAATTGTATTAAGTGCTGCAAATGGGGATTGCAGAGTGCAAGAAGAGTGTGTAAGGGGGCAGAAGGGGCCTAACTTTGTATAAAAATTCAAGAAGTCTTCCTGAAGGAAGTGACTTTTGAGTTGAAAAAGAGAAAGACGAGAAGGAGGTAGCGAGATAAAGAGGGTAAAGTTGAGGGGAGGGGTGGAGGTAAAGAGAAATTCAAGCAAAGCAAATAGCATAAAAAGAAGCCAAGGCAGGAAGGAACTTGTACTAAAGGCAGAAAAGAAAGATGTAACTGTGGCCAGAGAAGAGAAAGAGAGAGCACATTGGACGAATTGGATGAGATAAAAGAATGCTGATTTTGCATGGTACAGGTACCAAAACAGATATATATAGACCAGTGGAACAGAACAGAGGCCTCGGAAATAATACCACACATCTACAATCATCTGATCTTTGACAAACCTGACAAAAACAAGAAATGGAGACAGGATTCCCTATTTAATAAATGGTGTTGGGTAAACTGGCTAGCCATATGCAGAAAACTGCAACTGGACCCCTTCCTTACACCTTATACAAAAATTAATTCAAGATGGATTAAAGACTTAAACATAATACCTAAAACCATAAAAAACCCTAGAAGAAAACCTAGGCAATACCATTCAGGACATAGGCATGGGCAAAGACTTCATGACTAAAACACCAAAAGCAATTGCAACAAAAGCTAAAATAGACAAATAGGATCTAATTAAACTAAAGAACTATGCACAGCCAAAGAAACTATCATCAGAGTGAATAGGCAACCTACAAAATGAGAGAAAATGTTTGCAATCTATCCATCTGACAAAGGGCTAATATCCAGAATCTACAAGGAACTTAAATTAAACAAATTTACAAGAAAAAAACAAACAACCCCATCAAAAAGTGTGCAAAGGATATGAACAGACACTTCTCAAAAGAAGACATTTATGCAGCCAACAAACATATGAAAAAAAGCTCATCATCACTGGTCATTAGAGAAATGCAAATCAAAACCACAATGAGATACCACCTCACGCCAGCTAGAATGGCGATCATTAAAAAGTCAGGAAACAACAGATGCTGGAGAGGATGTGGAGAAATAGGAATACTTTTATACTGTTGGTGGAAGTGTAAATTAGTTCTACCATTGTGGAAGACAGTGTGGCGATTCCTCAAGGATCGAGAAACAGAAATACCATTTGACCCAGCAATCCCATTATTGGGTATATACCCAAAGGATTACAAATCATTCTACTATAAAGACACATGGACTCGTATGTTTATTGCAGCACTATTCTCAATAGCAAAGACTTGGAACCAACTCAAATGCCCATCAATGATAGACTGGATTAAGAAAATGTGGCACATATACATCATGGAATAATATGCAGCCATAAAAAAGGATGGCTTCATGTCCTTTGCAGGGACACGGATGAAGCTGGAAACCACCATTCTCCGCAAACTAACACAGGAATAGAAAACCAAACACCGCATGTTCTCACTCATAAGTGGGAGTTGAACAGTGATAACACATGGACACAGGGAGGGGAACATCACACACCGGAGCCTGCCAGAAGGTGGGGAGCTAGCGGAGGGAGAGCATTAGGAGAAATACCTAAAGCAGATGACGGGTTGATGGGTGTAGCAAACCACCATGGCATGTGTATACCTATGTAACAAACCTGCACGTTCTGCACATGTACCCCAGAACTTAAAGTATTAAAAAAAATGCTGGTTTTTATCCTAAGAGTACTACTCAGCCATTGAGGCGGTTTAAGTAAGGATGTGACATAATCAGATACTACTCAGCAGATCACTCTGGCTGTAGTGTGGAGAAGGCATTGGAAGATGAAGAGTGAGTGTAGGAAGAATCAATAAAATATAAAATGGTTCTTCCCTCTTAAGACACATACACATCTAATAGAAGAGATAATACAGAAGGATACCCAAGGAGCATGACTCTGAGCAGACGGAACCTCCCTGCTGTAGGGAGGATCATACAGCCTAGTTGCACATGGGTAAGGCCAAGGCTTTCAGGAAGTCCCCATCATCTCCGAGGAAGAGAAACAAAACTCTTTCCAGATGGGTCCTCAGCACTGCCCTTCACCTCTGAGGGAGAAGCCCCGAGGGAGGTTGTACACTTGCATGTGCATGAATGCCTATGTTTGTGTGCTCTCTGGATCTCTCTCTCTCTCTCTCCCTCCCTCCCTCCCTCACTGCTCTGTCCATATAACCACTCTAAAATCTTTCACCCTGACCACCTCAGAAGTCCAACCACTGTGCTACAACCAAAGAACTCTCTATCTCTTAGGACCTTCTTCCATGTTTTGTATATGAATAATATCTTATTGGGATAAAAAACACAGTAAGATGATTTCACCCCTAAGTTTGCTGTCTATAAATACTGATCATTTAAGCTCTTAAGATGGCCATGAAGTTTGCATTAAGAATCATAATCATATGTTATCATATATAAATGACTTCACTCAAATTGAGAAGAATTTATTCTGGCTTACTTCCACACTCCGAGACCTTTATGCTGCCTGCTGGCATTAGGAACACTGCTGGAATTCATTGTTGAACAGAACTTTCCCTGAACTGAAACTTTACACTAAAAAGCAGTGAAGAGAACTTGTTACCATTCATTTATTTTGGACTCAGATTCAAAGGGTGAAAGAAAGGGGGGAAGGACAATAGTTCTTTGACACTAGCACTGGTAACTTAGCAAAAGGCCAAAAATGTCCCCATTAGACTTGATTGCCTGAGGCAGAAGTCAGGAAAATAATTATGCCAAGTAGATCTTGAGCAGAAGGAGAAAGATAATATATGTCATGAAGCACATCAAGCCATTACCAAATATTATGCATAGTCCCTGTGAATTCTAAAAATTCCCAGCTCTTCAATACTGTGGAATTTTATCAACAAGCAGGATAAAATGATATATTCAGAAATTTAAGGAACTTGTGCATTTGAAGCGAGGCTTTTCTTCTTTCATTTTTGCATTTGTATGAAAATAATACTCAAATATGGAAGGAAATGAGTATTGTACTCATCAGAACTATTTAGTATTCCAAGAAATAGTAACAATCACCTAAAATGTACTATTTGAAACTTACTATTCGGACATGACTCTGTTAGTTCCTATTATTCCTCTAATTGTAACTTTGGGTTCTAAAGTACTATGGCAAACTCTGGAAGTACAAATTCAGTAGGTTGGGGCAAAAATAAAATCTCTTTCTGGAATATGTGAAGGTCTGTCTTTTCTTTATTCTCTTACTACTATATACATCTTCCTAAGAAAAGTTGACAGTTTTTCTGGACTGAGATTTATGAATAACTGCCAAATTTAAAAACGGTTTGAATAAAAGCAAATAATTGGCAGACCAACAGTTTATTAAAATTCCACAACTATATTTCCATCTAATGTTGCATGTTATCCTTGCCCACAGCCAGTCACTGCCAAAACACCAGCAATCTCAGAAAATAGTAAAATGTGTTAGGTAACATTCTTTTGGACCATATTGATTTTACTTTCTCAGTTTCAATTCACAGTACACTGTAGAATTAACCATTTCAACATTAATAACTGTTAAAGATGTGCCCTAAAAAGTTATCTTGGCCTCTTAGGTGACAAAATAAAAAGTTGTGAATAGTATTGTTCAAACTTTAGAGATTCTATGTGGTACAAGTTGAGTGCAGAGGAATGTCCATCATCTATCTCTATCTCTTTATCTATACCTATACCTACCTACCTACATACATACATATACACACACATATACATACATATATATGTATGTGTGTGTGTGTGTGTATGTGTATATATATATATATATATATATATATATATATATATATATATATATAAAAATAATTCAAGAAGCCTTTCAGGATGAGAATTTATTTACATTTCTAGTTCACCATACCTTTGGGGCACTTTCTTCCCTTATAGCTTTCTAAACTCATAATTAATTATAGATAACTTCTAATTGGCTCAAATTATTCTTAAAACCATTAAACAGAGAAAGTGCTCATTGTTCTTCAACATTCAGTCCTCTCTTTTTTCCCAAAATTTTAGGTAAGCACAAAACTACATTAACTAGAGACAAATTTCCCTCTGTTTCTCTTGCAAACCAAGTTTTGCCAGTGGCATGAGAGTGGACACAACTGTGCAATTTCTAGGTCACATCAGAAAACTGCTTGCTTTCACTTCCTCTTTTCCCATACTTATTACTTAATAATATTTAATGTACATTGGCTACTTTATGCAAATTGATAACATCCTGAGAATAGAAAAGTTAGTAAAAATTGTTTTCATGTTCAACTTGTTTCTAAACTAAGAGAGTTAAGTAAAATCACAAATAGCTAGAAACAAGGTAAAACAAGTATCATCATAGATATGCACACAATGCCTACGGGTTCAAAAGAACAAGATAATGTATCTAGCCTGAGGTATCCAAAACGATTTTTTATTTAGGAGTTAATTATTAAGAATTGTGTTAATGAATGGCTAGTGTAGAAGAGGATGGCTCCGTTTTCCATGTCCCACCTATCAGAATGCAGAAAAGTCAAAGGCTTTGTGTGAGTTTCAACACTGGAGCTGAGTTAGCTAACAGTATTACATGAACACTATATGTCAGATAATGTGTTTAATGCTTTATATGTTGAGTTTTCTATAGCTGCTGTAAAACATTATCACACACGTAGTGACTTTAAAGGGCACAAATTTATTATCTTACAGTTCTGGAAATGAGAAGTCTAAAATGTGTTTCATGGGGTTAAACTGAAGGTATCAGAAGGGCTACATTTCTTTCTGGAACCTCTAGAGGGTAATCCATTTCCTTGACCTTTCTAGCTTCTAGATGCTGCCCACATGCCTTGGCTAGTGGCCCCGTCCTCTGTCTTCAAAACTAACAATGGCTGGTTGAGTTCTTCACACACTGTGTCACTCTGATCTCTTCTGCCTCCCTTTTTTACTTTAAAGAACACTTGTGATTACATTGGGCTCACTTGACTAATCTAGGACAATATCCCTATCTCAAGGTCAGCTGATGAGAAACCGTAATTCCACCTGCAACCTTAATTCCCCCTTGCTATGTAACAGCATATTCACAGGTTATGAAGACTAGAACATGGACATCTTTCCTGGGGGGAGGGCATTATTCTGCCTACCACATGTGGATAGCCTCATTTAATCTTCACAACAGATTTATAGATTTGGTACTGGCATTAACTCTACAGATAAGCAATGAGGACACAGAAATGTTAATCAATTTGACTATAATCACCAAGTCAATAAATGACAATTCAGGAATTAAAACTCAAATATTTCTTACCCCAGGGCCTAAACTCTGACAGGGTGTCCAACAATCCTGGTTTGCTTGAGACTAGCCAGTTTTAACAATGAATTTCCAAGCCAGGAAAACACTAGTCCCAGGCAAACCATGATGGTTAGTCATTATGTCTGAACCTTTAACCCAAATCCTGGTAACAATAGTTTAACAAGATTTTATTAAGAGCCTAGTGATCATAGATCACAACTAAACTCCAGAGAGCTCTACTGCCATGGCAGACATCCCCTAACATGGCAAAGAGATGCTAGAGAAATGCCACCTCTTTCTAGAAATCACTTTTTCCTGGTTTGACAAAAGTGAATTTGCTGAAAATGGTCAAGATAATTTATCCTAAGAAGATTCATAAGCAGAACCTTGGAAGTAGATAAAAGAATGAATTTGAAGTGGAAATGCAGTTTTGTCTTCTTGTAGTATGTCTAACAAATCAAATAATCCCAAACCACTAACTATTATAGGTCCTCATTTTAGCCCCTGCTAATTAATTACTTAGAATTCACTAAAATTAGTGTTTCAGATTGCATTTCCCTAGAAGCTGATGTTGGGTCAGGAATTAGAGTGTAAGTTTCTTCTTTAGGAGGTGATCCTAGGAGGCACTCATGTGGAGGTAGGAAAAGGAGAAAGGAAGGAAGGAAACCAAGTACAAAGTGTGAGGATGAGCAGGTTACTGATGGGGGCCCGCTGGGACCTTTGAGAGATGGTGTAGAACATGAATTGGAGTTGTTCTCCACCCAAGAGGAGAGGAAGCTGGAATGTTCCTCCTCCAACTCCCATCTGACTTTAGCTAAGGACGGCTCCTAGGGTTGACTTTGGCTAAGGATGGCTCCTAGGGTATCAATTCCCTAGCATTCTGGCCTGGCAGTAGGAAGCCGTCAGCACACACTGAAACAGTGCATGCAAAGGGATATGGACAGAGCACCAACATCTCCACTATACTTTGCCTACCCAAATCATATTCTGAGTCTTACCACTTCTCACAGTGTCTACAGCTACAACCCTAGTTTAAGCCACTTTCCCTGGACCACTGCAGCAACTACTTCAGCAGCTTTCCTGCCTCAACTCTTCCTCCCTACCCAATCCCCACAAAACAGCGCAAATGATTTTTCCAAAGCATGAATTCAATTATGTCGAATCCACCCTACCAAAAATTCAAACAGATTCTCACTCTACCAAAAATTCACCCTACCCTCACCCTACCAAAAATCCAAACAGATTCTCATTGTAACTAGAATAAAATCCAGCTTCCTTATAGCCTTTAAAGCCTCACATGATCTGACCATCTTCATCTTTCTGACCTCATTTCCAAAATAAGGATGTTCACTACTCAGCCACACTACTCTTCTTTTTTGTTAACTAAACCTGTCTCAGGGTCTTTGCTCCTTTGTTCATTCCACTTATAATGTAATTCCTAGTGGATCTTTACATCTGACACCTTCTCACCACTCAGGTCTAACTTAAATATCACCTCCACACAAAACCTTAGCCCCAGTCACACTTTTAAATTACTTTATTTAGAGCATTTCTTGGGTCCTTCAAATTATCTTTTTATGTTTTCATATTTATTATCTTTCTCCTCGCATCAAAATATAAACTCCTAATAGGCAGGGATTTAGCATGTCTTGTTCAACCCCACAGTCCACCCTTCATATCCAAGGGTTCTACATCTACAGATTTAACCAACCATGAATTGAAAATATTTCAAGAAAATACGTAACAGTAAACAATAATACAAATTAAAAAATAATACAGTATAACATTGTTTACATATCATTTACATTGTATTAGATATGATGAATAATGTAGAGATGATTTGAAGTATAGGGTAGGATGTGTGTAGGTTATACACAAATACTACATCATTTTCTATCAAGGACTTCAGCATCCATGGATTTTGGTATCTGAGGGGGTACTGGAACCAATTCCCCTGGATACCAAGGGACAGCTATATATCCCCAGTATGTAGAATGTCACCAGGCACATTTTAGTGATTTCAGAAATATTTATTTAATGAAAAAATAGGTTTCCAAGATTGATGAGGTTGAATGAAAAGTGCTGTCTTTCATATTGTAAATATAATTCCAATATGCCTAGTTTATTATTGGTTTATGATAATCATAAAATGATGGTTTGCTAAGCAAAGGCAAAACTGATGAGATTATGGAAAAATTTTCCTCAGTGGAGTCCCAATTAATGAAGTTCTACTTTCAAAGAGGCTTCTATGATAATGTTATGCTTATTTTTGGAATGGAAATAAAATGACATCTTGCAATTTTCTTTTTCCCCTTAAATAAACCTACTTAAACTATAAATTAAGACTGTTCTCTTCCAGGGTTTAGTGATGCCTTGAAAAATAACTGAAACTAACAGTGTCAAAAAACATATCAGTCAATTTCCAGGAGACACATTATTGCTTTCTGAAAATCTAGACAGCTCTACTTTAAATATTTAAATTAAGGCTGTTTTATTTTATTTTCTGTATTGTGGTTTCTGCCTTGTCATTTCACATGTGGGCTAGTATAGTTGTTGGATCACATCTCATCTTACATAAAGACCTTGAAATTAAAAAATGTTTGGAAGGAAATATTTTAAATAGGAAATTTTAAATAGGAAAAAAAATCAATGGATGTAGTCAGGGTTTAATAGGATGACCACAGCAGAACATAATACTCCACAGCGAGTCTCAAAGTCCTTCAAATATAAGCCAAGCCACATTCAAGCCTTCCTTCCTCATCCACTCTCCCGCTCTCTCCCCACAACCCTCCACACCTTTGCCTAGGCTGTTCCCTGAACCTATCTCCTCCCATCTTCTCCTCTCCCACCTTTCTTCTGCCTTCAAGTCCTAGCACAAGTGTCCTTTCTTCTTCTAGGAAGCTCCTCCAACCGCCACAGCAATCAGTAGGTCTTTTTTTCTGTGTTCAGCTTGTACTTGGTAGAATATACCTAATATTCCTGTTTTCACACTGCAGTATGATTTATTTCCAAATCACCCTCCACCCCACCGTGGGCAGTCTCTCGAGGGCATGAACAGTGTCTTTTATCGTTAAATCCTCATCACTTATCATACTTACTATAGGAAGTGCTCAGTAAGGAGTTGGTGAGTAGTCTACTCATTTAACCACCTTTAGGGCTTTGAGATGGGGTGTTCTGCATATATCATTTTGCTTTCCACTGGTAATTGGTAATAAAGATGGGGTGAGAGGAAATTGGAGGAGAGACTTGTTATTCACATCTCCTCTTTTTCCTTATGTTCTTTCTGGCTTCGGGATGGGACCAGAGACTAGATGGTGAAACTCTGGGCTGAGGTTCTGATATGCTAAACCACTGGTAATGCCATGATTCAGGTACCCACTTGCAGGACTTTCCTGACATCTTCTCACTTCCCTTTACAAATACTTCCCCTATCTACCTTCATTCCAAGAGTTCTTGTGCCCACAAGCTTTAAGAACCATATTTATGGCTTTCCTATCTTCCCTGACCCTTCTATTAACCTGGCTTGACCTCAGAATTCAATCCAAGAAAGTTGGTTTACAGATTATTTAACTTACTTAAACTAATGTATGAATATAGGAGCATTTCTATTTTACAATGAATCTGTTACTGTCAATACAATTCTGATTACTAAACTACGTTTAACTTGAAAACTGTTTTTTGCTAATTCCAGCACCCTGCTTCTAAGTGTTCCATATAAAATCATTTTTGGCCAGGCACAGTGGCTCACTCCTATAATCCCAACACTTTGGGAGGCTGAACCAAAAGGATCCCTTGAGCCCAGGAGTTCAAGACCAGCCTGGGCAGCATAGCAAGACCTCATCTCTACAAAAAATTAAAAAATTAACTGGCATGGTGGCACATGCCTGTAGTCCTAGCTACTTGGGAAGCTGAGGTGGGAGGATTGCTTGAGCCCAGGAGGTCGAGGCTGCAGAGAACTGTGATCATGCCACTGCACTCCAGCCTGGGTGACAGAGTGAGACCTTGTCTCAAAAATAGAAAATAAAATAATAAATTTTTCTAAAAATAGACATATTTATTAACTATTAGCTAGTTACTAATTGTATATATATTTTAAAAACATACTTTAGACAAAAGAAATATTACCAAATAGATCACCAAGGTCACTTCTAGCTCTTTTTATTTCTTTTTGAGGCAACGTCTCATTCTGTCACCCAGGCTGGAGTGCAGTGGCGTGATCATAGCTCACTGCAGCCTTGATCTCCCTGGCTCAGGTGATCCTCCCAGTTCAGCCTCCAGACACCACCATGCCTGACTAATTTTTCTATTGTTAGTACAGCCAAAGTCTCGCTATGTTTCCTAGGCTGATCTTGAACTCCTGAGCTCAAGCAATCTTGTTGCCTTTGTCTCCGAAAGTGTTAAGATTATAGATGTGAGCTACCATGTCTGGCCTCTAGCTCATTTTAAAAGCAACCAATACTTCATAATAAAGAGGTACAACCCAGTAAATTAAGTTTTTGACTGAATTTCAGCTATTTTAAATCACTCTTCAAACAAATATTGGCCTCATCTTCCAGAATTAAGAAAAACAAACCATCATGGTGAAACCCTGTCTCTCCCAAAAGTACAAAAATTAGCTGGGCATGGTGGAGCACACCTGTAGTCCCAATTACTTGGGAGTCTGAGGCAGGAGAATAGCTTGAACCTGGGAGGCAGAGGTTGTAGTGAGCTGAGATCACGCCACTGCACTCGAGTCTGGTGACAGAGCAAGACTCCGTGTCAAAAAAAAAAAAGAAAAAAAGAAAAGGAAAAACCTTTAATTCACCTTGAACTCAATATCACATCTGAGCAAATGTTTTTGCTTCAGCTTTAAATACAAGCCCAATAACTTATTAAAGCAAATGTGTTCGTTTATGTTATTTTCTTCTTTGAATTCTGTAGTTAATTATATAAAGTTAAATTATCTCATCATTGTATGAGAGGGTTTTCTTTAATGTTTGTCTGAAAAATATTTTAAATCCAATGTGTAAAAGTCATTCCTAATGTCACCACCTCTCTTTAAAATTCTAAGAAGCAATAAGCTAAAGTCCCCTTCCCATCCTCATCCCCCAGAGATCACCACTGTTGGCAACTGGGTACACATCCTTTCTTAATATTTCTTGCATTTATATAGATACAAGGGTGTCAGCTAATATTTATTAAAATATAATTAGCATATACTTATTGGTCTGCAATGTTCTTTTACATCTTTCTAATTAACATGGATGCTTTTCCAGGTCACTACTTTGGATCCAATTTATTCCTTTTAAAGGTTACGTAATATTCAGTTGTATAAACATGCCATAATTTATCCAACCTTTCTTCTACTTACTGACATTCAGTTTGTTTTCTTTTTTTTTGTTTGTTTGCTTCCTCAACACTTCAGTGTAATAATCAGATCCTTACTCTGCTCCCAACAATGCTGCTCCCTACAAACATTCTTCCCTCAACCCTGCATCTCCTTGAACTTGTCATCCAGTCTTTCCCCTTTTCTATACTGACAATTATGAAAGAACTGGCCTCACACACTATCTATATGTTCATTTATCATTCATTTTTTCAACTCTGCAATTTTTCTGTCTTGCTACTTTTCTGAAATTGCTCTCACTAAAGACACCCATGCTGTATAGCTGCCGCCCAATTCGGAAACTTTTCTTCCCAGTCTTCATCTCACTCAATATGGCTGCATCCCTTGAACCTTAGCTTCCTGAAGTCCATTCTTCCCTTGCATACTGAAACAACACTCTTCTGGTTCTTTCCCTACCTCTAATGGCTATTTCTCAGTTTCCTCTACTTGTGCCACCTCATCTGTTTCTTTCACGTCAGTGTTCCTCAGAGCTCTATTTTTGGCCTTCCTTTCTTCTTCCTCTACTTGTCTTCCTGGTGTTCTCGTCCACTCTGATGATGTCAACTATCACCTAAACACTCAAGATTTCCAAGTCTAACTGTAAACCCCACTCTTCTCCTGCTCTACAAATACCCAAATCTATCTGATCTACAAATACCCAACATCTCCCTAGAGTCACATGAAACTCTCCTTGTCTGTAGCTGAACTGTTGATCTCTCCTCCCACTACAACCCGATCTTCTTCCTGTATTCCATAACTCAATCACATTTCCACCCATCCTTGTTACCCAAACTAAACAAATCAGTCTTCCTTAACTTCTTGTCTACTTTCATATCTAGTTTTTCAATTGGTTCTACAATTTATCTGACATATTCTGTTGTCAGTTACTACATTCCTAAAGATATCCTCATCTACCCTTGCCTGCATTTTTATAATACTTCACAACTGATATCCCAGCCTTTAATCATATAACCTTCACATCATTTTCCATATGGCAATTAATATTATTTTCTGACACTGTCCATGTCAATCCCCTGTTTAAAAGCCTCCAATATCCTCTAATACCCATAGGATTAACAAATATGTATATATATAATTATATTTAATATATCATAAACATATAATAATGTATAATAAAAAGCCTTTAACTATCAGATTCCATTTTACCTAACCATCACCCCCAACTAATCTCCCTATCTTTCAGTCATTTCCTCAAGCTGGCTGGACTTCTACTTGTATTTGAGTCTTTGTTCAGGGTATTTTAGTCAACCTGGAATTTTCACCCCCTCTCTCTTATTATAATTTTATTTTTCTTATTAGGACTCATCTCAAAATTATCACCTCTGAATTCTTACCAAGCTCTCTTATCAATATAGGAATACAAATTTCCTATTCTGTGCACCCAAAGCCCTTTGTCCACATCTCTCTTGCTGGAACAACACTCTCCTAGTATTATAATTATTGGTATCATCTGGTATTATAATTGTTTGTTTCATCTGGTATTATAATTATGTGTTTCTGTGTCTATCTTCTCCACAACACTGTGGTCCCTAATGAACAAAGTCCATGACTTTCAGATTTTTGTATGCCATCCCACAACTCTTGTGTCCTGCATAAACCTCAACAAATGTTTTGAATTTAGAGAGTTTGGAAAGAACAGACGAAGTGGTCTGGTCTCAAGTCTACGCCTCCAATCTTCTGTGCTACAGATGACATTGCAGAGCACAGTGGTGGCCAGAAAATTGAGCAAACTTAGAATGGGTGCTTTGTTTACTTTTTTGCATTCATAATGCAGTTCTAGGATCAGCATTCAATCAACAATTTCACTGAGGTTGGCTGGAAAAAGTTTCTCCCTTTGGGAGAGAAGTTAGCAGTTAAGAGGATTCCTTTCTGCTTTTGGAATTAGGGAAATATTTCCAATTATGAGAGACCACAAATGGGTAGATGATATACTAAGTGGGAAGGATGCAGATTGTCTCTTCTCAGGATGAGTTTTAAGGAATTATTTCCAAATAAGACTTCATGTATTTCCTGATAACAAACCTTGATTTTCAATAATTGCTCCTGAGTGTAGAACAGTACAAATTAATAAAATATTTATTTGCTAGAGCTCTTATATCCTTGAATTAATTAATCAGCAAGTGAAATCTCTGAACCCCAAGTCTGAGAATCTAGAAATACTGTTAATTTAGAAATATCAGCAGTAGCAGGAGATATTACTTTTAAAATGTGCCCCACATTTAGTAAATGCTTCCCCTGAGGGCACTTAACTCCTAAAAACCATATGTCCTGTTTAGATTAATATATTATAATTAAAGTTTCCATGGCTGTTTAAGCTAGCCATCAGTGTGGAATCATTCAATCAATGCAGCCAACACTGCCTAAGAATCTTCTAGGTGCTAGGCACTAATGATACAGATCCAAGAAAACGAAGTTATTAGAAAATAGGTGGCAGTAACCCTTGAGTTCCCCGGTTACTGTCAAAGATTTCAAGAAATCAGAAAAGCAACATGGCATAGTACAAAGAGCTTTGAAGCCAATAAACTGGGTTTATATCCATACTCCATTACTTATTAGTCATGTAACTTTAGGCAAGTCACCTGATATCTCTGGGATTTCTTAATCTTCACAACAGGGTGAATACTACCTATGTAATGGAGGGGTGAGGCAATTAAATAATATATGAAAAGCATTTAACACAGTATCTATTATGTAGTAAATATTCAATAAATATAAATATTTCTATTTATGATGATGAATGAAATATGGTATTTTTCAAATCAACCTGTCACATTTTTAAAACAGATGTGCATAGAATGGCTTGCTTACAAACCCAGTGAAGTTATAATATAGTCTCAGAGCCAAAGAACTCACAAGGCAGAGTTCTCAGCTAATGGATGAAGTGTTATGACAACCAAAGTATTAAGCTGGATACCATAATATGAACTTTTCATATTGAATCAATTTGTATGTGGAAAGTAGTAAATGACCTTGATGAATTTTGTTTTAAAACAAGAGGGCTGGTTTTCTTTACTTTTTATTATTTTTATTTTTTTTATCATGAAGGTCTAGTTGTTCTGAAAAGGTTCTTTGACCCTAGGACTATATTTCCATTTAAAAAAGAAATTTCTGATATTTTTGTATGATACATGAGCTCTGGAGTTTTAAATGAATGGCAACTAACAAAATGTTTAAAGGGTTTTAGCTGCAGATCTAAATACTACCTAAAAAATACACAGAAATATTTCCTTTGCATGAAATTGCTTAATCTTAGGATATTGAGATGCTTTCACATATAACAGTCATGTTTATTAAATGGCTTGACTGTGAATTTTTGGTATAGTAACAAACAAATCACTATGATTCATAGTGACTTTAAAAAATCTATGCAAGTATTTTCATTGTTTCATGTACATTATTTTTAAATTTTCTTTTAAATTATTATACCTTACCATTTTACCTTACTAAAAATACAGTAGGGGTTTGTCCCACCAAGTACACATTTTATTGGTTATTTAAATAACTAATTTAATTACACATATTTTTCAACTAACACTTCCTGAATTTGACCCATTTAGCTTCATTCCTCTCTCTGAAGGGTAATGGCTCAGATTTTTGTAACTTATTTTAAATATGTAAGTTTTATAGTGAAGCAACATAATATTTGGATTATCCTTTTTATGTTATGTGAGCCAGTGGATAAGTACTTCTACTTATATACTCCCAATTATAAACACACAAAATTTTTGCTCAAAAATGCTGCTAGTATGAATTTCAAAAGGTGTTTTTTTCCCTTAAGACTCTTATAAAATGTGTGCCTGCTACCTCTGTGGTATGGCATTTTAGTTCCAGCAACTACACCTTTTTCCACCACTTGAAGATGCTGTATGTCTAGAATAATGTTGTCCAACAAACTTCTTGCCATGATGAAATGTTGCATGAGATCCAATATAGCAGCCACTAGTCAGATGTTGCTAATAAGTACTTGAAATGTAATTAGTGTGACTGATGAACTGAATTTTTTACTTTACTTCATTTTAATTAATTTAAATCAAAATAGACACATATGGCTAGTGCCTATAGTATTGGACAGTGCAGGTCTTGAATGCATGTTGAAATAGCTGGAGCAGTGGACAAGTATGGTTACTATGTCCTCACGCCCCACTTCTTTCTCAAGCTATTCAATGCTCACCCATAGCAGAATATAAGTCAAGGCTCATTTCTTCCACTGACCACTCTAATCCACAGGGATTATATTCTTCTCTGAAATTCTATATAGTTAGCTGTGTACAGGAAATTGAAAATTTAGTGCCAGATTATACCTTGCACAATAGTCTAACTTTAATATGCCTAAGTTTTAGCATAATACAAATAATATTACCATCTTCTATTCATTGAAAGCTTATAGTACACTTTATATATATCTTATTTCATTTTCATAATAGGCTTGTGAAATATGTATTATAATCTCCATTTTACCTATGAGGAAATTGTGGCTCAGAAAGATGACTAGCTCCAGTCAAACAGCTAGTGAGTAGGAGAGCTGTAACTTGAAATCAGATTCATGACTGCGTAGGGACTTTGTAGGCAGGCTCCTATGAGATACGTAAACAATTTGAGTATTGGAGCCATCATAATAAACCTAAACTTGTCTGAGAAAAATACATTGTAACAATTACAGCTTAGTGGGAATAAAAGTTTGTGATTCAATTTAAATAAAAAAGTATTTAATTTATAGTGAAAGACCATCCCATAGTTCTTCCATCAGAGACTAGATACATCACTTTCTTAAAGACCAGTTGCTCCCTCTAGTGAGCATCAATAGGAATGACATGCCTAGCAGTATTTAAAAGTGACAATCTCAGCAGGAGCTGCACCTTCCTTAAGGATGTCTTGGAAGTTTGTAGATGTGAATTTTAGTAATTACAAAAAATGAGAGTTGCTACTTTTATTAGGTGGTGTCATGGATGCTAGATATCATACTATCCAAGGGAAGTCTCCCTCAACAAAAAATGCTCTCCTTCCCAGAGGGAAAACCTATTTATATTTATCTGAGCCTCGAATTTAACATTTTACATATAAACACTAAACATGTTTACACTGATTTAATGTGCAATAAACTTTCCAGGAAGGAAATTATGGTATTTCATCTAATTTGAGACATCAATTGTAAAACAAAGTATTATTTAAGTATCACCAAGAAAGGAAGACAAGGAGAAAAAACACTGCCAATTAAACTATGACATGATGCATTCTTATACATAATTATTTTATGTTTTTAAAAAGAACTCTTTTAGGCTTTAGACAGAAATAAAATATCATACTTGGAAATAAATGAAAGGAAAGGGAAAAGCAAAATAAATTGTTAAGGTATTCATAAAACTTCATATTCACAAAATTTACTGAAAGTTTGGCTCAGAGGTGTCAATATCCATATTTTTTTCCAAGCAATACTATCCTCTCTGCTATCAAGTGTTTTGATGATGCAATATTTCCTAGAACAGTGCTCAACTCTTCTGTCTAGAAGAGTTTTAATTCAAGCCAGGCATAAATTATTGTAAGTTTTGATGTCAGTACTTTTTTGAGTCTTTCAAAGAGATTAATGGAAAGTTTTAAGGCAACAAACAGCACATATTCTTTCTTCAGATGATCTTTAGTTTGTCCAGAAATTGGTAACAATAACCGGATACACACATGCTCAGGCAGTGATGATGGTAATGATGCAATGACTGACACATGGCTGACAGTGCTTGTAAGACACATCCTGATTTAAGAAATGTGAAATGTATTTCCTATAATGGAAGAAATACAGTAACATGTACCAAGGGGAGCTTTTCCTTTTTCTTTTATAGAACTTAACAAAGATTGGGTCACCATTTCAGAAAACCTCATCACCATGGTATTTGAATCACAGGTAAAACATACCCATATCAGTCTCCATCCATGGTGATTATATCAACAAGTATAACTTTCTAATCACTTTGCTATTTCTTACAGTGTAGGCAATGTTAATGTCCTTACATATCAAAATAGACAATATTATAAATTACTTTTATTTCTCTTTTATGATGTGATTATATTGATGTTTTTCTATTTACCTGTGTAGGCAGGTTATATTATCTATAAATTTCATTTAAGGAAAGTAAAGACTCTTTTAGAAGATATCTGTTATAAAAAGATGGCATTCAGTCTGATAGAGTTGAGAAAATACTGAATTTGGGGATCATCAATAACTGCTTCTCCTCTGAAAAGAAAGAAAATAATTGGGTACTTTCCTTACAAATATTATATTAATATGCTTGTGGATAGGGGAAAGAGGGAAGAGAGAAGAAAATTGTGTATCAAGTTAACATCAATGATGGTTACACATTTTAAGAAAGTGAGTTCACCTTCCATTCACAATTGCTTCAAAGAGAATAAAATACCTAGGAATCCAGCTTACAAGGGATGTGAAGGACCTCTTCAAGGAGAACTACAAACCACTGCTCAACGAAATAAAAGAGGACACAAACAAATGGAAGAACATTCCATGCTCATGGATAGAAAGAATCAATATCCTGAAAATGGCCATACTGCCCAAGGTAATTTATAGATTCAATGCTATCCCCATCAAGCTACCAATGACTTTCTTCACAGAATTGGATAAAACTCCTCTAAAGTTCATATGGAACCAAAAAAGAGCCCGCATTGCCAAGACAATCCTAAGCAAAAAGAACAAAGCTGGAGGCATCACACTACCTGACTTCAAACTATACTACAAGGCTACAGTAACCAAAACAGCATGGTACTGGTACCAAAACAGAGATATAGACCAATGGAACAGAACAGAGCCCTCAGAAATAATACCACACATCTACAACCATCTGATCTTTGACAAAGCTGAGAAAAACAAGAAATGGGAAAAGGATTCCCTATTGAATAACTGGTGTTGGGAAAACTGGCTAGCCATATGTAGAAAGCTGAAATTGGATCCCTTCCTTACACCGCATACAAAAATTAATTCAAGATGGATTAAAGACTTAAATGTTAGACCTAAAACCACAAAAACCCTAGAAGAAAACCTAGGCAATACCATTCAGGACATAGGCATGGGCAAGGATTTCATGACTAAAACACCAAAAGCAATGGCAACAAAAGCCAAAACTGACAAATGGGATCTAATTAAACTAAAGAACTTCTACACAGCAAAAGAAACTACCATCAGAGTGAATAGGCAACCTACAGAATGGGAGAAAATTTTTACAATCTACCCATCTGACAAAGGGCTAGTATCCAGAATCTACAAAGAACTTAAACAAATTTACAAGAAAAAATCAAACAACCCCATCAAAAAGTGGGCGAGGGATATGAACAGTCACTTCTCAAAAGAAGACATTTATACAGCCTACAGACACATGAAAAAATGCTCATCATCACTGGCCATCAGAGAAATGCAAATCAAAACCACAATGAGATACCATCTCATACCAGTTAGAATGGCGATCATTAAAAAGTCAGCAAACAACAGGTGCTGGAGACGATGTGGAGAAATAGGAACACTTTTACACTGTTGGTGGGACTCTAAAGTAGTTCAACCATTGTGGAAGTCAGTGTGGCGAGTCCTCAGGGATCTAGAACTAGAAATACCATTTGACCCAGCCATCCCATTACTGGGTATATACCCAAAGGATTATAAATCATGCTGCTATAAAGACACATGCACATGTATGTTTATTGCGGCATTATTCACAATAGCAAAGACTTGGAACCAACCCAAATGTCCATCAATGATAGACTGGATTAAGTAAACGTGGCACATATACACCATGGAATACTGTGCAGCCATAAAAAAGGATGAGGTCATGTCCTTTGTAGTGACATGGATGAAGCTGGAAATCATCATTCTGAGCAAACTATTGCAAGGACAGAAAACCAAACACTGCATATTATCACTCATAGGTGGGAATTGAACAATGAGAACACTTGGACACAGGGTGGGGAACATCACACACCGGGGCCTATCATGAGGTTGGGGGAGGGGGGAGGGGGGAGGGATAGCATTAGGAGATATACCTAATGTGTAAATGACGAGTTAATGGGTGCAGCACACCAACATGGCACAAGTATACATATGTAACAAACCTGCACATTGTGCACATGTACCCTAGAACTTAAAGTATAATAATAATAATAAAAAAAAGAAAGTGAGTTCACACTTGTTCAGAGAGTACAGGCTTTTGAGACAAACTTTCTGGGTTCGAATCATGGGTCTATTACTTTCTGTACCATTTTGGCCAAGTGACAGTCTCTCTTTGCCTCAGTTTCCTATTGAGTAACACGAAGGTCATAAATGCAATTACCTCATGGGGTTCTTATGACAACTAAAAGATGTGACACACTGGATGTTGTTTATAAAAGTGGCTGGTACATCAGGAGCAGTAAATAAGTGAAAGCTATCATTAATTATAATGATAAAACC
This sequence comes from Homo sapiens, assembly GCF_000001405.40. Lineage (NCBI taxonomy): Eukaryota > Metazoa > Chordata > Mammalia > Primates > Hominidae > Homo > Homo sapiens. The sequence continues at coordinate 116,284,227 of NC_000006.12, read as the reverse complement.
TACCTTTCTGCAAAACAAAAATGTCTGAACTTCCGCTAAACTCCTTGCTACCTGAGAAATCATTCCCAAAGAATCTATGATTCCTTGATATTATGGAGAAAAACCTCAGGGTTTTTTGCAGATGTTTTCCCATAGAACTGTATTAGAAAAGATTCAACTATCTTTGGGGGTAGTGAAGTTTATTGTCAATTACAGAAATGCTCTGTCATGGACCAATTTATCCTATATTTTAAAGTGCAAAAAAGGTGATATATGAAGCATAGCCAAAATGTATTTCCTCTGCAAATAAAATATGCCAGTACAGATACACTGTTGTTTTTGTAAGATAATTTGAGGTTTATTTTATTCAAATGAACAAATATTGTTAAGAATCTACCCAAATCTAGCCGGGCGCAGTGGCTCATGCCTGTAATCCCAGCACTTTGGGAGGCTGAGGCGGGCGGATCACCTGAGGTCGGGAATTCGAGACCAGCCTGACCAACGTGGGGAAACCCCTTCTCTACTAAAAATACAAAAATTAGCCGTGTGTGGTGGCCAGTGTCTGTAGTCCCAGCTACACGGGAGGCTGAGGCAGGAGAATTGCTTGAACCTGGGAGGCAGAGGTTGCAGTGAGCCAAGATCATGCCACTGCACTCCAGCCTGGGCGACAGAGTGAGACTCCATAACAACAACAACAACAACAACAACAACAACAACAACAAAGAATCTACCCAAACCTGAGCCCCATGCTATGATGAATAAATGCAAAAGAAGCTGCAACTATGCTCCCATCCCATGAGATGATGCTGGAATGCTGGGATGATGAGACTGACACATATAAATCAACTAGTCCCTAAGAGGAGAAGCACAATTAAGTGCTAAACTGCATGGTGCAGCTCATAAAAGAGTTGCAGGAATTCAGGTGAGGAAGATTAAGGAGCCATAGGCTACTTAGGAAAGATGCACTCAGGAGAAGGGAGAAAGAATTTACCAGTTACTTTATGTATGACTTTGGTAAAGTTAGTTAGCCTCTCAGTGTTACTGTTTCCTCTTTTATGAAATTTGACACTTTAATGCATGTAAAATGCCTAGCACATTTTAAAGCAAGACAGGTTTTTGGTAAGTCTTAGAGAATGTGTAACATCTACCCAGAAAGAGAATTCCCAGATAGCAGGATAACCTGTGTCATGTAAAAGAAACAGGTATCCTTTTTAAGCCTTTTTAGATACAAAAAGGTGAACAAAAAATCCACAAGTAATAGTCCTACTATAATAAGTACAATATTCTGTGTTGAATAGCAACCACAGCTTTGCCTGTATGGCAAAATAACTCCCTGA